>NC_000023.11:85492845-85795875 GCF_000001405.40 Homo sapiens
CTTGAACATGAATAAGTGAACTTCTAATGTAAATAAGTGAACTTCTAATGTAAATTAAACCAATTCTATCGACCTTTGACTATTATCAGTTTCAGATTTGATGTGTGTCTGCTAAAGTTGGAAAAATAGATGCTAAGTATGGACTAAAAAGATTCTTCCTCTTTCATTATCACTGGGCTATGTAATAGTATGAAAGTCGTTGTGGGGAGTGGTGCGTGTGTGTGTGTGTGTGTGTGTGTGTGTGTGTGTGCATGCGTAGTAGACTTAGTAAACAAATTACAATCCCTGACATAGTCTGAGTATAGTTTGTTTGATCTTACATGAGTGTTGAATATTTTATTGAGAGGTACTGAAAAATACAATTTTGCAAAAAGCTCAGACTTTGGTTGCTTGTTTGCTTTTCCTTCCTTTTCTGATAGAATGAGCTCTAATGGTTGATTAGACAGCTGATAAACCGTGATGATATAAAAGTTATGGCTATTTTGCAAGAAATAAGCTAAAAAACAGAAGAGAAATTCTGCGGGTAAGGTGAGGAGGAAAATGTCCTTTTAACTTATTGGAGTTTTGCTAGTCACGACATGATGGCATTATTGGGAGACTGGAGAAATACAGAGGAATATGTTCACTTGATCTGAGGCAAAATATGGGATTTGGGGAAATGAATTTTTTACACAAAAATAAGCCGAGTTTCATCCTATTATTTTTGTGGTTTGAGTGGAGACAGGGTGCTGAGAAATAGTTGGATCTTCCAATTCCTTGATGGACCTGTAGTTTACAGTGAATGCAGACTTTTTCCAAGTCTCATTTTATAGTTATTAATACTTAAGTTTACTACTACGGCAACTTACCAGCTTTGCCTATGTTTGATATTATTTGATATAATTTTTTAAAAATAAATGTTAACATGTATATTTAAGGTATACAATGTGATGCTATTCGATATATATAGATAGTCTAAAGGTTACCATAGTGAAACAAATTATTTAACATAATTTATCCCAAGTCTCTAGTCTTTAAAAAAGTTGTTTCAAGCCTTCGGAAGTTTATTACTAATGAATACTGAAAACATTCCCTTCAAAAGCAGCATAAGTCATTAAAAAGTTACACATACAATGACTCAACACTTGACAACTTTATTGTAATTACAACATTTTATAGCTCTATTTACATTATTCCTACACAATAGGAACCACAAAGTACAAAAGACTTAGTCTGGTTATACATGTTACACTCAATGAACAATTTGCAAATTAAGGCTAATACTTTATGTTCGGAGTCTTATTTTTCTCATTGAGATCATTTTTCTGTTATAGTTACAAAAATAATGTGGCTTTGGAAGAACTCAATACGTGGACAGATTCTGAGTCAATAACAATGTCATTTAAAACAACTTCTACAATCAGAAGTGGCCTTCTTTCTTTGTGTAAGTTTTATTGCTAATAAACAGTCTAGAAGTTATATGTGAAAAAGTAAAAGAATTGAAAAAAGGAATCTAATAACACTGACAAACTAATGGAAACCACAGTAACTTGAAAAATCTGCAAATTGAGATAAATATTCAGTAGATTATTATAAAACTGCATTGAATTAACTACTTTCCCCAAGATATTTAAAATTTTCATTAAGGCTGGTAATTGAAATTTGCATTGCCCAGAGGAAAAGAAAAATGATTATATTGTTTACCCTCATCTGTAATCAAATTTTTGTCAATTATAGAAGGCATGGAATTAGGACAATTTTAAATGTCACCAGATTAAAAAATTTTTACCTCCCAGTGTTTCATCTTTTTCCCTCAAATGGAAAGTAATATCAATTAGCCCAACACAACTAATACAGGCTTAAATTATGAATTTATCCTTATAAATATTGAAATATAACACTTAACACCCTCTTGATTGAAGCTGAGAAATTTGATTGAATCTGAAAAACTATGTAGTATGGGTTGAATACTAGGTAGACGGGATTCCAATATTTTCTGTGTTCCATCACTAACCCACTTGTTGAGTTGTCTACCCTATTTCAACTTGCATTTATCTGTCAGAATTACTATAATATATTTTATTGCATAGTAATTGTGCCATGAGGATGGGGACTTGGGGAAGCAAAATAATTCTAATTATATAATAGCCATGTGTGAGATCTATACTATGAATATAAAGGGTTCTTTAGTTTTATATGGTGAGGTCTCTGGCAGAACTAAAGGGTTGCAGAGGGCAAATATGAATCATGTCAGTAGCTACATCCTTAGGAAAATGGTAGGGAGAAAGAAGAGGTTTAAGTATCTCCCAAGTGGTACCAGGAAGGTTGAGGAATGTTCTAATAGCTCAAAAAGGCTGATGAATACTCAGGCACCATCTATAATAGAAAGTATGAATGACTCAAGAAATTTTATTTCAGTGACATCCTCACCGAGAATATAGCCTCTCTAGTAGCTTGCCACCACCCAAGAACTCCTCCTTTGATTTACAGCATTACTTTTTCTGGAAGTCACTTGTGACAAGTCATTATTCCCCCAATATATTCACAGTGGTTCTCAAACAGGGCTACGCATTAGACACATCTGGGAAATCTGTTTATAGTACAGACTTGTAGACCTTATTCTAAGAGCTTCTGATTCAGTATGTCTCCTCTGAGGCCCTGGAGTCTACATACCTGCCACACTATTCAGGTGATTTGATGCTGCAGATTAGTATTTAAGAATCATTTCATTAGTAGACATTAATAATAACTGGTGATTGATTTTATTTTTCTCATTTACTAAGGTCTACAGGAATAAGAGAAAGAAGAGGTTAAGGATTTCTTTGACGGAAAGATGGAAAGAGGTTCAGAGCTGAGCGATACCTTGGGAAGAAAACACAATTCAGAAGAACAAACAGTGAAAAGGCTGCAAAAAGATATGGGCTACCTGAGGAAAAAAGTTTTCCAAAAGGAAATGAGAAGGCTATGAATTGTAACACAAAAGTTATCTGTGTCATAATTTTGTGCAGATAGATCTCAAGTATTCTCAACCACCAAGCGATGGACCTCCACATCCAGAGTTTCCTGCCTAGACCTCATTAGGAAATAAGATGCAGTGGAGAAAACAAGGACATTAGGGGTGTGTCTACATCGAGCATTGTGAAACACTTAATTATGGTTATTTTCTGTGATCATGAGAATTCCAGGTGACACTCCTGTCAACCCATTAAAATTTATGTTGTGACATTTAGAATATCTTAGCTATGACCTTTTTCCCAGGATCATTTCTCCCCATCTCTTCCCAAAATATCCAAAACTAATTACAAAAGGCCCTAACACACTTTTTTAAAGATTTGGAGTCTTCATTGGATTCTCCCACAGTGATCATGGGTTTTTCATATTGAAATATAAACCTGGCCTAACTGCCAAAGATATTTAATGTGAATATCTGAAAAATATTGAATAGTGGCAACAACTGGGAACGTTGGGAATGTGTCTAATTATAACACTTTAATGTAAGCCCAGGTATAGGCATCAGAAAGCACCAGCTAATTTACCTACTGCTTCATTTTCTGTGCTAAGTGCTTGATTTTAGCACTTCCATCTTATAGGATCTTACTTGGTTTCAGAAGGAGTCTCTGTTTTGTAGAGAAAAGTTACTGTTTGAAGCTGTGCTGACTCTCTTATGAATCTCTGGTCCCAGAAAACAGAAATGACAGAGATCACAGGGAAGAGGATGATATAAAAGCTAACAAAACTGATTGCTTACAATACTTCAGGCTCTGTGCTGTGATTTTGAAACACAGTGTCTCATTCAATCCTCAAAACAATTATGTGAGGTAGGTAATGTAATTATTTGCATTTTACAGATAAGGAAACTGAGGATAAGCCAGGCTAAATTAATTTTACAAGGTCACACAGTTTTAAGTGACAGAACTCGAACTCAAGCAAAGATCCATCTGAAGCTTGAAACAATATACTGAAATAGTAGATCTCATAAGACAAAATAATTCAATTAAATTTTAGGACCTGGATATGGTACTGCTATAAGTGGACCACAAAGAGGTCATCTCCTAAAGCATACTAGCTACACCTAGTTATGTAAAACCTAACCTAGACTACCCACACAGATGCTGGGTATGGCTGACAGTCATGATCCAGCTCTTCAGAGCACTACATAATGAAGTTGCAACCTCCTTCAGGAGCTTTTTTCCTCCCCTTACATGTTCCTATATTATATTTTTATAGATACCTCATTGTAGGACTTTGCCTATTCCGTATGTTCCCACCCATTAAGGATAAAAATCTGCCCATGAAAAAGTTAAGGAGTAAAAGAAAATAAATCTCAAATTCTTACACTAAAATTTGCAAATCAACAATATGTAATTTTCATTAAGCTAAGGACCTATTTACACTTCTTTTATTAGGTTGGTGCAAAAGTAATCCGGGTTTTTGCTATTATTTTTAAAAGCATTATTAAGCATATTCTGCTTGTATTCCTATCGCCAATTTTAATTATTGACTTGTACCAATCTGTCCTTGATTTCCTTTGAATCACTAATATTTATAAGGAAATGTTCAAGTGTTATTAAATTTGCACACATGACTAACTGTAATATTTTTATTTCTTACATATTATAGCAGAATGTCATAATTAATCTACAAGGTAGTATTTATGTTAGTAAATGGTTACTCATCACAATAGATATATAGTAGTAAACCATGTAATTCATATTGCTGACAATACTTTCTGGTAGTTATCTTGTCTTTTAGCTCTGACAGAATACATACTTATTAATAAAAACAGACAAAATTCTCCCAAACAAAGTTGAGCTCATTATGAAGGAGTTCTTAGACCTGATGAATCTAGTGATTTTGAGTCATCCATTTAGGGATAAATTATCACTATCATCATCATTGTGTAGGATAATTCCAGAAAAGTTTTTGATGAATAGTGCTCTATCAGTGTAGGCAAGTTCTTCAAACACCTTCTAATGCCTACCTGATGGATGCAATGAGTAGAGCCATGCAAGGCCACAGAAGAGCTAGGTTTTATTTTCTCTTTCTCTACTTATTCTGATAAAAGGCCTGGGTCAAATTTTGTCTTTTTCAAATAATTGCAACATGGAATCTCTATATTCCACTGAAAGCAATGTGATTTAAACCATTTTTGTGTTTTCCTTTTCTTTACTAATTTTGATAAAATACTTAATTTGGAACATTTAATTTTATTATAAAAGGATTATTTGGGGCTTTTGTTGAAATCAAATGGGCACCTTCATCATAGTTCTTGGTTTTATTTTGTTCTTCTATCATGGTGACAGCAAGTATATTTTTTAAACCTGTCTATGCATGGCCTGATAAACACTCATTAGTAGGTGCCTGATAAACACTAATTGAATGAATAGATAAATAACCTAATCAATATTCAGAGGAGAAAATAAGTTTTATGGACATACCACTCCCTTAAATGGGCTAGTTTAGTTGGTCCATGTTGATGTCCTGGGTCTTTTTTTAATGCATCCTAGATGATCTCATATATTCTTATGATTCTAATAACTACCTCTGCTAATGATTCTGAGATTTCTATCGCTATCCCAGATATTTCTCCTTGGTTCCAGATGAAATATCTAGTTGCTTACTGAATATTTGTATCTGGATGTTTCTCAGCCATTTCTAGTACAACACATCTGTAGCTGAACTCATCACTATCCTCACTCTCAAATCTGTTCTGTGTTCCATGTCTCAACAAATGGCATCACCACCACCTCTCCAACTGCCCAATTCAAAATCCGAGTGTCATCTTTGAGTCTTCCTTCTCATCTACATTAAATCATCTGCCGAATCAAATTGATTGTCTTCTTAGTAAGTCTTTATTAATTTCTTTTCACACCCATTGCCACCATCTTAGATCAAATTGCCATTATTTGTTATTTGGACTACTACATAATCTATTAACAGGTAAACTTTATTACAGTTTTGCCCTCACCAAATTTATTCTCCACTTTGTAGCTAAATACAAGCATTCAGCCAAAAAGCATTTTTATCATACAACAATCTATTGACCAGTTCATATTCGTTTTCAAAATTTAAGCTTTCTTTTTTTTTGCGGGGGGGAGGTGGATCAGATAAGTACAATTTTCTTGTTTATTCCATACTTTACATACCCTAGTACTTATCACATTCTACCATAATTATAGATATGCTGGTCTGGAAACTTCCATAAATTGTGTTTCACATCTCAGTCAGTACTTGACACATAGTAAGTACTCAATAATTACTTGTTAGATGAAAGAGAAAGAGAGAAAGAAAAAGAAAGAGAAAGAAAGAAAGAAAGAAAAAAAGAAAGAGAAAGAAAAAGGTTAGAAAAAGTTAAATCCATCCATCCATCCAATTATTCTAGTTTAATGAGACCTGAAAGACAAAGCAGTAGAGTCCTTAAAAGGCATGTAATCAAGTAGGTGATTTTTGAGAGTGTGTGCTTTATTTGAATTAATCAATTTGAGAAGAAGCAGGTCAATTATCAATGCCTTTAGGAGAGGTATATGTATGTGCTTTTTGTTCTAAATTTATGAGTGGCACTGGGATGAGGCATGGGTATTCTGGAGAAAAGGACAGCTTTTGTTGGGGACATAGGTTTATTCATTGTTGTTGTTCTTGTTTTTGTTGTGTTTTGGATTTTATTCTTTTTTCAGGTCAGACAGTAGCTGCAAGGTCTTAGTATACTGCAAGCAAAGATGTGCTATGTGAGATGTACCATGATAGTCATTCTTCTGGTATGCAGAGAGTAGTGTGCCTGCTCTTTTTCTCCCTCCGGCAAAGTCTAGGGAGTCTTAGTTGCATTCCTCACTCTCCTAATAAAGGATGTCATTATGTTGATTGGTTTCAAAGTCTACTGAATGATTGATGTAGGCTATGATGATCTATATTTATAGTCTGTTCTATTATTTTACATGACTATTCTGTGATTGGAATTCCTGGCACAATATTAGTTTACATTTATGCAAACGAAATATATAGAGTAAGTTTTCTAAGCTAGGTGCCCTGATGATTTTATTAAACATGATTAAAGATTATATCCAAGAGCTTGACAAGAAAAGCCTATAATATGTCATGATATCTTTCATGAGCAGGACATAAACAAAGTGAGAAGGAGAAAGGAGGCAAATGCATGTTTTAACTCTTTCATTTCGTGAAAGCAAATAAGACAGAGTTGCTCATTATCTTATTTTTAAAAAGAGAAGTTGGAATCCTGTAGTTTTGCTGCAATAAGAATGGTCTTTTTTGTTGTTGTTATTTCTGACCACATCATGTTCCTTGGAAAGAACAACTGAAAATAATCAACTTGCAGCCACAAGGTGGCTTTGTGCCCCAACTACGCTTGAATTGAAGACTTCGCACAAAACCATGTACAACTCATCAGGCTAAAAAAAGGCAGATCCTACCTGTCTAAAAATAATTCATGCAAAGAAAACCAATCAATATAAATAAATAGGACAAAAATAAAAACAATAGGAACTTGGCATCTTGATTACTCTGATAGTACAGATTTCTTTACCTTTTCTTTAACGTCAGGTAACGTAACTAGAAAGTGTTTTTCTTAAATTTTTGTTTGAAAACATTTCTGATTTCCTTTCCGACTGGTGGTTGTCATCAAATTCTAAATTATTTAAATGCTATTTGTCAAGCTCAAAAATATATTTTCTAGTTCTTTTTGTTGTCTAAAGTGTGGATAATCTGAGGGAAAGGACTTAGAAAAGGGAAGGTTTTTTAATGAAGAAAGTGTGTGTGTGTGTGTGTGTGTGTGTTTGTGTGTGTGTGAGAAAGAGAAAGAGAAGGAGAATGAGTTTGGTGGGGGAGCTGAGTTTAACTTCACTTATTCCTTGCAAAAATTCCTACCTACTCCTTTTCCCTGAAATATGTCAATTTAAAAAAAATCACAAAGCTAGAAAATTTCTTTTTAACTAACTTTTTTTAAAGTTACACAAATAATGTATGAAAACATTTTTATTATAGAAATTTAAATAATACATAAATATAGGCAAAGATGACAAGTCCATTAGACATGCCCACCCATACCCAATCCATACCCCAGAAGCAGTTGTTTAATGTGTATCTTTCCCATCCATTTTAGGAAACATTTTTTATTAAATAATCTGAAAAAATAACAAACTCCCAAAAAGCAGGGACAATGTTTACATTTTTTAAATTTTTACACAGAACTTTGTACAGTGCAACCTCATTGTAACACTTTTTTTTCATTTTACAGATGAATTTTGCATAAGACACGTTTATCTTAGTTTCTTGGGTAAAAAGTAGCAACAAGACAGCGCTAGAAGGCTGTTTCAGTTATTAAACCATCTTGTTTGGATCCAGAAGAGTAGGATATTAAAGTTTTCAGCATACATTATTCTGCATGAAGTGGGCACAATACATATTTTATATTGATGCCAGAAGTATATTCTTCTCATTAGATCGACTCAGGCAGAGTATAGAAGAGTAATTATCTAAAGAGTTTAATCAATGTCATTACTAAGGTTGGCACACTAATTAAAATGTTTAATCCCTCATTTGCTGAACTTTTGGTATGAGGAATTTATAAAACTGCCTCAAGTCTCTAATATTCATATATGTGTAGCATATGTGTTCATGATAGCAAAATTTCCTAAAGAATCAATTAATAAACATGTGTTTACTAAGCATGGGCTACGTCATGAGCTAAACATTGTGGAGGATACAAAAGAATGACGTATTCACATTCTCTTGTCTTTAGTGAGTCCTGCTGGTAAGATGACATGCAAATACATGAAATAAGAGAATAACAAAACTCAGTACAGAGTATTAATGTGAAAGAGTTAGGAAAGGGGTACCTCGAAGATGACTTCACAGAGGTAGTTGTACATGAGCTAGGTCTCAAAATTAGGTAGAATTTAATTAGCTTATGAGAAATGTTAAGAGCAAGGCTCCTGAAATCAAACTACCTAGATTATCAATTCTGGCTTCAAAACTTTCTGGCCGTGTGATCTGAGAAGGTACTTATTATCTTTGCTTTAGTTATCTCATCTGTAAAATGAATATGCTATTAATACTATTTACCTCATAAAATATTGGTGAATATAAATTGAGATAATACCTGTAAAACATTTAGAACAGTACCAAGTATATGCTACTATGATCGATAACTCTTAACTACTACTATTTAGATTATCACTGCAATGAAAAGAAATTTTTAAATGACCAATCTCTGTGTAGCATAGCATTATATAGAAATATTTCTTTTTAATTCTCTTTAAGGCTCTCATTTAGAATATTTATTCAGTAATTTGAAATTGCGCCTTTTATTCTTTTACTCTGTATTCTGTATAATTTGGATTTTTGTTTTTACATTCAATCCATTTTTATACAGATTGATGCAGGTATAATTTACATACCATAAATTTGCCCATTTTAAATACATGATTTCATGAGTTTTAGTACATTTATTTTGTCCAGTTATCATTGCAATCCAGCTCTAAAACATTTCTATCACCCCAAAAGAAGCTTCATAACCACTTATAGTTAGAACTTAATGTACATGTTTTATTTGTTTTTAATTTTTTAAGTTTCAATAGAGAAAAAATATAATGAAAGAGGATATGGCAGCAAACCTAAGAGTCAACTAATAAATAATTACTGCTTCCTTTCCAAAACATGCTACAACCGAAAATTATACCTTCAGACATATCCTGCTGTGTCAAATCATGCTGTTTTGGTATTACATTTGCCCCTATCTTTTAAAATACACTTGGGTAAGTTGCTCCAAAATATTTTCAGCCCATTGGCCCCTTTGATGGGGCAAAGATTTCATGGACCACCTACATCATCTGCTCCTGCCTTTCTGCAAAAAACCCAAACAAGTCTCCCTAGAATTTGGGAAAGTCCCACGTTTGAAGAGATGCCAATGAGGTTATGTCTAGATTTGTATTAAAAGCATAAATTTTGAATGCATGATAGGTACAAAAGAATAGACATTGTTATATTATTTTCATTAATGATATGAGAGAACCTGTGGGCCACCTGGACCCATGTGGACCATTACTTGTGAACCAAAGTTCTGTGTCAGAGTTATCATAGAACTATGACATACTGAAATGGTCACATGGGCATGGTCAGGCAAACCTAGGCTTGAATTCTAACTCAGCCACTTAGTAGCTGCATGACCTTAGGCAAATAACTTTTCACAGCCTCAGTTTCCCTCTCTGAAAATAAAGAAATAATATCTACCTTGTTGGGTTATTGAGAGTACTTCTAAGAATGTGTATGTAAATCACTTAATATTTAGTAGAAAATAAATATTATTTTTTTCCCTCTGCCTCCATCTTTCTATTCCTTTCTCCCTTTCTTCATTTCCTCCTCCTTTTCTTCCCTTCTCTCCCTTTCACTCTAGCATTTGTATTCATTCTAATTAGCTCTGAAGAAAGCTGGTAAAATATCCCTTTTAGGGAATCTATACAGAATAAATTCATTTCTGAACACAAAGAGTCACAAGAATGCAATTATAACATTCAAGCTAGCTCATTCCCTAGCCAGACCTTTTCTCAACATCTCCTGCCATCGCTTTTTTCCCTTAGGTATACCTGAGCTTTGATTATTCAAATCAAGTCTCGTGTAATAACAGGTTCTTTGTAGTTGCATTCTTACATGTGTTCTGGGGTTTTCCAACCACTCCCTCTCAATTTCCCATTATTTCATATTGAATTATATTTTGTTTATCAGTTTTTACAAGGGTGTTCTTTGCAATACCTTATTGGGTAAGTATAGCTCATTTGATATTTGATTACTTAATAGTTCTTCTCTGAGTTAAGGTTTTTGAACATGGAGAATGATTAAAACCTCTATTTTATTATGCACATGATGGCAGCAAAAATGTTAATAGAAGAATGCTTTGTTGAGTTTGTTTCTCACACTTTATTGTGTGGTAGTAAATGTGATCTAGCATAAGCCCTCATTGTTCCTGGAGCTGTGCCTACAGAAACTGCTCTAGTAATGTGTTTGCATGACACATAATTAAGTGCATGTTGTAACTTGTTCCTAACTATTATACACGTCAGTTTGAACAATGTGCAATATCCAAGCATAAAATTAAGACCTACGCCTTCATTTCGTCTGTCAAATCTCCTTGATTTTAAGAGTAGGGGTGACCCTCAAGTCATAAAACAATAAAAGTCGACATAAAACACAAAAGTCAAAAATGCCTGGGAAACACTAGATAAAACAAACAGATGAGATTGTTAGTTAATTTTGCCTCTACTTTGTTACCTGAAAAGTTAGATTCACTTCTTGTCAAGCCATAGCAAATAGAGTTTTCTTATCAAAGTGTGAATGCCTTGCCTTGAAATATGAGCTCCTGCGCTTGGCAAGTGCCCTCACTTATTCAGACAACTACAATTTATTGCAGGAGAGCCACAGAGAATGAATAACAAAGTAACAACTATCTATCTCTTGGAACCTTTAATTCCAGAAGTGGATACAGGCACAGCTGGAATAGAGGGACCAAGTGGAGGCAGAGAGTAATAGAAAATAGAGGTACAGTGTGAAGGCAAATCATGTAGGGCATGTGACCATTTGAAAGACCTCAGTTTTTGCTTTGAAAGATATGGGAAGTCACTGGAGAGTTGTGAGAAGGTTAATGACATGATCAGATTTATATAGTAAAGCGATTATTCTGACTGCTGTGTTCACAATACACTATAGAAGGGATTAGGACAGAAGCAAGGATACCAATTAGGAAGGTATTATCATATTACAGGCAAGAGATTATGGAGGATTGAGCCAGAGGAGGTGGTGAGAATTGGCCTTAATCTGGACACATTTCAAAAGGGATAGGGAAAGTAGTAGGATAATAAAGGTTTTATATTACAAGCCCCTAGAAGGCTCATACCAGTTTACTTAACTGGCCTTATTTCCCACACAATCCAGAATCATAAGATAATAAATGTATATAAGAATTATGAAGATAATGATACATTCCTTTTCTGAAACCATTATTCTCTCAAACCTCCCACCTACCCCTCTTTAATTAGTTTCTTAGATAAAAATGTACTTAGACTGGTTTTACGTGACTAATCAGATCAACTGTATTATGGGTCAATACTACATAGCCAGGTGGAAAACAAGTAACAAATCTGAATCTGTCTTTTTAAAAATTGTAAAGATAGAGTCTCACTATGTTGCCTAGGCCAGTCTCAAACCTCTGGTCTCAAGTAATCCACCTGCTTTGGCTTCCCAAAGAACTGGAATTACAGGCATGAGCCACTGTGCTTGTCCCCTAATCTGTCTAATAACTGGAAAAAGCCTGATTTGAATGACAATTTAATAGAATTTTGAAGCTCAAAGCTGTCTTGGAGATCACTTAGTTTAGATATTCCCAATCTTTTCACATAGAGAAGCCCTTTTTAAAATTGCAAAATGTAGTTCTCCCAAGATAAAGGTACCACTTTTAGTAGCTGTTGATTGAGAAAATACCTAACAAACAGCTACAACAAATTCAGCATTGATTTTAATTGAATGTGTATTTTTTATTAATCTTAATGACATTTACACACATATATGTGCAGTATATATTATTTATGTACTCTACAGACTGTGTCTCATGAACATGTAAATTAATGTGCTCTTTGCAATATATTTGGGCCCTTCCTTTGAGGTAGGGATATAACCCCAAAGAATCTTTGGTTCTTAGATTTGAACCACTGAGTTTCAATCCTTACTTTCCAAATCCCATGCCCAATTTGCAGGTGAAAAAAAAAATTAGATTCAAAGAGGCTAAGTGATTTGTACAAGTCAGTATCAGTACTGGGAAAGGAAGGCAGAGCTATGGGGTAGAGGACAAAGTCTTAGACTTAGTGTCAGGATACTTGAGCTTGCAGCATAGGTCTCAAGCTAGTCTCTTCTCTTTGAGCTTTGGTTTCTTCATACATAAGGAGAAGATAATGAAACGAATCTTATATAATTATGGTGAGGACTAAGAGATTATGCACATGAATGCTTTCTTTTTATTGATCCTGATATAGAATGGAAAGGTTTTACCATTATTAGAACCTGACTCCTAGTTCAGAACACCCCATTAATTATTTTCATCCTTTTTATGACAACATTTGAGCATGTTATTTTCACGATTCTGATGCTAAAATCAGATGAAAGACACAGCATCAATTTGCTCAACACAAGGTAACAATAGCCCAAGCCACTATTCAAAATACAGGAATGAATGAGTGCCATAATGGAAACATTGTCTCGGTTAAAGGCCACATTTGTATTTTATTGTTTTCTCTGCTTTTCTATGTTTCTGAATTCAAGAAGATTCTATTGTGTTTCTCTCATAATCTGAATGGTTCTTCTTGGGAGTTTATGGTATTTTCTTTTACAAATTGGTCATTAAATTATATGAGCTTTAGAATCAAGCTAGTGGTTCAATGGAGTCCTCAGAAATCCAGTATTGTGGGCATCTCTACTGATAAATAACTTACAATAAAAGCAACTTCAAGCAGGTTCTTCTCCAGTGATGGTTACTTGGCATGATATTATATTAATAGCCATTGCTATTAGAATATATGAGCCAAATCACCATATCATTTCCCTGCTTTTTTTCTAAAGTGAATTTAAAACAACATTTCTGTAATTTAGAGCAGATAATACGAAATCTAGACACTTTTTTTTAGTCATCCTCTCAAAATAGGCACATCAAGTCTTCCTAGCTATTACATTCAACTGTGCAAACAGATTTTAAATGCATGCGTATGAAATCTAATGACTTACCGGTGGATGTGAATGTTGAAAGGACTTAAAGTGGGAATTAACGGCCCAATTGTTTAAAATTATTCCTTAGGTGTGTTTACAGACTGTGATGCACATACACATGTATGACTTTGTAACAAGTGAATTGAGTCATTAAATGCTGTCATGGCACTCAAAAGCTATTCTCTGACCTACGAACAAGAAGTTTGAAGAAGGAGCATGTGGGGAGTAGTTTAGAGAGCACGCTGAGTGAGCACAGGGTTGGACAAAAGTAGCTAAGGAACTTATAGGGGACAACTTTTCTGTTGCTTATAACTTGACTGCTGTTCCAACATTTTATTCTGATAGAGGACGAGGGCTATGCATATTCTTTTGAGATTTTTGCTAAATTAAAGATTAGTGAGTGTGGAGAACCAAGCTCCTTGGAACATGTGTTCCTAAGAGACAGCAGTCTTTCCTTGGGCATGCCTTGACATTAACTATTAAGCAATCAACCCTTTGACTTCCATCTCATATTTCTTAGGCTATCCATAGGTTGAAATGAGAAGATTCTTTGGGCCACTGTGTGTGTGTGTGGTGGAGTGGAGTGGTGTAGAAGGGAGGATTTTTACAGCGATTTCCCTGAAAAGTTAGTCTAAACTACAGTAGATAGTTCTTATATGATTTCTGATTGGCCTGTATTTCCTGATATCTACCACAAAGTGTCCATACAATGTGGTATTGAAAATGTCATTGTTAGAGCATCATTTCTTTAATTTTGCTTTAAAGGGGAAATTTTCTAGGATGAGACAGCATTTTAAATTGTTGATTGCCATTTATACTTTGGTATTTTAGGTACTGGAGCCTGAAGAGACATTGATATCTAGAAGAACAAAAGGCAAAATGGCGTTAAAGATAGAGATTCTCCTTTACAATTTTATTCTGCAATATGTTGTAATTTGACTTATTTCTCCTTTGGCTGCTGCCATAGACCTGTAATTAAATACCCATCTCATAGAGCCATCATGGAAATAAGTGAGATAATGCATGTAAACCACCAAGCACAGAACTTGGCTGATAGTAAGTTCTCAGTAAATGTTAGCTGTAGAAATCCCCTAGCCATTTACCAACCAATGGCGACTGTGAGTTAACTGTCTGTGCCTAATGAAGTTGAGAGAAAGAGAAAAATAAAACCTACCTTATGCATTAATAGGGTGCATTTTCGAAAGACCTTTGCAGCACTTTATGTTTAATTATTAAGGCATCATGAGAGGTAGGTAAGAGGAATTTCACTTTTAAGCTACTAAAATAAACTAGGCATTTTTTTTTTTAAGGTCATAGAAAAAATCATTGACAAAGTCTGCAGGTACTCAAGTCTTATAACTTTAATTCAAATGATCTATTATCTATGCTAAGCTACTTTACTGAGGCTTAAATACTGAAGATATATGGACTTCTACTTCGTGTCAATTTTATGAAAATAAACAAGACATTATAATACAACCAGACAAATGATTTTATAGACTGTTAGTATGAAAATAATAGCAATAATAAATAGACTGGATTGACAGTCAAGTCTAAGGAATATAATTTTATTATTTTTATTTTTATTTTTTTTGAGACGGAGTCTCCCTCTGTCGCCCAGGCTGGAGTGTAGTGGCGCGATCTCAGCTCACTACAAGCTCCGCCTCCCGGGTTCACGCCATTCTCCTGCCTCAGCCTCCCGAGTAGATGGGACTAAAGGTGCCCGCCACCACGCCCGGCTGATTTTTTTGTATTTTTTTAGTAGAGACGGGGTTTCACCGTGTTGGTCAGGATGGTCTCGATCTCCTGACCTCGTGATCCACCCATTTCTGCCTCTCAAAGTGCTGGGATTACAGGCGTGAGCCACCTCTCCAGGCCAGAATATAATTTTAAAAGGCAAAAATAAAAATAACACATTACCACTGTATCAAGGTTTTGATGCAATCAAACACTGAAGTGGGGAATACTGCACAGTAAAGGAGAATGGGTATTAATCTTTTGGTTACCTGTGACTGTCACTAGAAACGCCTGATTTTGTAGGAACCCTTATCTTGTTTTTTTTTTTTCTCAACCATCATTACGCATAAATACCATGTAGCCTGATTTAACAGAGTGGTCTCAAAAAGATGACTTTCTATTTCACAACCATGATGTTTTACCATGGACGAACCGGACAAGTTACTATCTCACTGTAGTAATGTCAGGTGATCTCAGGACTGGAAAGGTCACTACGACCAATCACTATATGGAGATTGGGCTTTTCAAAGTTATTTGTTAACTTTAAAAAATATTTTCCCCCGGTTTTAGTTTTACAGGAATGTGCAACACTAGATGGAAATTTTAGTAATGTTTTCCAAAGGTCAAATGTTCTAAATAATACTGCTAATGTTCGGGTAAGGACTTTGTGCAGACCAGTTGTTATGGATTTAGGACTGTAATGATAGCATCAAATCAGATAGTTAGTTAATTAATGTTCCTAGACACTTGCCAATTACTACTCTTGAAAAAAAGAAGTATTTACTAAGCAAAGGATCACTCTTTGAACCAGAATGCTTCCTATACAGGGAAACCCAATGAATTATCAATGTATTGGATCACATCATTCACTCACCATTTCACCAAAGTCTTTTAGACATTAAGACCCACTCCCAGCTCAGTTTTTACCAACTGATGCATTTTGTTCTTTTCCAAACATATTCATAATAGTTATAAAGTGCTACTTTTTTATCTTAATTTGTCACTGTCATCTTTCTTTAAGGCACCTTTTTTGAGACCACAAAGTTAACAATCCTAATTAAGAGTGAATAAAATGACTGCTGAATTTCTGTGTTTGTTTTTGGCCTACTCAGTGAATCAAAAGTGTCATTTCAAAATAAATATATGGGTTATACTCACAAAGAGATACTGTATATGCATATATCCTGAAAAAGGAGACACAATTAAAATGTCTTTTTCAAATCAAACCCCATCCTAGGTTTTAGCTAATTTTAACTGAAATGTTATCCAGATGCCTAGATGTAGTATGAGCAAAATGCTTAAGATTTGATATTTTGTTGAAGAGCTAGTTCAGAAGGAAAAAATCTTTTTAGTTGGTGACATTATATTCTATATGCCTACTGCTTGTTCAGATTACTCTAACAAAGGCTTAAGGTAATACTATAATAAAACAATATTACTACATCAGCTACAAATTTTCAAAACACAATAAAAGTATACATTATTTTATAGTCCTCAAATTCAAAACCTGTATTGATTCATGTGGATGTTGGACTAAAATTTTTATGAAGAAAGAATTTGCCTGGAAAAACAGATGAACAGAATATGAATTTCAAATTCATTTTTACTATTTTCAAGAAATCATTTGTTCACTTTTAATTTAAAATACTTGACTGTCCCAGCCTGGCGTGGTGGCTCATGCCTGTAATCCCAGCACTTTGGGAGGATGAGGCGGGAGGATCACAAGGTCAGGAGATCAAGACCACCCTGGCTAACATGGCAAAACTCCATCTTTACTAAAAATACAAAAAAAAAAAAAAAATTAGCCGGGCATGGTGGCACATACCTATACTCTCAGCTACTTGGGAGGCAGAGGCAGGAGAATTGCCTGAACCAGTGAGGAGGCGGAGGTTGCAGTGAGCCGAGATTGTGCCACTGCACTCCAGCCTGGGCGACAGAGCGAGTCAAAAAACAAACAAACAAACAAAAACTTGACTGTCCCTCCCTACTCCCCTACAACTTTATGTTATTTAGACTATCACTTTTATTTTGTTGTCTTATGAACACTGCTTTCACAAATGTCTTCCTACTAAATTGTGAGCTCCTTCTCAACAGAGATCTGCTCTTTGTTTTTATCTTTTATTTTAAATTTTTAGTTAAAAATTATTGTGTGCTCACAATGTGCCAGACATGATCCTAAATGTTTTTACGTCTATCATCTCATTTTTAGGCCTAACAAAAATTCTATCCAGTAGATATTTTCAAGCTCTTTATTATTGAAGTTTGAAGAAGTTACATGAAGAGCTGGTTTGAATCCTCAGGAGTGTGACCCTGGTGCCAAAGGGTCACATGCCAAAACTTTTATCCATGCTAACTTTCCCATGCTTTGCAGCCTCTCTTAATTGTTTGGGTACCACTTAGAGAAAAGGATGAGTTGAGAGAAAGCACAGCCTATTACAGCAGCACCCAGATAAGAGCCACCCAAGTTTACAGTAGGGGTCTTGTGTAGACAAAAAGAATCTTATCCCCATTTAACAGGTATTGAATCATCTTAATTCACTTGCAAACAGCTGCAGGTAGAGGAAACAAGAAGCATAAATAACTTAGATGGACAAAACAAAGTCATAGGATTAAAGTTGTTAGGATGCTAACAGAAACATAAGGGGAATGAAGAGGACAATTTCCATTTCCCCTTGCCCTCGAATATAGGAGGTAATAGGGACAGCTTTACCATTAGCATCTTCTAATCTTAAGCATGCAAGTGGATGGATTGTTTAACAAGAGGTTGCTAGGCAGAGGTTCTCTAGGTCCCATTTTTGTTTTTAAAATCTTATATTTTATAATGTATTTTTTCTTGCAATGTGCTTTATCGCACATTAGTTCATTTAACTTAATTGAATAAATAAATGAGAACATTTTATAATTAGCACAAATATTGTATGTGTGAATGCTTTTAACATGATTGAATATTTTGTGTTCTTAATATGCATAATTAAGATTGCGAGGGGTAAAATTTTCTCTGTTAATTTTGTTTTTTTTCTCTTATACTGTAATTAAAGGTCAATGTAAAAGATCATAGATTCTACATATGTGGGACTTGAGGTTCTCTATATTTCTTGTCTCGATGTTTTCAAGTGTCTGGTGCTTTCATTTAGCTTACTTCACTAAATAAGGCTAAATATTGAATTATTTAAACTTATTCTTCCCATTTAAATGAATAATTTTTTTAAAAAATGAAAACATTTCTGCTTTAGAAACTTTGATATTCATAGTAGGTTAAGGGATTAATGTCTTGCTTTTAAAAATATTTTATCTTTCCATGATAAAATATCACTTGTAGAGAAGATAAATATTTCTCTTTAATTATAAATCTTTACTGTTTCACAATATAAAATATAAATGAACATTTACATTTAAATGTGCTTCTTAGTTTATAAAAACTCAGCATACTAGGAGGTGAACAGAAAATAAAGACTCGTTTCTATTCACCTCTACTTTATTCACATAAATGACTAAATGTGGAAGAACTGGAGACAGACTGTTCTGAGTGCCACTAGTAATGAACTGTGTAGCTGGACAAATTATTCTTTCTGTGCCTCAATTTACTCATCTGCAATAACAGGCCGACAACTTTCAGGACTTCAGAACCAACGTTTGGGTAAATGCTAGGTAATTTTTAGTCCTTCTCTCCCCATCTTTTCTTAGGGCTCAAAGCTTTGGTTATTGATTTAAAATAGAATTACATAAGCAAAGCAAAATTTGTAGTAGATAATAAAAAGATATACTCCAATTTTGCAGCCTAATTTTATTGCTTTCATTTCTAGTTTAAGAAAAAAGTTTTGTTTTAGATTTGCCTTGACTGGCCTCAAGTACATTCATTCTCTCTCTCTTTAAGGAATTCTCACTAGAAAGCACTTATCCTTATAATTATATAATTGCATTAGTGGGTTGTTTCGTAGCAAGGCTCTTTATAACTTCCCATAATTATAGCGTATACCTATTAATTATATAATCTTCCTTTAGAACCAATATTGATAGAAAATGCCTTTGACATCTTTTACATAAGAAACATATTTTGCGAACTTACTCATAGTTATACAACCCTTTGGAACTCACTCTCTTCTCTGAACCTCAGTTACCCTATTTGTTAAATGAGAAAATTTGAATTAGACTAGACTCTTTAATTATTTTTTCAAGTTCTAAACTTCTAAAATTTAATCATTCCATCAACTAATACACATCTGAGAGCCTACTGGAAGCAAGGCATTTTTCTGGTTGCTATACATACATTTTTTCAAGATTTACTATCTACATTTTACTTAAAGTTGTGGGAATCAAGCTTTTCAGCAAACCTGTTTAAAAACTGTCAGTGCCATTTTAATCAAAATATTATCTGAGATTTAATAAAGAACTCTACTTATTCCCTCTCACCACCAGGCATACAAAACAAGCCCAGTCTTACATAAAGAGAAAAATTTCCCAGCTCCTCTTAGACTAGATTATTTTCAGAAGGAACATTCAGTTTTTCTTTTGATACATTTTAGTTAGAGTAACTAATTCTTTTCAACTTGTGCTGTTTTGCTATTTTGAAGAACCAAATATTTCATTTTGTTTCTTGTAATTTACCAACTGTTGTAAAAGAGGGGCAATTTTTGTTTCTACAGACACTCATTATCAAGTTCTAAACGTGCTTAAGGGCATCCTCAAATCAGATAGCAGAATGACTAATCTGAAGGCACTACTACCCTGTTTAATCAGTAAACTGTTTCCATAGGGGCTTACCCTTCCCCCTCACCAGATCTAATGTTGACCTATGAGAAAGATGGGGTAAAAGGACAGAGATGAAGGAAAGAAAATAGGAGGAAGAGAGGAAAGTTTATCATTCAAATCTGGGTGACAAAGTATGTGTGTGTGTGTGTGTGTGTGTGTGTGTGTAGGGCATAAATCTGGAGTGACACCAGCTTTTCCCTAGTAATTGCTGGTTGCTGGAGGAAGGGGCTAGACATGCTGTTTAACTAAAAAACTAGGAATAGGTTTTCCTTCACCATTAATCCTTTCACTCACATCTGCAATAGCAAGGGGTTTAAATAAGCCAAACTGGTGTGGAAATTCTACATAGAATTATATTGCAATGCAGTGTTTCATATAAATTGAATAAAGCAGTATACCTGAGACTGTCCTTGGCCTCAGTGCCCATTCTCAGGTCAGAAATACCCTCTGAGCCTTTATAAAATGTGGAGGCAAATAGAGCCCTATTAATTTGACATTTCAAGAATTAGAACCATCTCAAGCACTCAAAAAAACAATAAATTTATCAGAGCCTGCTAGATCTGAAAGGGACCATAGAGAACACTCATTCCATCTCTGCTGTTTTATAGTGGACAGACATGAACAGAAGTTGAGTGGGTTGCCCAAGTTCACCCAGCTGATTAGTAGCAACACCAGGACTTGAAACCAGCTTTCTTGGCTCCCATTTAGTGGTCTTTCTACCATTGGCTGCCTCATTGGCTTCTTCGTTGCTATTCAGTTTTGAGGTTTGAAGTGTCTCCTAAAATTTATTTTCCTATATTTTTTTCTCAACTCCCCTTTCTGTTTATGAAAGCTACACAAAAAGTTATTTGACCTTTAACTCCTAGGGGCTCACTATGTCAATAGAGTTTTCAAATTTTAAATTAGATAATGTCAGTAAAGTTTGAGTGTCTAGGAGAATGTATAATTATAGTAGAAGGTGTTATTATAATAATTTGTGGATAGGCAGCAACATGATTACTTGTTCATGTTATTAAACTCATGATCAAAGTTCACATAACGAAACAAATGTTCTTGTCTGTTTTATAGATAAGACTGATTCCAACTAAATTCATTTTACTCTAACTGCCCCTGCAAACAATCCCTCCAAAACACAAGTGGTATTTTTTCTTTCATCTTGCCTCAGCATTTAGTGCTGTATTAAAACTGCTTGACGAATGTGAAGACCAAATTAACTGCACACACCCATAATATAAATACAGCGTTAGGAACCAAGATGAAAAATAACTCACATAAAAACTTGGATTTTATCAAGCATCCTCACAATAACCACAGGCCCTTCCCAGATGGTCCCACTTAATGGTGAACATTTTCTATTTATAGCATCTGCTTCTCTCTTAGGATATTTCAAACCATTCAGAATGAGATTTTTTAATTGTAAGTAAATGAAGTAGCTGAAGTTTAATTACCAAACAAGGAGGTGTTTTGTGGGTAGATGCTTGGAGGATAAAAGATTATCTTGTTGCAATAGAACCATTGATGCAGCTTTCACTCCAGTCACTCAGAGTTATAAATTATGAGGCAGAAAGATTCAAGACTTAGGGGTGAAATTAATCATATTAAGTCGGTGCCCCCACACTGATACTGACATTTAAC
Source organism: Homo sapiens (assembly GCF_000001405.40). Lineage (NCBI taxonomy): Eukaryota > Metazoa > Chordata > Mammalia > Primates > Hominidae > Homo > Homo sapiens. The sequence continues at coordinate 85,514,704 of NC_000023.11, forward strand.
GAGTATGATTCATATAAAAACATAGTACATGATTTTTTTGATTAGGGAGAAAGTGCATGGAATATTTCATTTTCCAATAAAAACATCTATGGATACTACAATAATACACCTGATGAAATGACTCAAATATAAATATTGACTACATTTGTGTCTGCTACTTTCTCTCTTCCCTCTCCTCTCAGCCTCCTCTCTAAAGCCATTCTAGATGACAGCCACCATGGTTGAAAATGTAAATCCTTAGATGACTTAGACAAGTGAGATAAGTTATCACTTGAAATTTGTTTGAAGAAGCACTAGACAGTGGAATCAAGAGCATTAAAATGATCTGGTTAATATCTGGTCTAATAAGTCAGCTTCTCTGTTTAACCAACTTTTCTCACACTTGGGTCACTGTGTATGCCACATTGTTAATTGGATTGGGGGACCCTGTGAAGAAACACATATTTCATAATTGCTGGTTCCCTCCCATAAAACTGTACATTCCCTGGACTTTGTATTTACAGGCATTTTGTTGCAATTGCATTTTCATCTTAATTAAGAAAAACCAGCAAACTGAGTTCCGCCACAATAAGAGAAGGGGAGGATAACTTTTGTGTTATAGGGGATATAATAATGTAATGAAAACTCAGAGAAAAATGTATTCTAGGCTTTGAAATAATTTCTTCCAGTCTTTTGAACACATTGCCTGCTCACTTCATCTGAAATACTCAACCACTTTATTTATCTGGGCTTCACATGTAAGCTTATATGTCATTATCCTTAAAATGCCTTTTCTGGCTGGATTAAATTCTCCTCTTGCATGCTTCAATAGTGTCCTAAGCTGAAACCTATCATAACATTTATCACACTGCATTGTAACAGTGTTGAGTTTTTATTATCATGATGTTCCCAAAACCTGGCATAGGGACTCACACAGAGATGGAGCACGCAATAAGTTGGCTGCATAAACAAATAAATGAATAAACAAATAAACAAATAGATGAATGAATTAATGGAATGTGCCCAGACCTTTGAGAAAGCTTATCCCCTTATCTTGTGCTTTTTCCCCAGTAAAAATCAATGGAAAATCATTGCATTGATGTGCTCCAAGCCATTTTTATTTGCAAAACAGTTCATTGAGCAAAAACTTGGGAAGTGCTAACAATTTTTCAAATCATCTTGCTTCTGTGTGGTTATCCTGTACTCACCATGCCTTATAAAATTAACCCAAACTCAGTAGTTTGGAGGATTTTGGCTTCAAAATTGGCTGCTTAGTTTAACTATGATATACATATATATATATATTTTGTAGAGGCAAAGAGTGACAGCTGTCTACTATTGAAATCAACTATTCCACTGATTAGCAAAACGATTTTGCTCTACAGGATACAAAAAGGCATTTTGTTTCTCCTGGGCCAGCATACTTGAAGTAGCATAACTGATGATAAAGATGGGATACAATTTTAAGCAGTCCTACTTGCAAATAAGTCAGTTACGTTTCTTTTCCAATTATCATCAGTGTTGACAAGGTTGATTTCAAGAAGTCCTTTTAAAAAAAAATTAATGACTCACGAATGTCCTGGAGACTAGATTATGCTACGATTTGCCAATCTGAGCAATGTAATGTGTACAAATTTAAAACTGGTTTAGTTGGGTGTGTCTCACATTCATAAAAACTTAGTGTTACTCACCTGATGAGCAATGAAATTAAGATGTTTAGTTTGAATGTCCTGTGATGGGAATTGGCCTGGGAGTTAGGTTTTAGTAAGGCATCTTCATTGAAAATAACAAGCCTCTTCTTTTACCCATAATAACTTAAATTTTGTTGGAATATAGAAGTGAAAATATATATATTTAGAGAAAAGGATAAAGAGGGAGAGAGAGAAGAAAACTGTGAATGTGACTTCTTATGAAATATCTCAAGATTTATAAAAATTCAAACTTTACCACTTCCTCTAACCAAAAAATAATGGACAAGATCCACTATAACATTTTATTGCATTCATGACTTTCTACTTATGGCATTGTTAAATCAGAACACAAGGGGGGAATTAGGTCAGGGCATTATACATCAAATCACCAAGCTAAAATATTTTAACACCTGAACCCAATGGCACAGATTCAAAATCCTAATTTATAAATAATGTGTAATACCTCAGGAGAAAAAATAGTATAATGAGTTAAGTGAACAACTTTTAATATAGAATACACTGGTATAGTCTACAATTCTGTAAGGTTTAATTAGAGGTATTAAATTGCTGTAAGAAAAGGTAAATTCTTTCACAGAATTTAGATGTCTTCATCAAGGAGATTAAAATAATGATTTCTAAAACCTCGTGATGTGTATTTAATTTTAAGCTTTATCTGCCTAGAAAATAATATGTGGAGGAAATCGAGAGAATAATAAATGTTCTCTCTGGCAAATTTCACATATACACATACACGTATATACACATATAAATGTATGTATGTGTGTATATATATATATACATATATATATATATATAGAGAGAGAGAGAGAGAGAGAGAGAATCTTGAAACAATACAGCTCTTTTAAATTTGATTGTTCCTAACATAATTGATATGTGTGCACACCTACGGAAACGCATCTTGACATTTCTAGTAAGCCAGGCATGAAAAATGTAATACTGTGGTCTTTCTTCAATGCTAAGCAGGGGTGTGCTGACCCACAAAAATTACAATCTTGGGACAAACCATTCTGAAATGTTTTCACGTGTGGGTTTTCCTTATCTTTTTGGTAATGTTTCTATAGTCAGTTAAGGGTTCATGGTAGGTGTTTTACTGATTGATTCAGTAACTCTGTTTGGACTGTTTCTAGTTTGGCCCCGAGTAGAAGGGAATAGTTTGGTCTTAAGTAATCTGTCTATGTAAATATCAGAAAATCCTCCTGGATCATACATGATTAGATACTTTATATATCTCTCAATTGTCTGCTCATACGAAGCACTGCCTAAAAGTTGTTGACTGAAGCTCCTCATTCATACAAGTAAATATTGATCAAAATCCAGTTTTTGTTTGCCAAAAAAAATGCAATTTAGAAACTTTCAAAATAGATCCCCTTGTTTTCTTCTGGGAGGCCAAATAAAAACATATTAAATAAATGAATAGATGAATAAATGGAATGGAGGAAGAAAGACTGGTCCCGTCAAATAAGATGTATGTCAGAGACAGCTGGTAGATTTGTGTCAGGATATCTCATCACATCTTTCATTTTAAGTATTAAGAGTGTACAGTAAATATCTATGAAATTCAAGAGGGCAGTGAGAGATGTGTATAAAATTAACATGAAATTCTACTTTTTATAAGTCCACCTACCTGAATATTTACCCTAAGTGATACTTCAAAACTGGAGGAAAGAGACTTGGTCATTATGGGTGATGCTGTAAAATGCCATGTAGATACTTCATAGCACAATAAAAAAAAAACTTATCAGTAATAACAACAACGTAATGGCAGAGCCAGCTCCACCTTAGCCGAAACCAACCCTAACCAGTTGGGGAGGTTCAAGAGAATGATCTCTGTTACAAAAGTTTATTTCAGTGTTATTTCTGCTGCTACATATTTTCTGCTATAATTAGGGGAACCTCCCTGTTCCTCCCCATTTACACTCTTGTAATAGCCAACTGCAATTCTATTTCAAACTCCCTTATCTTTGTTAATCCTTTATAATAGGGCACTTTTTTGGCATTGGGATAAAGGGATAGAAAGAGTCTAGCCAAATAAAATAAAGGCTGAAAAACTTAACATAAAACATCCATTTCAAACACTACACTATAAAATATGTTCCACAGTAGGATATTTGTTCTACATAATCTCAGAGAACATAACAGGACATATATCCAGGAACATAGATGTTGCAAAACTTCCAGCAGTCTGTGCTGTACTTGAGAGCCCTAAAAACATTATAGGGAGTATGGAAAAAAATATTTCTATGGTCTGGAGGGACACCTCTTTGTAAAATTCTATTGGAGACTTGATTTAGACTTACTTAGATGTTTCAGATTTAAATATCTGGACTGAACAATGCAGATAGAAATCAATAGCTATATTTAGAAAGTCACAAGTTCTTACAGTGTTATGCATTACCGAGTACTCCTCTCACCCTTCCCACCTGTCATTACAAAGAAGGTTTGTAATTGTTTTAGTGGGGAGTCAGCTCCAAGTTTTCTGATGTTACTATTAATATTTGGAACACTATAGCTTTGAGAGTCCCGATTCTCACTGAACAAAAGGATGGCTTTGAGGTCCTTTAGAATTACTCTTAGGTTTTGGGAGAAGATGGTAAAATAACTGGGAGATTCAATAAGGAAAACATTGACTTATTCAAATAGACGTGTTGGTACTTATTAACAAAGCATACTAATTTATTGGCTGAATTTTTTAATGTTTCTTTTGTATTTTGCAATGGATAGAAACAGATCCACTGAAGAGATCAAAATTATACATGTGCTTTCATTTTTCCACTTGTTTTCATTTGTTCCTTACCAAAATATTTATTGAACACTTACTATATATATAGCACTCTGGTGAATGTTGTTGTGATTCTCTGTGTTTACTGAGATTATGTTCTAGTAAGAGAGATAAAACTAGTTCAAACATAAATACACTACACACAGTATGAGATAACTACCCTAAAATAGTACTAACAAAAGCCACAAAATGAGAGATGATTTTTGTCCAAATATAGTCAGATAGGGTTTATAAATGTTTGATCTAGGTATTAAAGGGTAAACAGGATTTCAACAGAAGGGGAAAGAACAACACTTTCCAGAGGGAGGAAATGGCATGAACAAAGTTGTAAAGAAAGAAAAAAATATCAGGAATGAATCAGGAGAAGATAAGTGGAACAGTTTAGCTTAGAGCATGTACTGAAGTACAGAGACATAAATCTGGAAAGTATGTCAGGACTGTACAGAGAAGAAGAAGCTTTGTAGTGGACATTTATTGTTTAGGGCTATCCAGCATACATTCATTCCCTCTTTTGGAAATTCTAGAGATGAATAAACTTTTCTCTCACATGGATAGTCTTGATAGACCTCTAATAAAAGTATCCTGCTCTCTCTAAGGGATGGACATGTGATCCAAGCTAGGTCATTTCAATGTTCTCCTGGACTTTGGGTTTTGAGCAGAGAGAAATAATGAGGAAAATAATTTCTTGATTTATCCATTTTCTCCTTTGACTTGGATCACTAGATCTCTCCTAGTTCTCTCCTAGTTCATGTTCTTTTTAAGTGTGGCTCTCTTCAGCTGGTCCTTCAATTCTGTGAGCTACCTTGTGTTCTTCCAATAATATTATATTATTTTTTCTTTTCTTTTTTGAGTTTTCAGTTAGCCAGTTGGTTTTGTTGCTTACACCAAAGAACCTGATTAAACCTTCAATGCAAGCCTGTTTTACATTGATAAAATTTTGAAGAAAAAGTTAAGGAGAAGAATAATGTTGTCAAGTTAGTGAACTAGAAAAGTATTCTGGAAACACTGTGTTAAATGGATTGGAAAGCAGAGAGACTGAAGTGAGGGGGACCCCTTAGGAGGCTGTTGTAGTAGTTTTAGAACCAGGAATTGAGGACACAGGCTATAGTGGTGGCAGTAACAATGAGAAATAAGAGACGTATAAGAGACGTTTTTAAGAAAAAAGAAGTAAAAGATCTTAGAAACTGACTTGATGTTGACTTTGGAGGAGATTTTTTAAAAGTCAGAGATCTTTCAGAGATTTCAAAACTAAAGGACAGGGAGATGAATGAGAAGTCTATATGAGAGACTGAGGAAAAACAACTAAAGAAATATGATAAAAATCAGGGTTTTGCAACAGCATGTGAGCCAATGGAGGAGAGATTGACTACTTGTAGAGGATAATCAAAAGTGTCAGAAGTTGTGGGAAAAACCTAGAAATCAGGAAAGAAAAGAAAAAGTTCTCATAATCCTTCAGTTTAGCTGAAATCTCAGAAGAAGAAGTTTTCATTGTTGACTGGAAGAAAAGCCGTTGAATATAGCATTATTTGTGACCCTCTAGAAGAATGGTTCTTAAGCAATTTTTGTTCCATGGGTCCTTTTAGCAGTCTTGTGAGGCCTACAGACTCTCATAATAATGTGTTTAAATGTGTTAAACAAAACATAAAGGAGCTTTAAAAGAAACCAATTATGTAGAATTTCAGTTATCAAAATATTTTAAACTTGGTCAAATAGTAAAGCATATGCCATTTATTAATGTATTGAATAATAAGACAATACATTTATTTATTTTCTACTGCTAAAACATCTCTGACTTTTAACTGTATTTATTTCCATCATTCATTAGTTGTTGATAATGATGATGATGAAAGTGACAAGAAAGATTATGACTAACATTTGTTTTTCCTAATTTTTACTTTTTGTGGACACATAGTAGATGCATATATTTGTGAGGTACAAGAGATATATTGATCCAGGCATACAGTCACATCAGGGTAAATGGGGGTATCCATCACCTCAAGCATTTATTCTTTCTTTCTGTTACAAGCAATACAATTATACTCTTACTTATTTTAAAATGTGCAATAAATTATTGTTGACTCTAGTTACCTGTGGTTCTATTAATACTAGATATTATTCATTCTTTCTCACTATTTTTTGAACCCACTAACCATGTCCCCTTAAAACTCCCACTACCCTTCCCACCTTCTGATCACCATCCTTTTACTCTCTATCTCCATGAGTTCAATTGTTTTATATTTAGCTCCCACAAATAAGTGAGAACATGTGATGTTTGTCTTTCTGTGCCTGGCTTATATCATTTAACATAATGACCTCCAGTTTTATCCATGTTGTTGCAAATGACAGGATCTCATTCGTTTTTATGGCTGAATAGCATTCCATTGTGTATATGTACCACATTTCTTTACACATTCATTTGTTGATGCACACTTAGGTTGCTTCCAAATCTTGATGGCGAATAATGCTGCAATAAACATGGAAATTCATACATACTTTCAATTTGCTGATTTCATTTCTTTTGGGTGTATACTTAGCAGTGGGATTACTGGATCATATAGTAGCTCTATTTTTAGTTTTCTGAGGAATCTCCAAACTGATTTTCATAGTGGTTGTGTTAATTTACATTCCCATTAACAGTGTACAAGCTTTCCTCATATGGTTTACCTTTGTGTCCCCACCAAAATCTCATCTCGAATTGTAATCCCCATAATCCCCATGCGTCTGGGGAAGGGTCTGGTGGGAGGTGATTGGATCATGGGGGCAGTTTCCCCCATGCTGTTCTTGTGATAGTGAGTGAGCTCTCACGAGATCTGATGGTTTTATAAGTGTTTGGCAGTTCCTCCTTCATGCAGTCTCTCTCTCCTGCCATCTTGTGAAGAAGGTGCCTGCTTCCCCTTCTGTCTTGATTTTAAGTTTCTCTATTGAGGCCTCCCCAGCCACGAGGAGCTGTGAGTCAATTAGATCTCCTTTGTTTTATAAGTTACTCAGTTCTGAGTAGTATTTTTATAGCAGTGTGAAAACGGACTAATACAGTTCCCTTACCTCCACATCCTCACCAGCATTTGTTATTGCCTGACTTTTGGATAAAAGCAGTTTTAACTGGGGTGAGATGATATCTTATTGTAGTTTTGATCTGCATTTCTCTGATGGTCAGTGACATTGAGCATCTTTTAATACATCTGTTTGCCATTTGTATGTCTTCTTTTGAGAAATGTCTATTCTGATATCTTGCCCATTTTTAATCAAATTATTAAATGTATTATTAAATTTATTCCTGCAGATCCGTTTGAGCCCTTATATATTATGCATATTAATTCCTTATCAGATGGATAAGGGATATCAGAGACAAATATTTTCTTCTACTTTGTGGGTTTTCTCTCCACTTTGTTGATTGTCTCCTTTGCTGTGCAGAAGCTTTTTAACTTGATGTGATCCCATCTGTTGAATTTTGCTTTGGTTGCCTGTGCTTGTGCGGTATTACTCAAGAAATCTTTGCTCAGTGTAATGTCCTGGAGAGTTTCCCTAATGTACTCTTTTAGTAGTTTTATACTTTAAGTCTTAGATTTAAGTCTTTAATGCACTTTGAACTGATATCGCAAGACATAGGGGTCTAGTGTCATTCTTCTGTATATGGATATCCAGTTTTTCCAGCACCATTTGTTGAAGAGACAATCCTTTCTGCAATGCAGTTTCTTGGCAGCTTTGTTGAAAATGAATTCACTGTAGAGGTATGGATCTTTTTTTCTGGGTTCTTCTGTTCCATTCATCTATCTGTTTATTTTTATACCAGGACCATCCTGTTTCGATTACTATACCTTTGTAGTACAATTTGTAGTCAGATAATGTGATTTCTCCAGTTTTGTACATTTTGCTCAGGACAGCTTTGGCTATTCTGGGTCTTCTGTGGTTCCATACAAATTTTAGAATTGTTTTTTCTATTTCTATGAAGAATGTCATTGGCATTTTGATAGGGATTGTATTGAATTTGTAGATTAGTTTGGGTAGTATGGACATTTTAAGAATATTGGTTCTACAATCCACAATCATGAAGTATCTTTCCACTTTTTGTGTCCTCTTTAATTTTTTTCATCAGTGTTTTATTCTTTTTATTGTAGAACTATTTCACTTCCTTGGTTAAGTTCACTCTTAGGTATTTTATTTGTAGCTACTGTAAATAGGATTACTTCTTTGATTTCTTTTTTCAGATTGTTCACTGTTCGGTATATACAAATGCTATTGATTTTTGAATGTAGATTTTTTATTCTGCCACTTTACTGAATTTATCAGTTCAAATAGTTTTTGGTGGAGTCTTTAGGTTTTTTCAAATACAAGATCACAGCATCTGCAAACAAGAATACTTTGACTTCTTCCTTCCCAATTTAAATGCCCTTTATATCTTTCTCTTGTTTGATTGCTGTAGCTAGAACTTCCAGTAATGTGTTGAATAACAGTGGTGAAAGTGGGCATTCTTGTCATGTTGCAGATCTCAGAGGAAAGGCTTTCAATTTTTCCCCATTCGTTATGATACTGGTAATTGATCTGTCATATGTGGCTTTTGTTATGTTAAAGTATGTTCCTTTTGTCCCCAGTTTTTTGAGGGTTTTTAACATTAAGGGATGTTGAATTTTATCAAATGCTTTTTCAGCTTCAACCAAAATGATGGTTATTGTTTTTGTCCTTCATTCTGTTGATAAGATGTACCACACTGATTTGCATATGTTGAACTATCTTTGTACCCCTGGGATGAATTTCACTTGGTGGTAATGAATGATCTTTTAAATGTGTTGTTGAATTTGATTTGCTAGTATTTTGTTGAGGGTTTTTGCATCAATGGTCATCAGGGATATTGGCCTGTAGTTTTCCTTTCTTGATGTGTCTTTGTCTGGTTTTAGTATCAGGGTAATACTGTGCCCATAGAATAAATTTGGAAGTTTGCCCTACTCCCCTATTTTTCAAAATAGTTTGGGTAGGATTGGTATTAGTTACTTTTTAAATGTTTGGTAAAATTCAGCAGTGAACCCATCAGATTCCAGGCTTTTCTTTGCTGAGAGAGTATTTATTACAGCTTCCATCTCATTATTTGTTATTGGTGTGTTCAGGTTTTGTATTTCTTCATTGTTCAATCTTAGTAGGCTGTGTGTGTCTAGGAATTTATCAATTTTTTAGGTTTTCTAGTTTATTGGCATATCACTGCTCATACTATCTGCTAATGATACTTTGAATTTCTGTGGTATCAATTATAATGTCTCCTTTTTCATCTCTGACTTTATTTATTTGAGTCTTCTCTCATTTTTCATATTTAGTCTGGCTAAAGGTTTGTCCATTCTATTTATGTTTTCAAAAACAAACTTTTCATTTTGTTGATCTTTTGTATTGATTTCTTCATTTCAATTTCATTTATTTCTGTTCTGATCTTGATTATTTCTTTTTTCTACTAATTTTGAGTTTGGTTTGCTCTTCCTTTTCTATTTCTTTAAGATGCACCATTTGGTTGTTTATTTAAAATTTGTTTAACATTATGATGTACCCACTTATTGCTATAAACTATCCTCTTAGTAGCCCTTTGGCTCTACTCTATATGTTTTAGAATGTGACGTTTCCTTTATCATTTGTTCAAGGAATGTTTTAATTTCCTTCTTAGGTTCTTCATTGGCCCACTTGTCATTCAGGAGCATCATGTTTTACTTCCATGTGTTCATATAGTTTACAAAATTACCCTTGTTATTTTTTAAAACCTTTTGTAATTATATTTCAGGTTATTTTAATTTTTAATTTTTGTGGGTACAATAGAAGGTATATATATTTATGTGGTACATGAGATGTTTTAATATAGGAATGCTATGGATTTTTACTTTTATTTCACTGTGGTCAGAAATGATACTTGATGTTATTTTAATTTTTTCAATTTTTTGAAATGAAAATGAAAATGTTTTGTAGCCTAACATATGAACTTCCTTGAGAATGATCCATGTGCTGAGGAGAATGTGTATTCTACAGCCGTTGGATAAAATGTTCTGTAAATATCTATTAGGTCCATTTGGTCCATAGTGCAGATTAAGTCCAATGTTTCCTTTTTGATTTTTTTCTCTGGATGACCTGTATAAAGCTGAAAGTGAAGTGTTGAAGTCTCCAGCTATTGTTGTATAGGGGTTTATTACTCTCTTAAGCTCTAATACTATTTGCTTTATATATTTGGGTGGTTCAGTGTTGGGTACATTTATATTTACAATTTTTATATCCTCTTGCTGGCTGAATGGAGACTTTTAGCATTATAAGATGATTTTCTTTGTCTTTTTTAAAGTTTTCATCTCAAAATCTATTTTTTTCTGATATAGGCATAGCTATTCCTGCTATTTTCTGGTTTTCATTTGCATGGTATGTCTTTTTGCATCTCTTTATTTTCAGTCTATGCGTGTCTGTATAGGTGACGTGTGTTTTTGGTAGGCAACAGATCTGAGTCTTGTCTTTTTATACATTCAGCCACTCAATTTCTTTTTATTAGAGAGGTTAGTCCATTGAAATTTCAACTTCATTGTTGATAAGTTATTACACATTCCTTCCATCTTATTATTTGTTTTCTGGTTATTTGTAGTCTTCTCTTGTTTTTTTTCTCCTTCTTTCCAGTCTTCCTTTTTGTGAAGGTGATTTTCTCTGATGGTATATTTTAATTTCTTCCTCATTATTTTTGTGTAACTGTTGTAGGTTTTTTGAGGTTGCCATGAAGCTTGGAAATAATATATTATAACCCATTATTATAAACTGATGACAACTTAACACTGATTGCATAAACAAACTAACAAGCAAGCAAAGGAAAAACTACACTTTAACTTCATCCCCTCACTTTATAACTTTTTGTTCTTTCTATTTATATCTTATTGTACTACCTATGTCTTAAAAAGCAGTTGTAATTATTTTCGATGGGTTCATCTTTTAGTCTTTTTACTGAAGGTATGAGTAGTTTCCACACCACAATTACAGTGTTCTGTAATTTTCTGTGTACTTACTATTACCAGTGAGTTTTGTACCTTCAGATGATTTCTTCTTGCTCATTAACACCCCTTTCTTTAAGAATGAAGAACTCCCTTTAGTATTTCTTGTAGGATATGTCTGGTGTTGATGAAATCCCTCCGCTTCTGTTTGCCTGGAAAAATCTGTATTTCTCCTTCATGTTTGAAGGATATTTTCGCCAGATTTACTATTCTAGAGTAAAAGGGTTTTTTCCCTCCCTTTCAGCACTTTAAACGCCTCGTGCCACTCTCTCCTGGCCTATAAGGTTTCCACTGAAAAGTCTGCTGCTAAACATATTGGAGCTCCATTGTATGTTGTTTCTTTCTTCTTGCTGTCTTGCTGCTTCTAGGATTCTTTGTTTATCTTTAACTTTGGGGAGTTTGATTATTAAATGTCTTGATGTTATCTTCTTGAGGTTAAATATGCTTGGTATTCCATAACCTTCTTGTACTTGGATATTGATATCATTCTCTAGGTTTGGAAAGTTTTCTGTTATTATCCCTTTGAATAAGCTTTCTACCCCTATCTTTTTCTCTGCCTTCTCTTTAAAGCCAATAACTCTTAGATTTTCTTCTTAGAGGCTGTTTTCTAGATCTGGTAGTTATGCGTCATCTGTTTTTATTCTTTCTTTTGTCTCCTTCAACCGTGTATTTTTAAATATCCATTATTCAAGTTCAGTAATTCTTTTGCTTGGTCACTTCTGCAATTAAGAGACTCTGATGCATTCTTCAGCATGTCAGTTACATTTCTCAACTTCAGAATTTCTGCGTGATTCTTTTTAATTATTTCAATCTCTTTGTTAAATTTATCTAATAGGATTCTTAATTCCTTCTGTGTTATCTTGAATTTCATTGAGTGTCCTTAAAACAGCTGTTTTGAATTATCTGTCTGAATGATCACATATCTTTTTCTCCAGGATTGGTCCCTGGTGCTTTGTTCAGCTCATTTGGTGAGGTCAAGTTTTCCTGGATGGTCTAGATGCTTGCAGGTGTTCATCAGTGTGTGGGCATTGAAGAGTTAAGTATTTCTTGAAATCTTCACAGTCTAGGTTGGTTTGTACCTGTCCTTCTTGGGGAGGCTTTCCAGGTATTTGAAGAGACTTGAGTATTGTGATCTAAGACTTTGGTCACTGCAGCCATATCTGCATTAGGGGGCACCCCAAGCCCAGTAATGCTGTGGCTCTTGAATACTCATAGAGCTACTGCCTTGGTGGTCTTGGGTAAGATCCAGAAAAATTCCCTGCATTTTCAGGCAGAGACTCATTTTCTTCCCTTTCTTTTAAATGAATGGAGTGACTCTTTCTGTACTGAGCTGCCTGTAGCTAGGGGAAGAGTGACACAAGCACCCCTGTGATCACTACCACTGGGCATGTGCTGGGTCAGACCTGAAGTCAACACATTAGTAGGTCCTACCCAAGGCCCACAGTAACCACTCACTGGCTACCACCTATATTCATTTAAGGCCCTATAACTTCTACAATTAGCAGGTGGTGAAGCCAGAAAGGCTTGTGTCTTTCCTTTCAGGGTGGCCAGTTTCTGCTTTCTCCTGGCAGGTTCAGAGATGCGTCCAGGAGCCAGGGCCTGAAGTCAAAAACCTTAGAAATCTACCTGGTGTTCTATTTTACTGTGGTTGAGCTGGCATCCCAGCCACAAGTCAAAGTTCTTCCCACTCTTTCCTCCCATTTTCATAAGCAGAGCAGTCACTTCCTGTGGTCACCATCTCCCCAGGCCTGTGGCAAATACTGCCTAGTTATCACCAATGTTTCCTTAAGGCGCAAGGGCTCTTCAGTCATTTTGTGGTGAATGTTGCCAGGCCTGGGACTCTCCCTTCAGGACTGTGGGCTCCCATCTGGCCCAGCGTAGGTCCCTAAATGCCATTTAAGAGTCAAGCCCTGGAATCCCGGACCCCGAGGACCCTCTTCATACTGTTCCCCACTGTGGCTGTGCTGGTAGCCAAGCTGCAAGACAAAGTCCCCTTTATATTTTCCTTTGCTTTTATCAAGAAGAAAGAGTCTCTCTCTATATCTACAGCTACTACAGCTGGGAATGTGCTGGGTTATACCTGAATCCAGCATGTCTCTGATTCTCATCCAAGGCCCATGGCAACTACTTCCTTGGTACTCCTACTGATTATTCAGGGACCAGGGGCTTTTTAATCAGTAGGTAATAAATCCTGCTAGGACTGAGTCTTTCTTTTCAAGGCAGCAGGTTCCCATCTGGCCCAGAGTGTGTCTAGATATGCCATCCAGGTGCTAGGGCCTGGAAAGGGGACCTCATGACTTTGCCCAGTGCTCCACCTTACTGTGGCTGATCTGGCATTCTGGTGGCAAGATAAAGTTCTCAGTACTATTTCCTCTCTTCTGCTCAAGCAGAAGGAAGGATTCTCTCTTGTAGCTATGAGCTGAACTTACATTATAAAAGAAGAAAGATCTCAAATAAGCTAACATTGTACCTCAAGGAATCAGAAAAGTAGGAAAAAACTAAACCCCAAATTAGTAGAAGGGAGGAAATAATAAAAATCAGAGTAGTAATAAATAAAATAGAGACCAGAAAAATAATAGAAAAGATCAATGAAATTAAGAGCTGATTTTTTGAAAAGATAAGAAAAATCAACAAATTTTTACCTAGATGAAGAAAGAGAGAAAACTCAAATAAATAATAAAATCAGAAATGAAAGAAGAGACATTACAAATGATATGACATAAATATAAAAAGTCATAAGAGGGTATTATGAAAAATGACATACCAAGAAAATGAATAACCTATTAGAAATGGATAAATTCCTGGGCACATACAACTATGAATATTAAATTATAAAAAAATAGAATATTTGAATGGGACTATAATGAATAAGAAAATTGAACCAGTAATAATAAGTCATGTATCAAAGAAAAGCCCAGTGTCTGATGGCTTCACAGCTGAATTATATCAAATATTTAAAAAATAACTTACATCAATTTGTTTCAAACTGTTACAAAAAATGGAAGAGGAGAGAATACTTCCAAACTTGTTTTATAAGACTACCATTGCATTGGAGCCAAGATGGCCAAATAGGAACAGCTCCCGTCGACAGTTCCCAGCGTGAGCAACGCCAAAGATGGTGATTTCTGCATTTCCATCTGAGGTACCGGCTTCATCTCACTAGGGGGTGCCAGACAGTGGGCGCAGGTCAGTGGGTGCGCGCACGGTGCGGGAGCCGAAGCAGGGTGAGGCATTGCCTCACTTGGGAAGCACAAGGGGTCAGGGAGTTCCCTTTCCTAGTCAAAGAAAAGGGTGACAGACGGCACCTGGAAAATCGGGTCACTCCCACCCGAATACTCCGCTTTTCCGACGGGCTTAAAAAACTGCACACCAGGAGATTATAAACCACACCTGGCTCGGAGGCTCCTATGCCCATGGAGTCTCGCTGATTGCTAGCACAGCAGTCTGAGATCAAACTGCAAGGCGGCAGCGAGGCTGGGGGAGGGGCGCCCACCATTGCCCAGGCTTGCTTAGGTAAACAAAGCAGCAGGGAAGCTCGAACTGGGTGGAGCCCACCACAGCTCAAGGAGGCCTGCCTGCCTCTGTAGGCTCCACCTCTGGGGGCAGGGCACAGACAAACAAAAAGACAGCAGTAACCTCTGCAGACTTAAATGTCCCTGTCTGACAGCTTTGAAGAGAGCAGTGGTTCTCCCAGCATGCAGCTGGAGATCTGAGAACGGGCAGACTGCCTCCTCAAGTGGGTCCCTGACCCCTGACCCCCGAGCAGCCTAACTGGGAGGCACCCCCCAGCAGGGGCAAACTGACACCTCACACAGAGTACTCCAACAGACCTGCAGATGAGGGCCCTGTCTGTTAGAAGGAAAACTAACAAACAGAAAGGACATCCACACCAAAAACCCATCTGTACATCACCATCATCAAAGACCAAAAGTAGATAAAACCACAAAGATGGGGAAAAAACAGAGCAGAAGAACTGGAAACTCTAAAACGCAGAGCGCCTCTCCTCCTCCAAAGGAACGCAGTTCCTCACCAGCAACGGAACAAAGCTGGATGGAGAATGACTTTGACGAGCGGAGAGAAGGCTTCAGACGATCAAATTACTCCGAGCTACTGGAGGACATTCAAACCAAAGGCAAAGAAGTTGAAAACTTTGAAAAAAATTTAGAAGAATGTATAACTACAATAACCAATACAGAGAAGTGCTTAAAGGAGCTGATGGAGCTGAAAACCAAGGCTCAAGAACTACGTGAAGAATGCAGAAGCCTCAGGAGCTGATGCAATCAACTGGAAGAAAGGGTATCAGCGATGGAAGATGAAATGAATGAAATGAAGTGAGAAGGGAAGTTTAGAGAAAAAAGAATAAAAAGAAATGAGCAAAGCCTCCAAGAAATATGGGACTATGTGAAAAGACCAAATCTACGTCTGATTGCTGTACCTGAAAGTGACAGGGAGAATGGAACCAAGTAGGAAAACACTCTGCAGGACATTATCCAGGAGAACTTCCCCAACCTAGCAAGGCAGGCCAACATTCAGATTCAGGAAATACAGAGAACACCACAAAGATACTCCTCGAGAAGAGCAACTCCAAGACACATAATTGTCAGATTCACCAAAGTTGAAATGAAGGAAAAAATGTTAAGGGCAGCCAGAGAGAAAGGTCGGGTTACCCTCAAAGGGAAGCCGATCAGACTAACAGCAGATCTTTCGGCAGAAACTCTACACGCCAGAAGAGAGTGGGGGCCAATATTCAACTTTCTTAAAGAAAAGAATTTTCAAGCCAGAATTTCATATCCAGCCAAACTAAGCTTCATAAGTGAAGGAGAAATAAAATACTTTACAGACAAGCAAATGTTGAGAGATTTTGTCACCACCAGGCCTGCCCTAAAAGAGCTCCTGAAGGAAGCGCTAAACATAGAAAGGAACAACCAGTACCAGCCACTGCAAAATCATGCCAAAATGTAAAGATCATCGAGACTAGGAAGAAACTGCATCAACTAACGAGCAAAATCACCAGCTAACATCATAATGACAGGATCAAATTCACACATAACAATATTAACTTTAAATGTAAATGGACTAAATGCTCCAATTAAAAGACACAGACTGGCAAATTGGATAAAGAGTCAACACCCATCAGTGTGCTGTATTCAAGAAACCCATCTCATGGGCAGAGACACACATAGGCTCAAAACAAAAGGATGGAGGAAGATCTACCAAGCAAATGGAAAACAAAAAAAGGCAGGGGTTGCAATCCTAGTCTCTGATAAAACAGACTTTAAACCAACAAAGACCAAAAGAGACAAAGAAGGCCATTACTTAATGGTAAAGGGATCAATTCAACAAGAAGAGCTAACTATCCTAAATATATATGCACCCAATACAGGAGCACCCAGATTCATAAAGCAAGTCCTGAGTAACCTACAAAGAGACTTAGACTCCCACACATTAATAATGGGAGACTTTAACACCCCACTGTCAACATTAGACAGATCAACGAGACAGAAAGTCAACAAGGATACCCAGGAATTGAACTCAGCTCTGCACCAAGCAGACCTAATAGACATCTACAGAACTCTCCACCCCAAATCAACAGAATATACATTTTTTTCAGCACCACACCACACCTATTCCAAAATCGACCACATACTTGGAAGTAAAGCTCTCCTCAGCAAATGTAAAAGAACAGAAATTATAACAAACTATCTCTCAGACCACAGTGTAATCAAACTAGAACTCAGGATTAAGAATCTCACTCAAAACCGCTCAACTACATGGAAACTGAACAACCTGTTCCTGAATGACTGCTGGGTACATAACAAAATGAAGGCAGAAATAAAGATGTTCTTTGAAACCAATGAGAACAAAGACACAACATACCAGAATCTGTGGGACACATTCAAAGCAGTGGGTAGAGGGAAATTTATAGCACTAAATGCCCACAAGAGAAAACAGGAAAGATCCAAAATTGACACCCTAACATCACAATTAAAAGAACTAGAAAAGCAAGAGCAAACACTTTCAAAAGCTAGCAGAAGGCAAGAAATAACTAAAATCAGAGCAGAACTGAAGGAAATAGAGACACAAAAAACCCTTCAAAAAATTAATGAATCCAGGAGCTGGTTTTTTGAAAGGATCAACAAAATTGATAGACCACTAGCAAGACTAATAAAGAAAAAAAGAGAGAAGAATCAAATAGATGCAATAAAAAATGATAAAGGGGATATCACCACCGATCCCCCAGAAATACAAACTACCATCAGAGAATACTACAAACACCTCTACGCAAATAAACTAGAAAATCTAGAAGCAATGGATAAATTCCTCAACACATACACTCTCCCAAGACTAAACCAGGAAGAAGTTGAATCTCTGAATAGACCAATAACAGGAGCTGAAATTGTGGCAATAATCAATAGCTTACCAACCAAAGAGAGTCCAGGACCAGATGGATTCACAGCCGAATTCTAACAGAGGTACAAGGAGGAACTGGTACCATTCCTTCTGAAACTATTGCAATCAATAGAAAAAGAGGG
Source organism: Homo sapiens (assembly GCF_000001405.40). Classification (NCBI taxonomy): domain Eukaryota; kingdom Metazoa; phylum Chordata; class Mammalia; order Primates; family Hominidae; genus Homo; species Homo sapiens. The sequence continues at coordinate 85,532,696 of NC_000023.11, forward strand.
AATCCTCCCTAACTCATTTTATGAGGCCAGCATCATCCTGATAACAAAGCTGGGCAGAGACACAACAAAAAAGAGTTTTAGACCAATATCCTTGATGAATATTGATGCAAAAATCCTCAATAAAATACTGGCAAACCAAATCCAGCAGTACATCAAAAAGCTTATCCACCATGATCAAGTGGGCTTCATCCCTGGGATGCAAGGCTGGTTCAATATACGCAAATCAATAAATGTAATCCAGCATATAAACAGAACCAAAGACCAAAACCAAATGATTATCTCAATAGATGCAGAAAAGGCCTTTGACAAAATTCAACAACACTTCATGCTAAAAACTCTCAATAAATTAGGTATTGATGGGACGTATCTCAAAATAATAAGAGCTATCTATGACAAACCCACAGCCAATATCATACTGAATGGGCAAAAACCGGAAGCATTCCCTTTGAAAACTGGCACAAGACAGGGATGCCCTCTCTCACCATTCCTATTCAACATAGTGTTGGAAGTTCTGGCCAGGGCAATTAGGCAGGAGAAGGAAATAAAAGGTATTCAATTAGGAAAAGAGGAAGTCAAATTGTCCCTGTTTGCAGATGACATGATTGTATATCTAGAAAACCCCATTGTCTCAGCCCAAAATCTCCTTAAGCTGATAAGCAACTTCAGCAAAGTCTCAGGATACAAAATCAATGTACAGAAATCACAAGCATTCTTATACACCAACAACAGACAAACAGAGAGCCAAATCATGAGTGAACTCCCATTCACAATTGCTTCAAAGAGAATAAAATACCTAGGAATCAAACTTACAAGGGATGTCAAGGACCTCTTCAAGGAGAACTACAAACCACTGCTCAAGGAAATAAAAGAGGATACAAACAAATGGAAGAACATTCCTTGCTCATGGGTAGGAAGAATCAATATCATGAAAATGGCCATACTGCCCAAGGTAATTTACAGATTCAATGCCATCCCCAACAAGCTACCAATGACTTTCTTCACAGAATTGGAAAAAACTACTTTAAAGTTCATAGGGAACCAAAAAAGAGCCCGCATCGCCAAGTCAATCCTAAGCCAAAAGAACAAAGCTGGAGGCATCACGCTACCTGACTTCAAACTATACTACAAGGCTACAGTAACCAAAACAGCATGGTACTGGTACAAAAACAGAGATATAGATCAATGGAACAGAACAGAGCCCTCAGAAATAACGCCACGTATCTACAACTATCTGATCTTTGACAAACCTGAGAAAAACAAGCAATGGGGAAAGGATTCCCTATTTAATAAATGGTGCTGGGAAAACTGGCTAGCCATATGTAGAAAGCTGAAACTGGATCCCTTCCTTACACCTTATACAAAAATCAATTCAAGATGGATTAAAGACTTAAACGTTAGACCTAAAACCATAAAAACCCTAGAAGAAAACCTAGGCATTACCATTCAGGACATAGGCTTGGGCAAGGACTTCATGTCTAAAACACCAAAAGCAATGGCAACAAAAGACAAAATTGACAAATGGGATCTAATTAAACTAAAGAGCTCCTGCACAGCAAAAGAAACTACCATCAGAGTGAGCAGGCAACCTACAAAATGGGAGAAAATTTTCACAACCTACTCATCTGACAAAGGGCTAATATCCAGAATCTACAATGAACTCAAACAAATTTACAAGAAAAAAACATAAAACCCCATCAAAAAGTGGGCAAAGGACATGAACAGACACTTCTCAAAAGAAGACATTTATGCAGCCAAAAAACACATGAAAAAATGCTCACCATCACTGGCCATCAGAGAAATGCAAATCAAAACCACAATGAGATACCATTTCACACCAGTTAGAATGGCAATCATTAAAAAGTCAGGAAACAACAGGTGCTGGAGAGGATGTGGAGAAATTGGAACACTTTTACACTGTTGGTGGGACTGTAAACTAGTTCAACCATTGTGGAAATCAGTGTGGCCATTCTTCAGGGATCTAAAACTAGAAATATCATTTGACCCAGCCATCCCATTACTGGGTGTATACCCAAAGGACTATAAATCATGCTGCTATAAAGACACATGCACACGTAGGTTTATTGTGGCATTATTCACAATAGCAAAAACTTGGAACCAACCCAAATGTCCAACAATGATAGACTGGATTAAGAAAATGTGGCACATATACACCATGGAATACTATGCAGCCATAAAAAAATGATGAGTTCATGTCCTTTGTAGGGACATGGATGAAATTGGAAATCATCATTCTCAGTAAACTATCACAGGAACAAAAAATGAAACACCGCATATTCTCACTCATAGGTGGGAATTGAACAATGAGAACACATGGACACAGGAAGGGGAACATCACACTCTGGGGACTGTTGTGGGGTGGGGGGAGGGGGGAGGGATAGCATTGGGAGATATACCTAATGCTAGATGACGAGTTAGTGGGTGCAGTGCACCAGCATGGCACATGTATAAATATGTAACTAACCTCCACATTGTGCACATGTACCCTAAAACTTAAAGTATAATAATAATAATAAATAAATAAATAAAAAGACTACCATTGCCCTGATATGAAAGCCAAACAGGACAGTACAAAAAGAAAAGAAAAGAAAAGAAAAGAAAAGAAAAGAAAAGAAAAGAAAAGAAAAGAAAAGAAAAGAAAAGAAAAGAAAAGAAAAGAAAGCAAAGCAAAGAAAGAAAAACAAAGAAAACTACAGAGCAATATCCCTGATAAAAATAGAGGCAAAAATCCTCAACAAAACACTAGCAAGCAAAATTCAACAGCACATTAAAGAGATCATTCACCATGATCCAATGATATTCCTTCCTGGGATGAAAAGATGGCTCCACATGTGCAAACCAATAAATACAATACATCACATTAATTGAATAAAGGACAAAAACCATATGCTCATTGCAATTGATACGGAAAAAGCATTTGACAAAATTCAACATCCTTTCATAATAGAAACCTGCAAAAATTAAATATAAATATTCTGCAACAAAATAAAGGCCATGTGTGACAAACCTACAGCTAACATCATACCTAATGGGAACAGTTCAAAGCTTTTTCTTTAAGATCCAAAATAAGAAAAGGATACTCACTCTTGCCATGTCTATGCAACAGAGTATTGGAAGTCCAAGCCAGAGCTATTAATCAAGACAAAGAAATAAAGGACATCCAAATTGGAACGGAAGAAGTTAAACTACAGGTGACATGATCTTATATATAGAAAACCCTGAAGAATTCACCAAAAAGCTGTTAGAACTAATAAAAGGATTCCAGTTGCAAGATACAAAATCAACATACAAAAATCAGTAACATTTCTATACACTGATAATAAACTACCTCAAAAAGAAATCAATAAAACAATCCCATTTATAATATCTATGAAAACATACTTAGGAAGAAACTTAACCAAGGAAGTGAAACATCTCTACACTGAAAACTATAAAACATTGACAAAAGAAATTGAAGACATTAATAAATGGAAAGACATCCCACATTCATGGATTGGAGGAGTCAATATTGTTAAAATGTCCATACTATCCAAGCAATCTACAAATTTGATGCAATCGCTATGAAAACATGAAGGATATTCTTCATAGAAATAAAACATCCTAAACTTCATATGGAACCACAAAAGACCCTGAATACCCACAGCAATCTTGAACAAAAAAAAACAAGAGTTGTCACACTACATTACTTCAAAATATGCTACAAAGCTATAGTAACAAAAACAGCATGATACTGGCATAGGAACTGATACAGAGACCACTGGAGCAGAATAGAGAACTCAGAAATAAATCTACACATTTACAGCCATCTGATTTTCCACAAAGGTGTCAAGAACACACATTGGGGAAAGAACAGTCTCTTTAATAAATGCTGTTGGAACAACTGGATATCCACATGTAGGAGAATGAAACTAGACCCTTATCTTACCTCATGTACAAAAATGAACTCAAAATGGATTAAATACTAAAATCTAAAAGCCAAAATTATAAAACTTCTAGAAGAAAATATAGGAGAAAAACTATATGACATTAGTCATGTTAATGATTTTTTGGATATAACACCGAAAGCACAGGAAATAAAAACAAAAATAAACACGTTAAACAACATCAAACTAAAAAGCTCTACAAGGCCAAGAAAGCAGTTAATAAAATAGAAAGACAATCTATAGAATAGGAGAATATATTTGCTAACCATCCCTCTGATAAGGAGTTAATATACGAATTATATAAAGAACTTAAAGAATTCACTAGCAAGAAAACAATCCAGTTTTAAAATGGGCAAAGGACCTGAATAGATATTTCTCAAAAGAAGACATACAAATTCCAAGAGGTATATGAAGAAATGCTGAACATCACTGATCATGAGGGAAATGCAATTTAAATCCACAAGGAGATATCACCTCACACCTGTTAGAATGGCCATTGTGAAAAAGACAAAAGATAAATGTTGACGAAGAGGTGGAGAAAAGGGAGCATTTGAAAACTGTTGGTGGGAATATTAGTCAATACAGTCCTTAAGGAAAACAGTATAAAGGTTCCTCAAAAAACTAAAAATAGAGCTATCATATAATCTTGCAATCTTATTACTGGGTATATATCAAAAGGAAATGAAATCAGTATGCCAATTAGATATCTGCACTCTCATGTTCATTGCAGCATTATTCACAATGTCTATCAATGAATGAATGGATAAAGAAAATGTGGCATAAATACACAATGGAATACTATTCAGCTATAAAAGAAGAAAATCTTGCCTTTTCTGACAACATGAATGAACCCGGAGGACAAGTACAGAAATGCAAATACTGTATGATCTCACTCATATGTGGAACAAAAATATTAGATCTTAGAATTATAGAGTGGTGGCTATGATGGGCTGGAGTATTTGAAGGGGGGTGTTGTGGAGATGTTAGCTAAAGGATAAAAAATCTCAGAAGGAATAAGTTCAAGAAATTGTACACCATGATAACTATAGTTAATAAAAATATTCTTGAAAAATGCTAAGAGCAGATCTTAAGTGTTCTCATCACAAAAATGATAACTATGTGAGGTAGTACATATGTTAACTAGCTAGATTTAGTCACTCCACACTGCATATATACATAAAACATTATGTTCTACATAAAAATACATACAATTTTACTCATCAATTAAAAACTAAAATAAAAAAATAAAATACAATATGGAAAATTTAAAATTAGGCTTTACTTTTCAAAAGACATGTCAGTGTCAAGATCATTGTTACTTGAATAAATATATTTAGTAAAAACATTAAACTCTGGAGTGGTCTTTGAATCACCTCCTGACATGTATTGATCAATGATCAATTATAGGTAGAGAATATCAGAAAGCAACTTTTATGCCTGGGTAACCAATGTGATAACACATGACTTCATTGTTTGGTGACTGAACAACAAGTAGATGCAAAGTTGCTGAATAGTTAGCTGTCTATGTGACATAAGCTTCTGTAGACAGGAAGACTAAAATCACGTACAATCTAATAACTATCATAATTCTAAAGTTCTGATGTATGTAAATAACATTTTAAGACATCTGCAATGACAGTTATGTGATATAAAAATATCTGTGATTTCTATTGTTGACAGTCACAGGTACTGCTAATCCTATTGCGGTTTGTTGTCTATTATCATAATATAAGATAATGTCAAATTTTAGTTAGGTTAGTGAAAATCGAGATTTAATTTTTTTCTGATGTGCATTCTGAGAATCCTCCATTGCTGTAGGCTGATGCCTGGTTATGAACCCTGCTTAGAGTGTAGTTTCAGTTGCATGGAAAGAATGTAAGCAAATGAAGTGGAATCATAGCCAAACTGCAAAACTGGGCTAAAGAGCACAAGTCAAAAAAAGACTGAAAGGGGAAACACCTCTTCCTCAGGTGTAGAAAAGAAAGGAGAAGATGGCTTTCTGTATATTTAGAAGATGAAATATTTATTTTCCTGCAGTGTCCTTTGCAAAGAAGTCTTCTTTCTTTATGAGATGTCCTGTAAAATCAGCTTTAGAAAAAGATTGTGCATAATTGATTATTTTGTGGCACACTAGGACTTTAAAATAATATCATTCTTATATAATAGCTTTTTTAAAGTCTCATTTTTATCATTAAAAATGAACATCAGACTTTTCCCTAATATCTACAATGCAGCAAGACCTTTTAAACTCAGGTGCTGCTTACTTTCCAAGAATGGCATTTTCTCCTACAGCTATTCTTTCCTCATGATATATTTCTGTTTCCCACACATATCAAGTTTTGCTCATGTGAGCTTTCCTTGATTTATAAGTGTTATTTTTGTATTTTTCTATTAAAGAAGACTCTTTGATTATTAGAATTTTCATATCACATACTAAAGTAACACCATAATCTATTACCATCTCATACAATCTTTATGACAAATATTTTATAATGGTAATGGGCCATCTTCAATAAGGATCGACGTCTTGCAAAATTTGGTTCAAATTTGGCTATTTCTAATAAGCCTTATGTGAAAAATCCCTCTAATTCCTCTGCTCAATTGACAGAGATGAAATGGATTTACAGCATTGATGATTAGATGTTTGAAGAAGGGAATTAGAGCTCACACTCTTTCCATTTGTTTCATTTACCTAGGTTTTGACCTCACTATGCAGCATGAGTAGTAGTTTCTAGAACATTGTTTTTGCTGTGATATTTATCATTTATTAAAAATAAATACAATGTTGACATTTTTCTTACTAAAAGAGTAGAGTATAGGCTTTTAGTTTTCTGAAATTTTTCTAAGAATTACCCTTGCTCTGATAATTCTCTTTGAAGTTGTTAAACCTAAGACACTGCCTAATTACAGATAATCTGCTTAGAGGGCTGGAATAAATGTTTGGTTGGATTTATGTAACATGTGTTATTATTTGAGGAGGCTGACTCCTAGAGGGCAGCATCCTTGAAGGATCTCTAGCACTTACATATCGAAATATTAGGTCACTTAACTCAGTGAAAGGGTTATTGTCCATTCTCTCAAGGTTCATGATCATCCAACTGCTTCTCATTGTGTTTTAAGTCATCTTAACCCTTCAGAGCCGATATTTTCGTCAACATATGTTTATTGCACACACACTTAGCGCAGATTACTGTGTTAGGCAAAATGGAGCTACAGACCACAAATTAGGAATGGCCCTTGCCCTTGAGGAGCTTATAGTTCATAGAAATGACACTTGCCTCTGTTGGTTTTTACTTTCCATTACTCTCTCATGCCCTAAAACATCTCAGTGCTGCCCTTCCTACTACAGGCTGGAGCCAAGAATTTATACAAATAAGGGGTGTTACAAATTTTGCTTTTGTAATGCTATTTTCTGTCAAAGGCACCTGCCATTACTCCTTTGTTAGGAGTAGGGCTGGCACATACTGGGCCAGCCCTGGCTTTTCTAGTAAAACATTTAACCGGGGCATAAACCAGGTATCCGTCACAATTGTTACATTCTCTACTTGTTATTTCAATTTCAAAATGAGAGGCTCTGCCCAGCATCAGCTTTAGTTCAATAAACAATGCCCTTAGGACTTATTGTCTTATGGTTAAGAAAGGATGAGACATAATTTCATAACTAATGTGGTATCTAAATTGTGACTCGACTACATGAGAATGTTATTTCTTGTCATCTCCACCTATGTTTAACTATATGCCCAAGTGTGCATAGGAACACGGAGGCCAAAATGAAATTTTGAATTTTATGTATTTCTGTTTTACTTAGACTCATTGAACCAGTTTAAACTTATAATCTACATTAAAATGGCCCTTATGTAAAATGTTCCCCTAAGAACAAAAATAAAGTCTTTATTTTTTCTATCCCCTTTCACCAATTAAACCCAGCTCAACAGCATTTTCATTAAAGACATTGTGGTATTTTTCTTTAACACCATTTGCTTTGGTTAAATTCTGTTTTGCATTTCAGAGAGAGTAAGAGAGAGTATTGTTTGCTACAGTGTTGTCATAAGATTTTATAACACTGGTTGATGATGGCAAAGATTTCTTTCCATGAAGGACAGACACTCATGTGTAAATAATTAATATCCAAGAAAATATCCAGTCTATACTAAGCATGCCTACCTCTTCAAAGTCTTGGAAAAGCAGAAGATGTACCTTTTAGATTTGACATATATAAAACCTATAATTCACCGCAGGGGTTATTTTCTGATCTTAAACTACAGCTATTTCAAACTCCGGATTAGCTATTTGGATATACTTGTTTTTTTATAGATTCCACTTCTCCCATATCCTATTAGTATTTGAGGTTCTTGTTTAAAACACAAACATACAGTATCAAAACATCTCATGTACAGCAGTGCGCGGTGGCTCACGCCTGTAATCCCAACACTTTGGGAGGATGAGGTGGGTGGATCACGAGGTCAGGAGATTGAGACTATCCTGGCTAACACGGTGAAGCCATGTATCTACTAAAAATACAAAAATTAGCCGGGCGTGGTGGCACGCGCACGTAGTCCCAGCTACTCCGGAGGCTGAGGCAGGAGAATCGCTTGAACCCAGGAGGCGGAGATTGCAGCCAGACGAGATCGCGCCACTGCACTCCAGCCTGGGTGTTGGAGTGAGACTCCGTCTCAAAACAAAGAAACAAACAAAAAATCTCATGTACCTCATAAATATATATGTACCCACAAAATTTAAAATTCAAAATTTTTAAAATACAAACATAAAAATCAATAATCTCAAACTCTTTCAGGGGGTTTTCCACTAATAACACCCGTAAATATCTATAAATTAGATAATAGGTATAAAGCAGCTATTGACAAGAGTGGCATACAGTAGGTACCCCAATATATTTATTCCCTCTGTTTCTTTAATGAGGGTCCCCATAGTATAAGCAATTATTATCTATATTTAAAAATAAAAGTAAAGAAATAAGTTTAACGTGCTATATTAAATGGAAAGGCTTATCAAAATGAGTCCAGGTAAAAATGTGCTTTTTACTTCTTTCTCCACCTCCCCTTCTCAAAAATTTTCACATTAATAGTGTAATGATAATATTTAATGAGAATGTGCTTCCTATGTGATGTTCATGTTAAAACAACGACATTCAGCTATTTTTTTTTGTTTAAAAATGCGCAGGCCAGAAATGTAAATTCTTACTATTATTATGTTTAACACTTAAAGTAAATAATTATCTACTGAAGGCTGACAATTTTCACAGTTCTTAACACCTGGCCAAAACAGTATAGCGTCTGCACTAAGCTCCACATGATAGCAATTGGCCTAAATCTTATTCCCTCTGGGTTACATTTTCATTGTGAACTTTCAGAGAATAAACAGATTCATAATACTATGAAATAAATGAGGCTTTACCACTTTAAACAGAATAGTCAGTTGTGCATGTTTGTAAAAATTCTGATAGAACACTCGCATGAAATATTACACTGTTTCTAATAACAGGAAGAATTGTATAGATACTTCACTCCATTACATTTTATAATTCAGGGCAATTTCAAGAATTGGTCTGGAACCAAAGGTTTTAAGTAAAGGAGTTAGAGGAACACAAGATCAAAAAAACCCTGTATTCTAATTAAATCATTATAGTGGTTTCTATAATGGTGAACTGAAATAAATGATATGCAACGCCTCTAAAACACCTGATGCTTATCATATGGGCTCAGTGGATTATTCACAAAAGTGTCTGAGAACAGAGCTTACATTTTCCAAATAATTCAAAATGCTTAGGAAGAAAAGATGGCATTCTCCCCAGTTTTACAGAGTTTAATGCTTCTGTTTACTGGTATAAAAGAAAGTGTTAGGGTCTCATAGGTGCTGACAAATTATGTCCTTATGGCTCCTCTTATTATGTGAAAAAGCTTTAGTGATTTCTCACAAAATAAGGTGAGCTACAGAGTCTAAATATCTTCGAGTGCCTAAACTTGTTTGATTAAAAAATTGAATCAGTGAAACTGAAACCGTCTTTGCAAAGATTATAACTGAGAAAATTATTACAGTGGAAGAGGTCTGACCTAACCCACTCCGTCTTGCTTCTAACCTCCAAGCTATCTTTGTTCATTCCTAGGCATAATCAAACTAACTTTGGGAAGAACTTAGTTTATAGTTTAGCTTTCATACAAAGACTATAAGAGCCCTTTCACAAAACAAACCCTTTTCCTGGCTGGGGACTAGACTGCCTTTGCAGGACTAACAAATTAGCCACAAGATTAGAAATTATGGTTTAGCAATCATGCAACTGGAGGCTACAAGATTCTAATCCTCCTCCCCCAGATTTCTTCTGGGGATAATATCACTATTGTAAAACCTAAGATCAGGGCTTGAGATATTTTGCAGCCTCTACACACAATGGATCAGCTGGTACCACGCAGATCGATAAACTGGCTCACCTGGGTCTTGTGGCCCCAACCCAGGAACTGATTCAGGATAAGAGGATAGCTTCCACTCCCTATGATTTCATCTCTGACCCAACCAATCAGCACTCCTGATTCACTGGCCCCCTACCCGCCAAGTTATCCTTAAAATCTCTGGTCCCCAAATTCTTGCGAGACTGATACGAGTAATAATAAAACTGGTCTGCCACACAGCCAGCTCTGCATGAGTTACTCTTTCTGTATTGCAATCCCCTGTCTTGGTAAATCGGCTCTGTATAGGCAGCAGGCAAGGTGAGGCCATTGGGCATTTACAAAGCAACTGGTTTTTGGCAGAGGAGTAACTAGTTGATTTTTTTTTTTTTTTTTTGAGACGGAGTCTAGCTTTGTCGCCCAGGCTGGAGTGCAGTGGTGTGATCTCGGCTCACTGCAAGCTCCGCCTCCCGGGTTCACACCATTCTCCTGCCTCAGCCTCCCTAGTGGCTGAGACTACAGGCGCCCGCCACTAGGCCCGGCTAATTTTTTGTATTTTTAGTAGAGACGGGGTTTCACCGTGTTAGCCAGGATGGTCTCGATCTTCTGACCTCGTGATCCGCCCGCCTCGGCCTCCCAATTAGTTGGTTTTAATAAACTGTATAAACTCATTCTCTCATTTTTCTTCTCGAAATGAGTATATATTTGCAGATAGGAACGAATCTACTTATAATTTTGTGTGTGTACCTTATTGAGACACGGACAGGATTTTGATGGGCTATGATTATTTTAAAAGGTATATGCTTTAAACATTGGCTTTTTAAAGGCTTCACTAGATTATTTTGACATGATTCGCCTTCTACTGCTTCCATGAAGCCACGTTATTTTAGTTCTTTCTAGGGAGGACAAAAACAGTTTAACATTTAAATGCTGACAAACACTGGAACAAAATAATAAGCCATATAGTGTCTCTCCACTTCCTCCAGTCTGGTCCAACTCAGATGTCCCTAGGACCATATGTGTATAATTTTAGAACTGCTTTGGGAAATTCGGTTTCCAAGAATAAGAATAAAAATAAAGTGGGAAGAATGAGACTAGTTATAACTTATGACCTTATTATAATATATCTCTGCCAAAAATATCTTCAGAAGCACAATCACTTCACTTCTATTATTACATTATCACACAAACTAAGTGCATTCTAAATCTCAAAGGTTGTTTTTTTTTTTTTTCTCACATGGTTCATTTCCATGTAAATCTCACAATTTTTAAAGTTTGTTCCTAGGAATAACAATATAATAAACAGGCTAACTTTTTGTTAGAAATTTAACATAAAAAATGACTTGTTTATTTCTCAGGGCAACACAAAACTGCCAAGGTTTGTGACCCACATGTGTTATTTCTTCTATTCAGAGCAATGCTAATGATTTGAATGTACCCTTTTCAATATGCCACAAAGTATCCTTTTGGGAGTTACTTGAGCAATATTCTAAGGACTCTTTTCTCTATAAAGAGTCAGGAGTGTTCATTTAGATCCATGTTTTCTCTGAAAAGTATTTTCCTGGCATTTCCATGTATAAAACAACCCTGAAGTCAGAGAAAAGAGATTTGATATGGTATAGTTTGTTGCACTTCAAGTGAGAAATGTCGATGTTTTAACAAATTAGTCTTTTAACCTTAACTCCTTTTAAAATCCTAAAACTTTGGACATTTGTTCAAGCTTTGACTCATTCATTTATCCTTTCGTTTTTTAGTAAATTTAGGGGCGAAAATTATTTTGTTAGAAAATCACTAGCACCATCTACTGTTGCTTTTTGGAACTACCTCAAAATACTTTTTAAAAAATTATATCTACATATTTGAATTTTAAATATTTTTATCTTTTATTATAGATATAGAAGGTACACGTATGGATTTGTTTCATGGGTATGTTGCACTCAGGTATTGAGCATAGTAACCAATAGATAGTTTTAAATCCATTCCTCCCCTCCTCCCTCTAGGAATCTGCAATGTCTATTGTTCCTATGTTTATGTCCGTGGGTGTTCCATGCTTAGCTATCACTTACAAGTAAAAACATGCAGTATTTGGTTTTCAGTTTCTGCATTAATTTCCTTAGGATTACGGTCTCTAGTTCCATCCGTGTTGTTGCAAAGGACATGGTTTCAGTTTTTTTTATGACTGCATACTATTCCATGATGCATATGTACCACACTTTCTTTATCCAATCCACCTAGGTTGATTCCATGTCTTTGCTATCATGAATACTGCAGGAATAAAAATACAAGTGCATGTGTCTTTTTGGTATGATGATCTATTTTCCTTTGGGTATATACCCAGTAATAGGATTGCTGGGTCAAATGGTAATTGTTTTAAGTTCCTTGAGAAATCTCCAAACTGCTTTCCACAGTGGCTAAACTAATTTTTATTCCCACCAGCAGTGTATAAGCACTCCCTTTTCTCTGTAGCTTCACCAGCATCTGTTGTTTTTTGAATTTTTAATAATAGCCATTCTAACTGGTGTGAGATGGTATTTCATTGTATTTTGTATTTGTCTTTTCATGTTTGTTGGCCACATGTATGTCTTCTTTTGAAAAGTGTTTGTTTATGTCCTTTGCCCATTTTTAATGGGGTTATTTGTTTTTGCCTATTGATTTGTTGGAGTTCCTTATAGATCCTGGATATTAGACCTTTGTAGGATGCAGTTCGTGAATATTTTCTTTCATTCAGTGAGTTTTCTATTTACTCTATTGATAGTTTTTTTTTCTGTGAAGGAACTCTTTAGTTTAATTAGGTCGTACTTGTCAAGTTTTGTTTTCTGCAATTGCTTTTAAGAACTTAGCCAAAAGTTCATCACTAAGGCTGATGTCAAGAAGGGTTCCTAGGTTTACTTCTAGGATTCTCATACTTAGAGGTCTTACATTTAAGTCTTCAAATCACATTGACTTAATTTTTATATATGTTTAAAGGCAAGGGTCCAGTTTCAATCTTCTGCATATGGCTATCCAGCTATATCCCAGCACCATTTATTGAATTGAGAATCCTTTCCCCATTGCTTGTTTTTGTTGGCCTTGTCAAAGATCAGATGTTTGTAAGTATGAGGCTTTATTTCTGAGTTTACTATTCTGTTCCATTGGTCTATGTGCCTAGTTTTGTGCTAGTACCATGATGTTTTGGTTACTATAGCCTTATAATATAATTTGAAGTTAGGTAGTGTGATGCCTCTGGCTTTGTTCTTTCTTGCTTAGGATTTCTTTAGCTCTTCAGTTTCTTTTTTGGTTCTATATGAATTTTAGAACTTTTTTTTCTAATTCTCTAAAGAGTGGCAATGTTAGTTTGATAAGAATATTGTTGAATCTGTAAATTGCTTTGGGCAGTATGCCATTTTAACGATATTGATGCATCCAATCTGTAAGCATGAGATGTTTTTTTTCATTTATTTGTGTCATCTCTGTTTTTTTTCTTTTTTTCTTTTCAGCTGTCTTTTGTCATTCTCCTTATAGAGATCTTTCACTTCCTTGGGTAGTTGTATTCCTAGGTATTTCACATACATATATATATGAATATATATATATATATATATATATATATATATATATATATATATATATACCAATTGTATATGGTATATATATAATGTATATATAATGTAATGGTATATATATATATACCAATTGAAAAATGATTGCAAGAGATTTGGACTTTATAATGATTGAAAAAGATTTGGAATCTTACTAAACAAAATTTAAATGTTAAATATTATTATGTGTGCCTTCAAAGTCTGAGTGGGTAAAAACTAATTATGTATTTGGACATTAGGGGTTAGGTAAAAAGAAATAAGTGATAAAAACATTATCACTATCCTCAGGAGTCCTAAGGAACGAAATAAAATCACATTCTCAAAAACCATATAAATGTAATTTTCTGAAGTGGTTTTGAGATTCATGGATGTCATGGACCAGTAAAATATCTCCCCAATTTTAGGGACCAACATAAGGTTGCCAGCTTTTTATTTTGCTTGTTGTAACCATTAAAATTTTAGTTCACTTTTAGGATAATTTCACACACATAAAACTAACACAATTTTAGAATATAAGGCAGTCTATTAAAAAACGTAATACATACTGCGGCCTGCTGGAGGGTGGAGGGTGGGAAGAGGGAGAGGATCAGCAAAAATAACTAAAGGATACTAGGCTTAATACCTGGGTGATGAAATAATCTATGTAACGAACTCCCATGACACACGTTTACCTATGTAAAAATGTAATACATTTAGTGTTATGAAAAATTCAATGTTGTTTTTATTTTTCTCATTTGTCTGGAATGGCACTGGTCAAATAATAAACTGTTACTTGGGAACAACAATTTTACAGCATATCAGATGAAGACTAGATAATGAAGTTTCAAGAAGAAAAAGAGTAGGCCATGGTATTTTAAAGTATTTTAAAGGTATTATAGGAGGACATTATAGAAAGAATGGCTTGCACTCTGTGTTGGTGGGTGGGTGCTATGGAATTGATTAGTTCTCATTCACAACATTTTTTTTCCTGTCACTTAGAAAATTTGGCATCAATTGAGATCTAGAAATACGTAAAGAAAATAAATGGCATTGACAGTTTTATTGGTTACCAGAAGTATTATCACAAAACAAAGAGCATAGTAATAAAGTGATTTATGGGAAAATATTATGTGACTTAGGAGAAATCAAAATGTGTATTCAATTATGCCAAAAATATCCTGAACTAAAGAAGTTCTTCTTTGCTTTTTATTGACACAATTAAAATTTCTGTCAAAGGAAACAAGCATTTCCATGTGGTTTAATTATGTTCTCTAACTAGACTTTCTCTAAATCTTCTGGCATCACTGGACCGTATTCTAATCAGATTCTGTTATGTTATGTTAAATCTGTGGTTCTTTTTAATGCCCTAAAGAATTTGATAAAATAAAAAAGATATTTAAATAAAAAAGGAATTGTAGCTACCTACCCTAGAGAAAAATAATTATGAAGAAGACATAGGATGAAAATATTTGCCAGTCTAATCACTACATGATTTCTAATACATATTTCCAAATGAAGTAATCCACTTCCTATGAAATACCAAAATAAGTTCCCATGGTAAGCAGTCTGAATATGGGGTTTGGCACAAGTAAATTATTTCTCTCCTTACAGTTAATAATTAGTACACGCAGAATGGTTGCAAATTTCCAATTTTCATGGACCTAATAGCAACAAAATTGTAAATTATAGGATTGGAAAAAAACTTGATGAAAGCAAGAAAGCCAATGGTTTAGGGGAAATAATACAGTTCCAATTGAATAACCAATTCTGAATTGTTAAGAGGAAATAATGAGACAATGTTGATCGATAGAAGCTTCTTGTATCAATGGGGCATTGTTGAAAGGAATATTCACTTATAATAATCACGATTTGTTAAATTCTACCTGGTTTTGGAAGAGACCTTCAGAGCAGAACATCAAAAAAGAATAATACTTAGATTAGGGATCCCATAATCACACCATTATATTTATGTACAAATTTACAAATGAGCATTATTTTAAAAAAATATGTACGCAGTTTTAGATCTGGAGTTTCCAATTGTATAGTGGCACACAGAGAGGGTTTTGATAAGACTCAAAGACTGTTTGGGATTAGTCTGTCCATCTTCCTCTTGACTAACTTGAAAAAGAATACAATAATTTCTACCAAGGAGGTGAGATTAAAAAGAATAAATGGAGAGGAGACTTTTTACTGTGAGCCAAGCAGAATGGTAGTAAAGGAGTTCCTGATGTCATTTTTTTTAAATTTCTTATTTTTTGCTAATCACAACAAAACAGGTAAGAATGTAAGAATTCGGTTAGGGAATTCCCCATATTAAACAAGTATGTATTAAGTGAAATTGTGGTTGTTAGGCTGCCTGGTGCATGGTGTGATGTGAGGAATTTGAGAAGGTTTCTCATTCTTTAACTCTCTCCTTTCCTGAAGACTTCTTGTTGGTACCTAAAATTAAATCATTAACAAATCTTTCCTTTAATTAACTAAAGTTCCTGGAGAGCCCTTTCAAATATTAATTTTATGTACTGCTCCTGAGTAAGTGGTAACGCTAACAATATGAATTAATTTTGCCAGTTGTGAAAAGACATGATACTGTAAATAGTAGGTAGCAATGGAGTAGGTGGGGTTGGGGACTTGAAAAGGAGGAAACAGCCCACAAAAAGAAGGAAGACAGAAACAAAATTACATTTCTGACTATTTTACAATTTGGCCTAGGGACAGTTCTTGGTACTAGGTAAACTTCTTAGTGGATTATTTAAATTAGACAGAATGCATGAGGCGATGATTTAAAAACAAACAAAAACTAATTTTATCTTCACATTTTTTAATCTTGTGCAGGTCTTTACCAATTTATTTGATGTAAAATTTGCTGAGTAGAGTAAGAAGCTTTCCTAGTTGATACAAGTTAGTTTATTTGAAAAGGAGGATATTTAACATTAATGAAAATACTTTTCAATTGGCAGATAAATCATTGTTTAGCTTTTGACGTGCTTGCTAGACAATTTTGGACCCAAGCCATACACTACTTTTTCAGAGAATGTTTCACTTCAAAAACAAGATCTGTAGAGTTGGAAATAGCAAGTGGTTTTCACTGGGAAATCCTAATTGGCATCTGTCAATTCTGACCTGCTGCTGAAAGACATAAAATGTCAATTTCCATTTCAGTTGAGATAGGCTTCTCATCAGTAACTTTTAGAGCATTAAGTGGCTCTAATACAAGTGGCGTCATTTGAATCTGGTGGCAAAAGAGGTCCTCTCTTTCTCATCTCCTTATTAACCCGACTTCCACCTGCCACTATTCAGGAACGTCCACCCTGCAAAGAAATTTAAATTTACATGCAGTTCCGGAAACTTCAAGGACTAAAACTAGGAGTTACATTCCAGAGAGAGAAACAAAGTAAGCAGAGGATTTAAGATACTGGCTGGGGACAAAATCATGAAGGAGACTAATTAAGCAAGTCTATTAACAAATAAGTTGAGAAAATTTAAGACCAGAGACAGAAGTAGACAGGATTCCAGAGATAGAAAGGCAGAAATCCTAAGTGACTGGGATCATGGTCAGAACCCAAAGCTGGGATTCAAATGCCAGAGTCCAGGAAACAAAGCAGCCTAGATAACTGAGACAAATTTGCCAACTGATTATCACTAACTTTTCACCAACATCAGTGACTGTGGAAAGGGAGAAAAAGGACTTATACTATATAGTATATGGATTTTAAAATGCTTGGCTTTGAGAATAGTAAAAAATGACAATGGGCTTGCAACACTTTTAGAGATCATGGAACATAGGAACACTCAATAAACATTAGCTATCATTATGCTGTAGAATAGATTTAAGAATTTTTAAGAGAGCAGGGTTCTTCTGTGGTTCTATTTCTGGCATTAGGCCACACATATGCATTTATGGCAAAGACCATTCACAGTTTGAGAATGTTGCTTGCCAAATAACCAATGAATGGTCAATATCTAGCAAGGAATTAGGGAAACAGTGAAGATTCATATTTCTGCTCATCTTGGGAGTGGCCATCTTATTTTACCATCTTATTTTACAGGTTCTTAAATTTCTGAGGAGAGAGAATTCAAGGGAGATAACTCTAGAGTAGTGATTCCTAAACTGGCTACTTGAGAATCCTACAAGGAGTTTTGTTTTTGTTTGTTTGCTTGTTTGTACCATTTTAACCTTCTTTTTTTTTTTTTTTTTTTTGAGACAGAGTCTCGCTCTGTCGCCCAGGCTGGAGTGCAGGGGCAGAATCTCGGCTCACTGCGACCTCTGCCTCCTGGGTTCAAGCAATTCTCTTATCTCAGCCTCGCGAGTAGCTGGGACCACAGGTGCCCGCCACCACTCCTGGCTAATTTTTGTATATACATATATATACATATATATATGTATATACATATATATAATTTTTTTTTTTTTTTTAGTAGAGCCGGGGTTTCACCATATTGGTCAGGCTGGTCTCGGACTCCTGACCTCAGTTGATCCACCCACCTCGGTCTCCCAAAGTGCTGGGATTACAGATGTCAGCCACCGCACCCGGCCCATTTTAACCATTTTTAAGTGCCCAGTTCAATGGTGTTAAGTACATTTACATTGTTGTACAACCATCACCACTAACTATCTCCAGAACTTTTTTATCCTCCTCAAATAAAACTCTATACCCATTAGAAAGTAACTTCCGATTTTCCCCTCCCCTCAGCCCATGGCAACTACCATTCTACTTTTTGTCTCTGAATTTGATAATCTAAGTACTTCATATAAGTGAAATCATACAGTAGTTATTATGTAGTGGTCTTATTTCACTCAGTATAATGTCTTTCAAGGTTCATCCACGTTGTAGCATATGTGAGAATTTCTTTCCTATTTAAGGCATATACACTATAGATAGAATATTTGGTTTATTCATTCATCTATCTATGAACAATTGAGTTGCTTCCACCTGTTGGCTATTGTGAATAATGCTGCTGTGAACATGAAAGTACAAATATCTATCCAAGTCCCTGCTTTCAATTTTTTTGAGTATATACCTGGAGTAGGTATATAATTTATATGCACTAAAAATAATTATATTTTGAAGTTTTGAGGCACCACCAAACTTTTTTCTGTAGTGTCTCCAGCATTTTGTATTCACTCCAGCAGTACACAAATGTTACAATTTGTCCATACCTCATCAACATTTGTTATTTTCTGTTTTTCTATTTATAGAAGCTATTCTACTATGCAGTGGTGTGCAGTGGCATCTTACTGTGGTTTTGACTTGCATTAATACTAATGATTAGTGATGTTGAGTATCTTCTCATGTGTTTGTTAGCCATTTTTGTATCTTCTCTGGAAAAATGCCTAAGTCCTTTGTCCATTTTTGAAATTAGGCTGTTTTCTATTGTTGAGTTGTAGAACTTCTTTATATTCTAGATATTAACCTCTTAACATATATATAATTTGGAAATATTTTCTCTCACAATCTTGGTGGTTTTTTCACCCTATTGATTGTTTCCTTTGATGCACAGAAGTTTTAAATTTTAATGTAGTCCAATTTACACTTTCATGTTGTTGTCTACATTTTTGTTGTTGTATCCAAGAAATTACTGCCAAATCCATAGTTGTGAAGCTTTTCATTTATGCTCCTTCTGAGAGGGCTATCGTTTTAGAGCTTACATTTAGGTCTTTTGATTAAATTTGACTTAATATTTTTATAATTTTAGTTTTGCATGTGTATATCAAGTTTTTCCAGGACCTTTTGAGAAAGTCTGATTTTCCTCATTGAATGGTGTTTGCACTTGTGTAAAAATTCATTTGATCATATATGTGAAGATTTATTTCTGGAAACTCTCTTCGGTTACATTAGACTATATGTTGGTATTTATGCGAGCACCATACTCTTTTGATTACTATAGCTTTTTGGTAACTTCTGAAATTAGGAAATGTGCTTCCTTCAACTTTGTTCTTTGTCAAGATTGTTTTGGTCATTTAGGGTTCTTTGAGATTCCATACGAATTTTAGGATGAATTTTGTAATTTATGCAAAAACATCTTAAGGATTTTGATTTTGTTAGGGATTGCAATGAATATGTAGACCACTTTGAGTAGTATCAAAATCTTGACAATATTAAGTGTATCAATGAAATGGAAAGATATCTTTCTATTTATTTGTATTTTCTTTAATTTCTTTTAGTAACATTTTAGACTTTTCAGTGTAAGAGTCTTCACCTTCTTGCTTTAAATTTGTACATAAGTATTTTATTCATTTGATATCATTATAAATGGAACAGTTTTGTTAAATTATTTTGCAGGTTATTAATTGTTAGCATATAGAAACACAACTGTTTTTTGCATGTTTATTTTTTATCCTACAATTTTGCTGAATTCATTTATTACTTCCAATGGTTTGGAGTAGAATCTTTAGGGCTTTCTACATATAAGATTATGTCATCTGCAAACAAAGATAATTTTAGTTTTTCTGATTTTTATATATATTTTTTCTTATTTGCTCTGGCTAGCACTTCCAGTACTATGTTGAATAGAAGTGGCTAAATCAGGCATTCTTGCCTTGTTCCTAATTTTAGAGAAAACATTTTCAGTCTTTCACCATTTAGTATGATGTTAGCTGTAGGTTTTTCATATATGGCCCTTATTATGTTGAGATAATTTCCTTTAATTCCAAATTAGTTGAGTTTTTTTCTATCATGAAAAGTTGTTCAATTTTGTCAAGTGCTTTCCCTGTACCCTTTGAGATAATCATGTATTTATTAATAAATGTATTCACTAATGTATTGCACTACATTGATTGCTTTTTGTATAGCCAACCATCCTTGCATTCCAGGAGTAAATCCCACTTGGTCATAGAGTATAATCCTTTTAATATGTTGTTGAATATGAGTTGCTAGTGTTTTGTTGAGAGTTTTTGCATCAATATTCATAAGGGATATTGGTCCATAGTTTTCTTTTCATGTAGTGAATTTGCCTGGCTTTGTTATCAGGATAAGACTGGTGTCATAGAATGAGTTTGGAAGTATTATTTCCTCTCTGATTTTTGGAACAGTTTGAGGTGTATTGATTTTAATTCTTCTTTTAATTGTTGATACAATTTACCAGAGCAGCCATCTGGTCCTAGGTTTTTTTTTCTTTCTATGAGTTTTTTTAATTATTGTTTTTATCTTCATACTACTTACAAGTATATTAAGATTTACTGTTTCTTCTTGACATGATTCAGTTTTGATGGGTTGTGAGTTTCTAGAAATGTGTTCATTTCATTTAGATGATCCAACTTGTTACTGTACAATCACTCATAAAACTCATAATTTTTTTATTTCTATAAAATTAGTAGTTATGTCCCCCTTTTCCTTTCTGATTTTAAGTACCTGAGTCCTCTCTCTTTTTCTTTGTCAATCTAGCTAAACATTTGTCAATTTTGTTGATCTTTTCAAGTAACAAATTCTTGATTTTGTTGACTTTCTCTATTGTTTGTCTATATTGTTTTATTTCTGCTCTAATCTTTATTATTTATCTTTTTCTTCTAGCTTTGTTTAGTTTGTTCTTCGTATAGTTCTCAAGACATAAAGTTAGATTGTTAAATTGAGATCTTTCTTCATTTTTAATGAAAGCATTTACAGGTATAAATTTTCCTCTCAGCACTGCTTTCACTACATGCCATAAGTTTTGGTATGTTTTGTTTTCATTTTCATTTGTCTCTGAGCATTATCTAATTTTACTTTTTATTTTTTCTTTGACTCATTTGTTATTTGAGTGTGTTGATTAATTTTCATACATTTGCATATTTTCCAATTCTCCCTCTGTTATTGGTTTCTAGTTTCATTCCACTGGGAATGAAAAAGTACTTTGTATTATTTCAGTAATTTTAAATTTATGAAGACTTGTTTTATGGTATAACACATGATCTTTCTTGGAGAATATTCTATGTGTAAGTAATATATATGCAGAAAAATGTATGTTCTACTCTTCTTGGGTGGAATGTTTTGTATATGTCTGTTAGATCTGATAGGCCTATGCTGCTCAAGTTCCCTATTTCCTTGTTAATCTTCTGTCTGATTATTTTATCCTTTATTGAAAGTGAGGTACTGGTCTCCAACTATTATTATAAAACTATTTCTCCCTTTAATTATGTCAAGGTTTGCCACATATATTTAGGAGTTCTGGTGATTTGTGTGTATATGTTTACAATTTAGATATCTTATTGGTGGATGATTATTATATAGTGTTCTTCTTTGTCTCTTGTAACAGTTTTTGTCCAAAAATCTATTTTATCTGATATTAGTATAATCAACCTTGCTCTCTCTTTGTTGTTATTTGCACAAAATGTCTTTTTCTATCCTTTCACTTTTAACCTATGCACATTCTTAGATCCAAAATGAGTCCCCTACAGACAACATACAGTTGGATCCTACATTTTAATCCACTTTGCTAATCTATGTCTCTTGGGGACATAGATTAAATTGGAGAATTTATCTACTTAACTTAAAGTAATTACATATAGAGGAGGACTTACTATTGCTATTTTTGTTGTTTTTTGTTTGTTTGTTTGTTTGTTTGTTTTCTTTTATTGAGATGGGGTCTCACTCTGTAACCCAGGCTTGAGTGCAGTGGTGCAATCTTGGCTCACTGCAACCTCCACCTCCCAGGTCAAGTGATCCTCCCACCTCAGCCTCCCAAGTAGCTGGGATCACAGGCATGTACCACCACATCTGGCTAATTTTCATTGCATTTTTGGTAGAGACAGGGTTTCGCCATGTTGCCCAGGCTGGTGTCAAACTCCTGAGCCCAAGTGATCCACCCACCTTGGCCTCCTAAACTGCCAGAATTATAGGCATGAGCCACCGCACCTGGCCTATTTTTAAAAAATTTTTTACTTTAAGTTCCAGTATACATGTGCAGAACCTGCAGGTTTGTTACATAGGTATACACGTGGCATGGTTGTTTGCTACACCTATTGACCCATCCTCTAAGTTCCCTCCCCTCATCCCCCACCCACTAACAGGCCCTGGTGTGTGTTGTTCCCCTCCCTGTGTCCATGTGTTCTCATTGTTCAACTCCCACTTGTGAGTGAGAACAAGCAGTGTTTGGTTTTTTGTTCCTGTGTTAATTTGCTGAGGATGATGGTTTCCAGTTTCCTTTATGTCCCTGCAAGGGATATGATCTCATTCCTTTTTATGGTTGTGTAGTATTCCATGGTGTATATGTGCCACATTTTCTTTATCCAGTCTATTATTGATGGGAATTTTGGTTGGTTCCATGACTGCACTATTGTAAATAGTGCTGCAATAAACATACATGTGCATCATCTTTATAGTATAATGATTTATATTCCTTTGGATATATACCCAGTAATGGGATTGCTGGGTCAAATGGTATTTCTGGTTCCAGATCCCTGCAGAATCACCATTCTGTCTTCCACAATGGTTGAACTAATTTACATTCCTACCAACAGTGTAAAAGTGTTCCTATTTCTCCACAGCCTCACCAGCATCTATTGTTTCTTGCCTTTTCAATAATCACCAGTCCGACTGGTGTGAGATGGTATATCATTGTGGTTTTGATTTGCATTTCTCTAACGATCAGTGATGTTGAGCTTGTTTTCATATGTTTGTTGGCCGTGAAAATGTCTTCTTTTGAGAAGTGTCTGTTCATATCCTTTGCCCCCTTTTTTTATGGGGTTCTGTTTTTTTTGTAAATATGTTTAAGTTCCTTGTGAATTCTGGATATTAGCCCTTTGTCAGATGGGTAGATTGCAAAAATTTTCTCCCATTCTGTAGCTTGCCTGTTCACCCTGATGATAGTTTCTTTTGCTGTGCAGAAGCTCTTTAGTTTAATTACGTCTCATTTGTCAATTTTGGCTTTTGTGCCAATTGCTTTTGGCATTTTTATCATGAAGTCTTTGCCCATGCCTATGTCCTGAATGGTATTGCCTAGGTTTTCTTCTAGGGTTTTTATGGTTTGGGGGTTTTACATTTAAGTCTTTAATCCATCTTTAGTTAATTTTTGTATAAGGTGTAAGGAAGGCGTCCAATTTCAGTTTTCTGCATATGGTTAACCAGTTTTCCCAGTGCCATTTACTGAATAGGAGATCCTTTCCCCATTGCTTGTTTTTGTCAGGTTTGTAGAAAATCAGATGGTTGTAGATTTGTGATGTTGTTTCTGAGGTCTCTGTTCTGTTCCATTAGTCTATATGTCTGTTTTGATACTAGTAATGTGCTATTTTGGTTACTGTAGCCTTGTAGTATAGTTTGAAGTCAGGTAGCATGAGGCCTCCAGCTTTGCTCTTTTTGCTTAGGATTGTCTTGGCTATACAGGCTCTTTTTTGTTTCCATATGAAATTTAAAGTAGTTTTTTTCTAATTCTGTGAAGAATGTCAATGATAGTTTGATTGGAATAGGATTGAACTTATAAATTACTTTGGGCACTATGACCATTTTTGTGATATTGATATGGATAAGAAGAATCAGTATCTATGAGGATGGAATGTTTTTCCACTTGTTTACATGCTCTCTTATTTCCTTGTGCAGTGGTTTGTAGTTCTCCTTGAAAAGCTCTTTCACATCCCTTGTTAGCTCTATTCCTAGGTATTTTCTTCTCTTTATAGCGATGTGAATGGGAGTTCATTCATGATTTGGCTCCCTGCTTGTCTGCTGTTGGTATGAATGAATGCTTGTGAGTTTTGCACATTGATTTTGTATCTGGGGACTTTGCTGAAGTTGCTTATCAGTTTGAGGAGTTTTGGGGCTGAGGTGATGGGGTTTTCTAAATACAAAATCATGTTGTCTGCAAAAAGAGACAATTTGACTTCCTCACTTCCTATTTGAATATGCTTTATTTCCTTCTCTTGCCTGATTGCCCTGGCTAGAACATCCAATACTATGTTGAATAGGAGTGGTGAGAGAGGGCATCCTTGTCTTGTATCGGTTTTCAAAGGGAATGCATCCAGCTTTTGCCCATTCAATATGATATTGGCTGTGGGTTTGTCATAAATAGCTCTTATTATTTTGAGAAATGTTCCATCAATACTTAGTTTATTGAGAGTTTTTAACAGAAAGGATGTTGAATTTTATCAAAGGCTTTTTCTGCATCTATTGAGATAATTATGTGGTTTTTATCTTTGATTCTGTTTATGCAATGGATTACATTTTTTGATTTGCATATGTTGAACTAGCCTTGCATCCCAGGGATGAAGCTGACTTGATCATAGTGGATAAGTTTTTTGATGTGCTGCTGGATTTGGTTTGCCAGTATTTTACTCAGAATTTTTGCATTAATGTTCATCAGGGATATTGGCCTGAAGTTTTCTTTTTTTGTTGTGTCTTTTACCGATTTTGGTATCAGGATAATGCTGGCGTAATAAAATGATTCAGGGAAGAGTTCCTCCTTTTCAATTCTTTGGAATAATTTCAGAAAGAATGGTACCAGCTCCTCTTTGTACCTCTGGTAGAATTTGGCTGTGAATCAATCTGGTCCTAGGGTTTTTTGGTTGGTAGGTTAGTAATTGCTGCCTCAATTTCAGAACTTGTTATTGGTCCATTCAGGGATTTGACTTCTTCCTGGTTTAGTCTTGGGAGGGTGTATGTGTCCAGAAATTTATCCATTTCTTCTAGATTTTCCTGTTTATTTGCATAGAAGTGTTTATAGTATTCTTTGATGGTAGTTTGTATTTCTGTGGGGTCTGTGGTGACATCTTACTTATCATTTTTTATTGTGTCTATTTGATCTCTCTTTTCTTTTTTATTAGTTTAGCTAATGGTAATTTTGTTAATTATTTCAAAAAACAAGCTTCTGGATTCATTGATTTTTTTGGAGTGTTTTTTGTGTCTCTATCTCCTTTAATTCTGTTCTGATCTTAGTTTTTTCTTGTCTTCTGCCAGCTTTTGGATTAGTTTGCTCCTGACTCTCTAGGTCTCCTAATTGTGATGTTAGGGTGTTGATTTGAGATCTTTCTAGCTTTCTGATATGTCCATTTAGAGTTATAAATTTCCCTCTTAACACTGCTTTAGCTGTGTCCCAGATTCTGGTACATTGTCTCTTTGTTCTCATTGGTTTCAAATAACTTCTTTATTTCTGCATTAATTTCATTATTTACCCAGGAGTTACTCAGAAGCAGGTTGTCCAACTTCCATGTAATTTTGTGGTTTTGAGTGAGTTTCTTAATCCTGAGTTGTAATTTGATTGCACTGTGGTCTGAGAGACTTTTTGTTATGATTTTAGTTCTTTTGCCTTTACTGAGGAGTGTTTTACTTCCAATTATGTTGTTGATTTTTGAATAAGTGCCATCTGGCACTGAGAAGAATGTATAGCCTGTTGATTGGGGTGGAGAGTTCTGTAGATGGCAATTAGGTCCACTTGATCCAGAGCTGAGTTCAAGTCCTGAATATCCTTGTTAATTTTCTGTCTCATTGATCTGTCTAATATTGACAGTGGGGTGTTAAAGTCTCCCACTCTTATTGTCTGGAAGTCTAATTCTCTTTGTAGGCCTCTAAGAACTTGTTTTATAAATCTGGGTTTTCCTGTATTGCATGCATATATATTTAGAATAGGTAGCTCTTCTTGTTGAATTGTTCCCTTAACAATTATGTAATGCCCTTTTGGTCTTTTTTGATCTTTGTTTGTTTAAAGTCTGTTTTATAAGAGATTAGGATTGTAGTCCCTGCTTTATTTTATTTTTATTTTTTGCTTTTCGTTTGCTTGGTAAATATTCCTCCATCCTTTTATTTTGAGCCTATGGGTGTCTTTGCACCTGAGATGGTCTCCCTAATACAGCACACCGATGAGTCTTGACTCTTTATCCAATTTGCCAGTCTGTGTCTTTTAATTGGGGCATTTAGCCTATTTACATTTAATGTTAGTATTGTTATATGTGAATTTCATCCTGTCATCATGATGCTATCTGTTTATTTTGCACACTAGTTGATGCAGTTTCTTCAAAGTGTCATTGGTCTTTAAATGTTGGTGTGTTTTGCAGTGACCGATGCTGGTTTTTCCTTTCCATATTTAGTGCTTCTTTCAGTAGCTTTTGCAAGGCAGGCTTGGTGGTATGAAATTCCTCAGCATTTGCTTGTCTGGAAAGGATTTTATTTCTCCTTGGCTTATGAAGCTTAGTTTGGCTGGATATGAAATTCTGGGTTGAAAATTCTTTTCTTTAAGAATGTTGAATATTGGCCCCCAATCTCTTCTGGCTTTAGAGTTTCTGCTGAGAGGTCCTCTGTTAGTCTGATGGGCTTCCCTTTGTAGGTGACCTGGCCTTTCTGTCTGGCTGCCCTTAACATTTTTCCTTCATTTCAACCTCGGAGAATCTAATGATCATGTGTTTTGGGATTGATCTTCTTGCGAAGTACTTAGTGGTGTCTCTGTATTTCCTGAATTTGCATGTTGGCCTGTCTTGCTAGGTTGGGTAATTTCTCCTGGATAATATCCTAAAGTGTGTTTTCCAGCTTGTTTCCATTCTCCTTGTCTCCTTCAGGTACTCCAGTCAATTTTAGGTTCAGTCTCTTTTATGAAGTCCCATATTTCTTGGAGACTTTGTTCATTCCTTTTCATTCCTTTTTCTTTAGTCTTGTCTGCATGCCTTATCTCAGCAAGGTGGTCTTCAATTTCTGATATCCTTTCTTCTCCTTTGTTGATTTGGCTATTGATACTTGTGTATGCTTCATGAAGTTCTTGTGCTGTGTTTTTCAGCTCTGTCAGGTCATTTATGTTCCTCTCTAATTCGGTTATTCCAGCTAGCAATTCCTCTAACCTTTTATCAATGTTCTTAGCTTCTCTGCATTGGGATAGAACATGCTCCTTTAGCTTAGTGTAGTTTTGTATTACCCATCTTCTGAAGCCTACCTCTGTCAATCCGTCCATCTAATCCTTCATCCAGTTCTGTGCCCTCATGGAGAGATGTTGCAATCATTTGGAGGAGAAGAAGCACTTTGGCCTTTTGGGTTTTCAGCATTTTTTTCATTGACTCTTTCTTATCTTCATGTTTGTCTAATTTCAGTCTTTGAGGCTGCTGACCCTTGGATGGGGTTTTTGTGGGGGGTTTTGTGTTGTTGATGATGCTGTTGTTGTCACTTTCTGATTGTTTGTTTTTCTTTCAATAGTGAGGTCCCACTTCTGTAGGCCTGCTGCAGTTTGCTGGGGGTTCACTTCAGGCCCCATTCATCCGATTTGCTCCTGTGCCTGGAGATGTCACTCAAGGAGTCTGGAGAAAAGCAAAGATGAGTACCTCCTCCTTTTTCTGGGATATCTGACCTTGAGGGGCACCACCCTGATGCCAGTAGGATCACTCCTGTATAGGGTGTCTGACAACCCCTGTTGGAGGATCTCATCCAGTTGAATGGCACAGGGAACAGGACCAATTTAATGAAGTACTTTGTCCCTTGGTGGAGGAGGTGTGCTTTGCTGGGGGGAAACACACTCATCTGGGCTTCCCAGATTCCTCAGAACTACCAGGAGGAAATGCTAAGTCTCCTGGTCCACAGAAACTGTAGCTACCCCTCCCCCTAGTGGCTCAGCCCCAGGGAGATCCAGGTTCTGTCTCTGAGCCTCTGGATGGAGTTATTGGAGTTCCTGCAGAAAAGCCTCACCCACTGAGGAAGAATGAATCAGGGTCTAGCCTGAAGAGGCATTCTGTCTGCAGTCTGCCACGCCAGTGTGTTGAGCTGTGGAGGACAGTCTCGGGACCAAGATGTCCAGCCTCCCTGGTTCCAGCAGGGGAAATGCACAGCCTGGAGCTATGGAGATAGATATCACCCTTCCCCTGCCCAGAGAGCTCAGTGTGTTAGGCCGTTGTGAGTCCCAGTGCTGGCTGCTGCCCCTCCCATAAGGAGCTCAAATGGCTTAGACAGCAAGCAGCTGCAACTGTGGTGCTTGTCAACCATCCCCCCACCGGGGTCCCAGTAGGCTTAAGCAGATTCCAGCTGAGAGGCTGTTGAGAATCTGAGCAGCTCTGGAGTTTGGACGCTAGGCCCCGGTGGCATAGGATCGCTAGTGGGATCTTCCGATCCATGGGTTGCACAGTTCCATGGAAGAAGCACAGTTTCCCCAGGTGGGTAGCATGCTCACTCACCACCTCCCTTGGCCAGAGGGTGGAGACTCCCCTGTCCCATGTGGCTTTCAGGTGGGCTACTGCACCACACTGCTCTTCCTTCCTCTCCGTGTATCATGCCAGCTTCCTAGTCAGTTCTGATGAGAGAACATGGATACCTTGCCGGTGAAGGATTCACAAGCTTATTATGGTTCTTTTGGATGGGAGCCTCTCGTCGCCACTGTTTCTAGTTGGCCATCTTTGTCCCACCCCCTGTTATTTTTTTTTTAATATGTCATAACTTTTTATCCCTTATTTCCTCCCTCACTGTTTTCTTTTACACTTAGCTGGGTTTTGTAGTCACACGTTTTTATGCATTTCTCATATTCTTTTGTGTATATCCTATAGATATTTTCTCTGTGGTTACCATGGGAATGACATGTAATAACCTAAAGTTATAACAATCTATTTTAATCTGATATCAATTTGACTTCAAGTACATACAAACTCTGTACCTTTACAGCTCTGCCACCCCTTACACTTTATGTTATTAATGTCACCTATTATATCTATATATAGTATACATATTAATATATATTTAAAATTATTTTTATATCTTTAGTCCTGTAGAGGAATAAAAAGTGTAAGTTTTAGTCAAAATTATAATTCATGTTTTTATATTTGTCCATGTATTAACCTTTACCAGATAACTTTATATTTTCATATGATTTTGAGTTACTGTCTAGCAACCTTTCATTTCAACTTGAAGGGTAACCCTTAGCATTTCTTGTAGGGCAGATCCAGTCATCACGAATTCCCTTAGCTTTTGTTTATTTGGGTAAGTCTTACTTTCTCACTCATTTTTGAAGCACAGAATTGTCAGGTATAGAATTGTCATTCGACCATTTTTTTTAAGGCATTTTAAATATAGCACTTCACTGCCTTCTGGCCTAAAAAATTCTGTTGAAAAATCCACTGATAATCTTATGAAGGATTTATTGATCATAGGCCACTTTTCTTTTTCAAAATTCTCTCTGTCTTCAGATTGGGAGAGATTGATTATAATATGTCTCAGTGTGGATCACTTTGATTTTATCCTACTTAGAGTTTATTGAGCTCCCTACATTTGTATATCCATGTCTTTTTTCAAATTTGGGAAGTTTTCTGCCGTTTTTTCTTCAAATAAGCTCTCTGCCTCTTTCTATTCTCCTTTTTGAACTCCTGTAACATTTGTTTGTCTGCTTAATGGTGTTCTGTAAGTCCCTTAGACTCTGTTTACGTATGTTCATTTATTTTTCTTTTTGCTTACAGCTCCTAGAATCTCTATTTGGTTCTTTTTTTTTTTTCTTTTTGACAAGGTCTTACTTTATAACCCAGGCTGGAGTGCAGTTGTGTGATCACAACTTGACCACCCAGGCTCAAGCAATCCACCTATTCCAGCCTCCAGAGTAGCTGGGACTACATGAATACCACCACTCCCAGCTAATGTTTTTATTTTTTGTAGAGATGGAATCTCACTATGTTGCCCAGGCTGGTCTTGAACTCCTGAGCTCAAGCAATCTGCCTACCTTGGCCTCCAAAAGTGTTGTGGCTGCAGGTGCAAGCCACAGTGCCTAGCCTGATTCATTTTTTTTTTAATTACCTGTTATCTCTTTGCCGATATTCTCATTTTGTTCATATACGGTTTTTCTGATTTTCTTTAGTTCTTTGCCTATGTTTTCTTTTTGTTCTTTTAGCATATTTGAGACAGTTGTTTACAGTCTTTGTCTTTTAGCATATTTGAGAAAGTTTTTTAAAGTAATTCCAAAATCTGTTCTTCTTCAGGGATAGTTTCCACAGATTTATTTTCTTTCTATCAGTGGGCCATGCTTTCCTAATTCTTTGTAGGCCTTGTGTTCTTTTATTAAAAATTGGGCATTTGAAAAAAAGAGACACCCCTCTCATCTTTTCAGACTGGCACCTTGCAGAAAGATACCTTTGTTAATACATTGTGTGAAGTCTTAAGATTTCTAGACACAGTTTCTTGGCATGTATCTTTCACGGACCTGTGTATGTGCTTTTTCTCAACTTCTTGGTATACAAAGCTTTTTTTCTTGTTCTCTTTTTAAAATTATTATTAAACTTTAAGATATGAAATACATGTGTAGAATGTGCAGGTTTGTTACATAGGTATACACATGCCATGGTGGTTTGCTGCACCCATCAACCTGTCATCTACATTAAGTATTTCATCTAATGCTATCCCTCCCCCAGCCCCTCATCCCCTGACAGGCCCTGGTGTGTGATGTTCCCCTCCCTGTGTCCATGTGTTGTTCTCACTGTTCAACTCTCACTTATGAGTGAGAACATGTGGTGTTTGGTTTTCTGTTCCTGTGTTAGTTTGCTGAGAAAAGTTATGTTTGGATAGTATTCCATGGTGTATATGTGCCACATTTTCTTCATCCATTCTATCATTAATGGGCATTTGATTTGGTTCCATGTCTTTGCTATAGTGAACAGTGCTGCAATAAACATACATGTGTATGTGTCTTAATAGCAGAAAGGTTTATAATCCTTTGGGTATATACCCAGTAATGGGATTGCTGAGTCAAATGGTATTTCTGGTTGTAGATCCTTGAGAAATCGCCACACTGTCTTCCACAATAATTGAACAAATTTACACTCCCACCAACAGTGTAAAAGCTTTCCTATTTCTCCACATCCTCTCTAGAATCTGTTTCCTGACTTTTTAATGATCACTATTCTAACTGGTATGAGATGATGTTTCATTGTGGTTTTGATTTGCATTTCTTTAATGACCAGTGATGATGAGCTTTTTCTCATATGTTTGTTGGCCACATAAAGTCTTCTTTTGAGAAGTGTCTGTTCATATCCTTTGCCCACTTATTGATGGGTTTTTTTTTGTAAATTTAAGTTATTTCTATATTCTGGATATTAGCCCTTTGTCAGATGGATAGATTGCAAAAATTTTCTCCCATTCTGTAGGTTGCCTTTTCACTCTAATGATAGCTTCTTTTGTTGTGCAGAAGTTCTTTAGTTTAATTAGATACATTTGTCAATTTTGGCTTTTGTTGCCATTGCTTTTGGTATTTTAGTCATGAAGTCCTCGTCCATGCCTATGTCCTGAATGGTATTGCCTAGGTTTTGTTCTAGGGTTTTTATGGTTTTAGGTCTTATGTTTAAGTCTTTAATCCATCTTGAGTTAATTTTTGTATAAGGTATAAGGAAGGCATCCAGTTTCAGTTTCCTGCATATGGCTAGCCAGTTTTCCCAGCACCATTTATTAAATAGGGCATCCTTTCCCCATTTCTTGTTTTTGTCAGGTTTGCCAAAGATCAGATGGTTGTACATGTGTGGCATTATTTCTGAGGTCTCTGTTCTGTTCCATTGGTCTATATCTCTGTTTTGGTACCAGTACCATGCTGTTTTGGTTACTGTAACCTTGTAGTACAGTTTGACGTCAGGTAGCATGATGCCTCCAGCTTTGTTTTTTTTTGTTTTTTTTTTTTTTTTTTGCTTAGGATTGTCTTGGCTATACGGGCTCTTTTTTGTTTCCATATGAAACTTAAAGTTTTTTCTAATTCTGTGAAGAAAGTCAATGGTAGCTTGACGGAGCTAGCATTGAATCTATAAATTACTTTAGGCAGTATGGCCATTTTCATGATATTGATTCTTCCTATTCATGAGCATGGAATCTTTTTCCATTTGTTTGTGTCCTCTCTTATTTCCTTGAGCAGTGATTTGTAGTTCTCCTTGAAGAAGTCCTTCATATCCCTTGTAAGTTGTATTCCTAGGTATTTTATTCTCTTTGTAGCAATTGTGAATGGGAGTTCACTCATGATTTGGCTCTCTGTTTGTCAATTATTGGTGTATAGGAATGCTTGTGATTTTTGCACATTTATTTTGTATCCTGAGACTTTGCTTAAGTTGTTAATCAGCTTAAGGAGATTTGGGGCTGAGACGATGGGGTTTTGTAAATATACAATCATGTCATCTGCAAACAGAGACAGTTTGACTATCTCTTTTCCTAACTGAATACCCTTTATTTCTTTCTCTTGACTGATTGCACTGGCCAGACCTTCCAATAATATGTTGAATAGGAATGGTGAAAGAGGGCATCCTTGTCTTGTGCTGGTTTTCAAAGAGAATGCTCCCAGCTTTTGCCCATTTAGTATGATGTTGGCTGTGGGTTTGTCACAAATAGCTCTTGTTATTTTGAGATACATTCCATCAATACCTAGTTTGTTGAGAGTTTTTAGCATGAAGGATATTCATTTTTATCAAAGGCCTTTTCGGCATCTATTGAGATAATCATGGGGTTTTGTCATTGGTTCTGTTTATGTGATGGATTACGTTTAGTGATTTGTGTATGTTGAACCAGCCTTGCATCCCAGGGATGAAGCCATCTTGATCGTGATGGATAAGATTTTGATGTGCTGCTGAATTTGGTTTGCCAGTATTTTATTGAGGATTTTTGCGTCAATATTCATCAGGGATATTGGCCTGAAATTTTCTTTTTTTGTGTGTCTCTGCCAGGTTTTGGTATCAGGATGATGCTGGCTTCATAAAATGAGTTGAGGAGGAGTCCCTCTTTTTCTATTGTTTGGAATAGTTTCAGAAGTAATGGTACCAGCTCCTCTTTGTACCTCTGGTAGAATTCGGCTGTGAATCCATCTGGTCCTGGATTTTTCTTTGTTGGTAGGCTATTAATTACTGCCTCAATTTCAGAACTTGTTATTGGTATATTCAGGGATTCCACTTCTTTCTAGTTTAGTCTTGGAATGGTGTATGTGTACAGGAATTTATTCATTTCTTCTAGATTTTCTAGTTTATTTGCATGGAGATGTTTATATTATTCTCTGTTGGTAGTTTGTATTTCTGTGGGATCAGTGGTGATGTCCCTTTTATCATTTTTATTGTGTGTACTTGATTCTTCTCTCTTTTCTTCTGTGTTAGTCTGGCTTGCAGTCTATCTATTTTATTAATCTTTTCAAAAAACCAGGTCCTGGATTCATTGATTTCTTGAAGGGTTTTTCATGTCTCCATCTCCTTCAGTTCTGCTCTGATCTTAGTTATTTCTTGTCTTCTGCTAGCTCTTGAATTCATTTGCTCTTGCTTCTCTAGTTCTTTTAATTGTGATGTTAGGGTGTCGATTTTAGATCTTTCCTGCTTTATCCTGTGGGCATTTAATGTTATAAATTTCCCTCTAAACACTGCTTTAGCTGTGTCCCAGAGATTCTGGTATGTTGTGTCTTTGTTCTCATCGGTTTCAAAGAACTTATTTCTTTCTTTCTTAATTTTGTTATTTACCCAGTAGTCATTCAGGAGCAGGTTGTTCAGTTTCCCTGTAGTTGTGTGGTTTTGAGTGAGTTTCTTAATCTTGAGTTCTAATTTGATTGCACTCTTGTCTGAGAGACTGTTTGTTATGATTTTCATTCTTTTGCATTTGCTGAGGAGTGTTTTACTTCTAATTATGTGGTCACTTTTAGAATAAGTGTGATATGGTGTTAAGAAGAATGTGTATTCTGTTGATTTGGGGTAGAGCGTTCTGTAAATGTCTATTAGGTTTACTTGCTCCAGAGCTGAGTTCAAGTCCTAAATATCCTTGTTAATTTTCTGTCTCATTGATCTATCTAATATTGCCAGTGGGGTGTTAAAGTCTCCCACTATTATTGTGTTGGAGTCTAAGTCTCTTTGTAGGTCTCTAAGAACTTGTTTTATGAATCTGGGTGCTCCTGTATTGGGTGCATATATATTTAGGGTAGTTAGTTCTTCTTGTTGCATTGATCCCTTTACCATTATGTAATGCCTTTCTTTGTCTCATTTGATCTTTCTTGGTTTAAAGTCTGTTTTATCAGAGACTAGGATTGCAATCTCTGCTTTTTTTGCTTTCCAATTTGCTTGGTAAATCTTCCTTCATTCCTTTATTTCGAACCTATGTGTCTTTGCACTTGAGATGGGTCTCCTGAATAGGGCACATCAATGGGTCTTCACTCTTTATCCAATTTGCCAGTCTGTGTCTTTTAATTAGGACATTTAGCCCATTTACATTTAAGGTTAATATTGTTATGTGTGAATTTGATCCAGTTATTATTATGCTAACAGGTTGTTTCGCCCATTAATTGATGCAGTTTCTTCGTGTTGATGGTCTTTATAATTCAGCATGTTTTTGCAGTGGCTGGTACCAGTTTTCTCTTTCCATATTTTGTGCTTCCTTCAGTAGCTATTGTAAGGCAGGCCTGGTGGTGACAAAATCTCTCGACATTTGCTTGTCTGTAAAGGATGTTATTTCTCCTTTGCTTATGAAGCTTAGTTTGGGTGGATATGAAATTCCGGGCTGAAAATTCTTTTCTTTAAGAATGTTGAATACCTCCTCCCACTGTCTTCTGGCTTGCAGAGTTTCTGCAGAGAAATCTGCTATTAGTCTGATGGACTTCCCTTCGTTGGTAATTCAATCTTTCTCCCTGGCTGCCCTTAACATTTTTTCCTTCATTTCAACCTTGATAAATCTGACAATTATGTCTTGGAGTTGCTCTTTTCGAGGAGTATCTTTGTGGTGTTCTTTGTATTTCTACCCCCACAAAGCTTTTAAACATTTTATTTCCCTGAGAGTTTTACCCCTGCTTCTTCTTGGGCCTTAAATGTTCTGTTGTATTACTGTGCCTGTAATTTTTTGCTTCTGGAAATCCATGGTTCTGTCATCTCTTGTGGTTTCCAGGAGCCATGCATGCTACTTTCCATAGTATTTTCTAGTCTGAGATTTGAGCTAGGTGACCTGGAGACCAATCTCACAGACAGCCTTCAGGCAGGTTATAAAGTTGAAAATTTGGTCTGCTCTGCATTCTCCAGTTCATGGAAGGGAACTGGGAATCTGGTCACTGTTTACAGCAAACTATGCCATGCCATGGAGGGGGTAGGGCAATGGGAAGTAAAAATGCCACAGAATTTTAATGTTTTAATGTGGCTTTTTCTGTATTAGTCATTTGCTTGATAACTATAGATCTTTGATTTTAAGAGCTCCTATAAAGTTAGTTTAGTCAGTTATCTAGTTGTTTTTTTTTTAAATAATATTTCTGTAGGAGAATAGAAGCCTTGAGCTTCCCTCTGCCATTTTGTTGATGTCACTCCCAAGTCTGGTTTATGTAGATTTTTTAAATGCATATTCTGTTCAGTAGGGCTGCAGTGGGATCTGAAAATACACATTTTTATAATTTCCTGGGGGGTTCTGCTTTGTAGCCAGATTATAAACCTCTGTTTTGGAGAGTAGACATTTAGTACAATGGTTTCAAATTGGTACAAGACCAAATGTCAGCCCTGGGCCTAACTGGAATTAGTAGCCACAGGCACAATATATGGGCATTGTGAAGAGAAGACCATTTATGCAAGCACCCACAACACACCCTTTCAGAAATCTCTTCCACAACTTGTGTGGATCTCTGGGGTCTATATCCTTAATAGAAGTAACTATGATTCAGAGGGCTACTTTGTGAGGAATATGTGTTAACTGAGGAATAGCAGTTATGAGAGGAAAAGCCTCTGTCTGGCAGTTAAAGGAAAAAACTAAAAAATCCTAGTAAAGACAAAATTCTAGCTGGAGCAGCTCTGGCTCAGTAGTGCCTGGTATCAGCATATGAAAAGAGCAGTTGTGGTGGTGTTAAGGCTCTTAACTTCATTGATCTGAGGAAACATGGTCAGTGGAGAAGGTAGCAACTGCCCTAGAAGCCTGGAGGTGTAAGGGAATGACAGTCCCAATGGCACACAATGGACCAACAATGGTGGTCTTAAGTCAAGCAGCAGCAGTGGCCCTGACTGTGGTAGCTTCTGAGCAATCTTTTCCTTAGCAGTGTTAATACGGATTTAATCTTTACAGATACATTAGGAGAAGTGGCTTTAAAACTTGTTTTAGGTGAAACTTGGCTGATAGGGGCTGTATCCTTTCAGAGAAATATGGATTTTTTGCAAGAAAAAGTAAAAACTGAGCCTCATTATTTTTTATTATAACAAGGAACATTTCCTTAGACAAATGCTACATTGTTAGAAATTATAAATGCAAACAACTCCCACATAATCCTTTTGGTTAGCTTCTGTATTATTAACTGATTGCTTTGATGTGCGTGTGTGTGTGTGAGAGAGAGAAAGAGAGAGAGACAGACAGAGAGAGAGAGAGAAAAGATTGTTCCACGCTTTAGAATCCTTTCTGTGCTAAATATGCATATAATCTGTTCTCTGGTTAGCAGCTGTGCATGCCATGTGCAAGGCCTCTTGTTGCTGGCTTTGTTTGCCCTGCTCACTGCACAAAGTGATGGAAAACGAAATTATTTACTATGGTAACCCTGTCTCTATTATGGTTAAGTCATTTGCATAAGAAGCATAAGGCTGGTACGTATCATCAAGTGTTTGTGACATCTCTTTGTATGAAGATTTGTTTTAAAGAAAGAAGAAACAATTGCTTTAGCTTTGTAAGATAAATTTTCTATATGGCTAGAGATAGAAAGGTGAACTAAGTGCCCTCTCAAAGTCCATATTACCATTTGAAGCCTTTCATTTTATATGCTTGGAAAATCACTCATATACTCATTTGCATGGATCTACACAAATAATAAATCTCTCTCTGCTTTTATATAAGCACTGATTGTGCTGCTCACTCTAGAGTGTGTTTGGACCCAGAGAGGTCCAGGTTGACCTCCCAAAAACTACCATGTTGCAGCTTCAGTGTTAGCCCTACTTGTTATGTACTTACTATGTCTTGGCAGAGAGAAAGTTTTCTCTACCATTCCCAACATTTGTACAGAGCTTTATCAAAATATTTATCCTGAGGTAGGGGCCCCTTTTGGCAGAAAGTCAAACGTCACTTTTAAACAATAAGAACTAAGACCTTTCCAATACCATCTTCCACCTCCACCTCCTCCAACCCCAAAACCACAGTCTATCTTAGGTTGATTGTAAGGTGTTTGTGTTGGGTTAGCTAGTGGTTACAAGCAAAGGCTGGGGAAGCAAGCAAAGAGGTGCAGGTTTTGAACAAATTGTCCTTCAATTGAACTGAAACTGTGATAGGTTAAACCCATCTTAAATCACTGTAGCACAACTAAGCGTGTGTGAGGAGGGGTGGGGATTAGCAGAGAATTAGAGTATCCCCTGATATACATAATTCAGGCTAGGTGTGGCTAGCTTTAGATTCAAACCAGATTAATGAATGAATGACAAGTTCCAATAGTTCTTGTTACTTATGATAATGCCCTTTCCTCAAAAAAAAAACAGAGGAATTTTAAACTTTATGATAGTGTCAAAATGATACATCATCAGTAGAAACAATACTTCAAGTACTCATACAACCATTCTGGTTTTCACTTTCAGTACGTTATTCAATAAATTACATAAGATATTCAACACTTTGTAATAAAATAGACTGCATTAGATGATTTTGTCTAGTTGTAGGCTAATGTAAGTGTTCTGAGCATGTTTAAGGTATGTTTGGCTAAGCTATCATGTTCAGTAGGTTAAGTGTATTAAAAGCATTTTCAACTTAGTATATTTTCAACTTACAATGAGTTTATTGTGACGTAACCCCACAGTGAGTCCAAGAGCATCTGTACAATACTACTGAATATAGTAGCTCCTGGCCTCACTTGCTTGCCTTATACAAGGTAATAGGAACAGCTAAGAGCTGTTACCCTACGAATCTCCCAGAGGACAATTTGTGATTATGGGTATAATTAAAGGACATTCATTTCAGCCAACTATATCACTTTGGTAAAGTTTATGGGGAAAATTCAAAATAGTTTTATTAAGTTTAAAATGAAACCACAGCATTACTAACTCCTGTTGGAGTTAACTTGTGTTGGAATTATTAACTTTATTGTTTTAATTGTCTTCTTTATCTCTACAACTTCTTATAAATATATACTTGCTTACTTCTCAGGTTGCAGTGTAGGGTGGAAGAGAATGGATTTGGAAGCACTTTGAACTCTCAGGAGGAAAAGTGCTTAATGAATATAAAACATTGTTATGTATTTATTATCTCATTTTTATCTGTCAGGAAACTTTGCTTGTGAATGGAATTAATCTTGGAGGAAGACTACATTAACATCTGAGGCTATAGCTCTGTCTTCTCATATTTCGATGTTATCAATTCCTTTTTATTTTTATTTTTTAAAATTTTATTTCTGTGTGTACCCACTGGCGTGCATGCAAATATGAACCCGAAGCTGCCCCACCAGCATGCACACATGCGGGGGCCCATCACCACCCTGCTGGAGCATTTTTGCCAGCAGCTTCATGGGAGTGTTGGTGCCAGTGAACTGGGGACCCCTTGGCCTCCCCAGCACAGTGGTGCTTAAACTCATGGGGCCAGACAACAAAGCCCTAGGCCAGGTCACAGCCCCCTACCCAGGGTTAGAACATACAGTCCAGGAGTGCTGAGCTGAGCCTTAGGCCACTAAAATAATACAGAAAGGAAGCCAATGGACTACACTCAACTTGTGCCACAGTCAAACCCTCAATAGTATCAAAGAAAATGAAAGCAAAAAAGCCCATCCAAAAGACAGCAATATCAAAGATCAAAGGAACATCAGCCCACACAGATGAGAAAGAACTAGTTCACAAACTCTGGCAACTCTAAAAGCATAAGCATCTTCTTACCTCCAAACTACCACATTAGCTCCCTAGCAATGGTTCTTAATATGAGTAAAATAGCTGAAATGACAGACATAGAATTAAGAATCTAGATGGCAAAGAAGCTCATCAAGATACAGGAGAAGGTTGAAAGCCAATCCAAGGAAAACAGTAAAACAGTACAAGAGTTGAAAGATGACATAACCATTTTAAGAAAGAACCAATTTCTGGAAATAAAAAGTTCACTACAGAAATTTCAGAATGCAATTGGAAGGATTAATAACAGAACAGACTAAGCTGAGGAAAGAATCTCTTACCTGAAAAACCAATCCTTTGATTCAATGCAGACAAACAAAAATAGAGAAAGCAGAATATAAAAAATGAATAAAACCTTCGAGAAATATAGTATTATGTAAAAAGACAAAACCTACAACTCACTGACATTCTTGAGAGAGATTGAAAGAGAGAAAGGAACTTGGAAAACATATGAAAGGATATTGTCCATCAAAATGTCCTCAACCTCACTAGAGAGGTCAACAGCAAATTCAGGAAATTCAGAGAACTCTTGTGAGATAGTATACAAGATGACTATCCCTAAGACATAGTTTTCAGATTCTCCAGTGTCAGTGCAAAAGAAAAAAATTTTAAAGGCAGCTAGAGCGAAGGGGCAGGCCACCTACAAAGGAAACCCCATTGGCTAATAGCGGTTTTTTCAGCAGAAACCTTACAAGCCAGAAGAGACTTGGGACCTATATTCAGCATCCTTAAAGAAAAGAAATTCCAGCCAGGCATGGTGGTTTGTGCCTGTTGTCCCAGCTATGCTGGAGGCTGAGACAGGAGGATTGCTTGAGCCCAGGAGTTTGAGGTTGTAGTGAGCTATGATCACACCACTGCCCTCCAGCCTGGGCAACAGAGCAAGACCCTGTCTCCAAAAATGTAAAGAAAAGAAAAAAAAAGGAAAAGAAAAGAAAGGAAATTCCCACTAAGAATTTCATA
The DNA here is from genome assembly GCF_000001405.40 of Homo sapiens. Taxonomy (NCBI): domain Eukaryota; kingdom Metazoa; phylum Chordata; class Mammalia; order Primates; family Hominidae; genus Homo; species Homo sapiens. The sequence continues at coordinate 85,573,203 of NC_000023.11, forward strand.
TGTAGCCAAACTAAACTTCACAAGCAAAGAAGAAATAGTATTCTTTTCAGACAAGGAGATACTAAGAGAATTCATTATCACCAGACCTGCCTTAAAAGAGGTCCTGAAGGGAGTGCTAAACTTGGAAACAAAAGCTGTAACTGGCCACCACAAAAACACATGTAACTGCATAACCCATTAACACTATAAAGCAGCTGTAGGAGCTTCTTAATAGCTGAACACATGGAGATTTCTGGGGGTGGCATGCCCAGGGAGAGCATGACACCTCCACACCTCACCCTATGCATCTCTGCATCTGTACCCTTTGCAATATACTTTATAATAAACCAGTAAATATAAGTGTTCCCCTGAATTCCGTGAGTCACTCCAGCAAATTAATCAAACCCAAAGAGGGGATCATGGGAACCCCAACTTGAAGCTGATTAGTCAGAATTTCTGGGGGTCTGGGCATGTGACTGGTGTGAGGAGGAGACAGTCTTGGGGACTGAGTCCTTGATCTGTGGGATCTGACACTATCTTTAGGTACATAGTGTCAGTGAAGCAGTATTTGCTGGAAAGGTCTTGGCTCACAGAAGCATGTGATTTGGATATAGAAAGGACAAAAGGGTGGGGAGATGAAGAACCTTTGATTCCTGGGTGGCCATGTGATCACTCATCGTATGAAGACACAGTTGCATTGAGATCAGTTACTAAAAGTGAAAGTTACCAGTGTAATTTAGAGATGAATCCAACTCCCCAGGAATTGGTATGTTAGATGTGTAAGGAAATGTAAATGAATATGAGAAAGGTGAAACATTCAATCTTTCAGTTGTTGTTATCTGTAATAGCTAAAATGAAACTAAGAGAGAATGCTCGGTCTGACTTTGATGCTAGACGAAGCTCACATTTTAGTAAGTCTGAGCTTAGGCCACCAGCCTCAAAGCCACCACCCAAGTATGCAAGGGCAACACAATGTACCTCTAAGATCTGTGGTTACAAAGTAGGTAGTCAATGTGGGGAAAGGGAAAAAACAAGTAACTATTGAAACCAGAGTGTATAGTTTGAAGAAATTCTTTCATTGTATAAATAAGTATTATCAGTTTCCTGAAGAACCTTTGCTAATGTGCATTAGAAGATCGACTAATGTAGGGGCAGTACCTTCAGAGTGGTAGAGCATGTTTGGGTTGATGCAGGACCCACAGCTCACTACTGAATAATTGCAAATGGGTGTATGTGATCCAGACACGCAGGAGCTTATTCCTGAGGAAACAGCCAGCCTGGCAGACTGGGAAAAAGCCACTGTAAGTCTGTTTACCCTGAAAAGTGGACTGTCCAAATGCACCTATAAATGTAAGTAAAACACTACAGATGAGGTAGCTGTTATGCTTTGTATGCAAGCCATGTGAGACTGGCTTTATGATGACAGGGATATTCACTCCCTGAATATGCCTGTTATCCAGGTCTTAGTAAATGCTGTTTTAAGTGGGAGGCCATTCTACATGGGCACCCCATGTGATGTTACTTCTGCATAATCAAACAGTTTGAGAAGTTGTATCAAATTTGCAATATCAGCTTCCCCTCATGGGTCTTACAGGTGCTAATATAAGCATCAGGTTAATTAACAAGAGAATGGGGAAAGGCAAAAGGGACCTTCAAAGGACTTATACTAGGAATGTGGAAATTTTAAAATAATTATTAGAAAACAAGGAGAATAAAGAAAATATTGATGGGGCAAAGCTAAGAATAAAAAGAAGGGAGAGAGTTATGGGACTCATCCCATCAGGGTGGAAATCTTTATATGGTTCTAAGAAAAGAAATGAATACAATAAAAATTGGTGGGGTTAAAACAAAGGTCTTAATAGAATACTATCCAAAGTTGGGTGGATCAAAGGGAGCCCCTTCTTGTTCCCCAACATTAAAGGGCTTCAAACCAGTTTGCTGTGTTTCTCCCAGTTTGGAGAAATTTTAAAGGCTGGAAGGCAGAGATTACAATGAAAAACCTGATCTGAAATTACCTGGGTCAATAGTAGGGCAGGCTAATCAAAATAAAGATTGACAAAAAGGCCAGGGTCCTTTGGCTCAATCCTTGCTTGGGGACCCAAAGCCTTTTGCACAAGAGAGGGTAAAACAGTCTTGGAATGGAGAAAGAAGTTCCTGAAACTAGAGCATAAAAATGCAAGGCCTGATAGGAGTGTGAAAGTTGGCATATTTAAACATACTTCATTTGAAGTGGTTGCATCTCTTTTACCTGATTGTATCATGAGAATGAACATTGTATCTGATTAGGGAATGTTTCCTCTACTTGGTACTATAAAACAGAAGGCATGTAAATCTGCTCTTCAAGCAATATTAATTGGACATGCTAAATGTGAACCAGTAAGACTGCCCAAGCCCACACATTGCAAAGTAGACGCTAGAGTGCAGGTAGGGACAAATGCTCCCCTTGATAACCCTCTGTGGAGCACTTCCTGGAGCTTATGGTGAAAACCTTGAGCACCTCCCAGCAACAACTATTGGGATTTTGAACTAGAGAATTTCCACTTGAGGGGCATGTACTCCCTTGCTATGAAATGTTATGTGTTTCTTTTCCCATAGGACTGACTGTGGAACTGTGTAAGAAGCTGCTGGATTCTTCAGTGTTCAGGAAACAGCTCTCAACTGACTGAACGCAAGTTGCTTGATTTGGGAAAGGTAATTCCAAGGTAAATGGACACCGTTTTCTGCTACTTTGATAAGAGAACGTAAAAACAGATTTGCTCAATGGGATGAATTGCATGCTGTTTTTCTAACAGTGATGGAAAAAATTGAACAATGATAGAAGCCCCTGTGTTCGGGTTTTCACTGGCTCATGGGCAGTGACCAATGGTCTGGCCACACACGCAGGCAAGAGGGTGATGGAAACCTGTCCTATTAGAAGAATGCTTCTATAGAACAAGGCCCTATGGAGATTTAAGGGGTGAATTAAAGCAGAACAAGTCAATGACCAACAAGTCAATGACCAACAGAAGAACTCCCTTCTGGATTCATAAGGTGATTGGAATTAAAAAGCAGATATCCCCATGTGCTCCCTTGATGTGGCCACCTGCATCAGTGAAACAGTTGGATATGGGAGTATTGTAGCAGTATAGAAATGGGATGAATCAAGACAGGTTCCTTCTTCACTTTCTTAGGCACAAAATCTCAGAAAGAATTGTTCTGTTTTTCATCAAGAGCGACAGAGACTGCTGATGGCTATGGGGCAGATTCTCTGGTTGAAAGGCCCTGAACATAGCTGGCAAGTGAGACTAATGCCAGTAGCCCTAGAGGGCTAAAAATGGGTCTTGACAGGAATAAACACTGACTCTAAAGTGGGTTTTGCTTATCCATCTGAAGATGATAATGTTCAGAGTGCCATAAAAAGTATAGAACAGAAGATATTGCATGGATTTGCATGACCACTCATCATTTCTTCAGATCAAGTAACACACTGTACAGCCCATAATGTCCAACAATGGGTAGAGTGATATCCTGCTAAGAGTAATAGCTTGACAGAGAAGTGGAACGGGTAATTGAAACATTGGTTGTCTAAAACAGGCAAAGATAAAAGCATGAAGGGCTGGCTTACATGCTTATATAACAACTATAATTCTTTCTTTCTTTCTCAAATTATTTCAGAAATAAAATATTTTATTTTTTCTACCTGATGCAGTGGTCCTAGAACCTGGAAAGCAACTACAAGTTTAAATAGCAGGGGAGATTTCTAAGCAAAATGTATAACAGTATTTTTAAACCTTATTTCAAAATTCCTAAGGGCACTATGGAGGTGGGTTGTGCCTTCACCCCATCTAGAAAAATTGGGGCTAACAGTGAATGCAGCTATATTGCCGGATGGTAAAAATAACTCACTAGTTCTGCCCCTATGTAACCTTACTCTATCTGAATGGAAGTGGATTGAGGAGGAGCTACTTGCCAGACTTGTATTGCTACCTGCAATCTAGACCAGCACAGTGGCAATTCTAATGTCTCTTCCAAAGTTGAAAAAGGTTTGGGTATTAATGGAGAGAAGGAGAAATACCAGCTGAAATTAAAGAAATGAATAACTGGGTTATTAACTGAGATAAAATTCAAAATTACATTAACAACTCAAAATAGTCTCAAAGCAAGAGATGATATTGTCTCTTAGTGCAATTATTCCAGATGCCAGAAAGGGTAATGCTGTATATTTACTAAGGCCACTCCTGCTATTGGAAGCTGACAAGATTGAGAGGAAACCTACAAACCTGAGTGGCCTCATCCTGGGAGACATTTATACAACATGATGGACTGGAATAATTAATAATGATTTTATATAATATATATATATTAATGTAAATGATCTGTGATTGAAAGCCAGGGGGTGGCCTGTGGTGTTATGATATATATTGGTTTTCATCATTGGTTTGTGGCTTATAACTCCTATTACACTTATTAAAGTATTTTGTTATAATTTGAGTGTGTTAGGCCTCAGGGGTAGGCCACTGAACGTCTCCTTCGCTCCTTCCCCCACCTTTCTGATTGTGGGTGTTAAGACTAGCCCATGAGAGGGTTCCACCCTATACCCTGAGACAAGTAATGCTTGTATAATGAAGCTTCCACAAAAACCCAAGATAATAAGGTTCAATGAGTTGTAAAAGCTGAAAACATGGAGCCTCCTGGATGGTGACATGACCAGGAAGGGCATAGAAAGTTCACATCCCTTTCCACATACCTCACCCTATGTATATCTTCATCTGTATCCTTTGTGATATCCTTTATAATAAACCAGTAAATGTAAACAAAAACTAAAACAACTGTACAATCAAGTCTACATAACAACCAGCTAATGGTGTGATGACAAGATCAAATCTTGAAATACTAATATTAACCTTGAATATAAATGGGCTAAACACCCCACTTAAAAGACACATAATGGCAAACTGGGTAAAGAAGAAAGACCCAACTGTATGCCATCTTCAAAAAGCCTGTCTGTCCTCCAATGACACTCATAGGCTCAAAGTAAAGGGAAGGAAAAAGATCTGTCAAACAAAAGAAAACCCCCAAAAAGCAGGGATTGCTATTCTTATTTCAGAAAAAAACAGACGTTAGTCCAACAATAATCATAAAGAACAAAGAAGGCCATTAAATAATGATAAAAGACTTGAGTCAACAAGAAGATTTAATATACTATATATATATGTAACCAACATGGGAGCACCCAGATTCATAAAACAACTTCTTAGAGACCTATAAAGAAACTGAGATAGTGGCACAGTAATAGTGGAAGACTGCAATACCCCCTTAACAGATGGTGTTAGGGGGATCTTGTCATCACACTGTTAGCTTTGTTAAGCTGTCATGTAGACTTGATTGTATAGTTGATTTATTTTTTGTTTACATTAACTGGTTTATTATAAAGGATATAATAAAAGATACAGAAGAAGATATACATAGGGTGAGGTATGTGGGAAGGGATGTGAACCTTTTATGCTCTTCCTGGTCATGTCACCATCCTAGTGTTAAACAGATCATCAAGGCAGAAAACAATGAAAGATATTCAGGGCCTAAACTTAATGGTTGACCAAATGGACCTAAAAGACATCTGTAGAATACTCCACCCAACAACAACAAAATGTATGCTTTTCTTAACTGTGCATAGCATATACTCTAAGATCAACCACATGCTTGGCCATAAAATAACAGATTCCGGTGATGTTGCAGAGAAAAGGGAATGCTTATACACTGCCGGTGGGAATGTAAATTAGTTCAGTCGCTGTGGAAAGCAGTAAGATTTCTCAAAATACTTAAAACAGAACTACCATTCAACCCAGGAATCTAATTACTGGGTATATACCCAAAAGAATATAAATCATTGTAACAAAAAGACACATACACTTGTATGTTCTTTGCAACACCATTCACAATAACAAAGATATGGAGCCAGCCTAGATATCCATCAACAGCATATGGGATAAAAAATATGTGGTACATACACTCCATGAAATACTATGCAGCCATAAAAAATAATGAAAGAATGTCATTTGCAGGAACATGAATTCAGCTGGAGGTCATTATCCCAAGAGTATTTTAAAAAAGAACAGAAAATAAAGTACCGCATGTTCTTACTTGTAAGTGGAAGCTAAAACTTGAGTACACATGGATGCAAAGTGGAAAACCATAGATACTGGGGCCTACTTGTGGATGAAAGGTGGAAAGATGGTGGGAGGAGGGTGAGGGTAAAAAAACTACCCATAGGGTACTATACTCACCACCTGAGTGACAAAATCATTTGTGTATCAAACCCCAGGAACACACAGTTTGCCCACATACAAATCTGCATATGTACCCACTGAACCTAGAATAAAAGTTGAAAAAGAAAAATATATATATTTTATTTTATGTATTAATTGTATTCTTTCTTATTTTATTTTATTTATCCAGTGACTTAGCCTATATTATAATTTCTAACCTGGAAATTAGAAAAAAAAATTACCTACCTCAATAGCCTTATTTTGAAGATAAAGTATGTACATTTATTTTATATCTCAGAATTTATTTATCTTCCTATTTATATTTGGTTGTGTCCAGAAAACTTGCTACAGACTTTGCAAAGTGAAATTTGACCCTATGTGTTTCTCTGTTTGCATTGCTATAAAGAAACATCTGAGATTGTGTAATTTAGATAGAAAAGAAGTTTATTTGGCTCACAGTTCTGCAGGCTGTACAAGAAGCATGGTGCCAGTATCTGCTTCAGATGAGGGCCTCAGAAAGCTTCCATTTATCCCAGAAAGTGAAGGGGGAGCATGTATGTTACATGGTAAGACATGGAGTAAGAGAGAGAAGGGGTAGGTTCCAGGCTCCTTAAACAACCAGTTCTCACATGATCCCAGAGTGAGAACTGATTGCCGTGAGGAAGGCACCAAGACATTAAGGAGGAATCCACTCCCAGGACCCAAACACCTCCTATGAGGCCCCACTTCCAACGCTGGAGGTCAAATTTCAACATAAGATTTGGAGGAGACAAACATCCAAACAATATCATTTTGTTCTGGCCCTGAAAATCTCATGTCTTTCTCACACTGCAAAATATAATCATGCCTGCCCAATACTCTCCAAAAGTTTTAACTCATTTCAGCATCAACTCAATCAAAAGTCCAAAATACAAAGTCTCTTCTGATCTCAAGGCATGTTCCTTCCACCTATGAGACTGTATAATCAAAACAAGTTGTTTACTTTCAAGATTCCAACAATGGTGTTACAGGCAGTCAGTAAATATTCCAATTCAAAAAATGTAAAATTGGTCAAAAGAAAGGAGGAAGAGTCCCCACACAAGTCTGAACCCCAGCTGGACAGTCACTAAATCTTGAATCTTCATAATCTCCTTTTACTCCAGAGCACACTAGTGTGAAGGCTGGGCTCCCAAGTCCTTGGGTAGCTCTGCTTCTGTGGCTTTGCATGGTGCTGCCCCTATGGCTGCTCTCAGAGGTTGCAGTTGAGTGCCTGCAACTTTTCCAGGCTCAGGGTGCAAGCTGCCAGTGGCTCTACAGTTCTGGGGTCTGGAGGGTAGCAGCTCCCTTCCCACAGCTCTACTAGGCAATGCCCCAGTAAGAACTCCATTTATGGGCTCCAACCTCCACATTTCCCTTCCACACTGCCCTAGTAGAGGCTCTTTGTGAAGGCTCTGCTCCTGCAGCAGCCTTTTGCCTAGACACCAGGCTTTTTCATACATCCCCTGAAGTGTAGGTGGAAGATGCCAAACCTTCAGTCTTGCATTCTGCACACCTTCAGGCTTAACATCTCCTGGAAGCCAACAAGGCTTACAGCTTACACTCTCTGTAGTAACACCCTGAGCTGTACCTGGGGCTCTTTGAGCCACAGCTGTAGCTAGAGCAGCAGGGATGTGGGCAGCAGTGTCCCAAGGCTGAGCAGGGCAGTGGTATCCCAGGCCTAGCCACTGAAACCATCCTTTTCTCTGAGGCCTCTGGACCTTTGATTGGAGGAGCTGCCTCAGAGATTTCTGAAATGCCTTCAAAGCCTTTTCCCATTGTCCTGGATATTAGCACCTGGCTTCCTTTCAGTCATGCAAATCTCTCCAGGAAGTGATTGTTCCTCAACCTGCTTGTATTCCTCCTCTGAGAGTACTCTTTCCTTCTACACTCTGTTTCCTTTTTAAATATAAGTTTCAACTTTAAGTCATTTCTTTGCTCCTGTATTTTATAATAGGCTGTTTGTTAGAAGCAGCCAGGTCACTTCTTGAATGCTTTGCTGATTAGAAATTTTTTCCACTAGATACCCTAGGTCATCTCCCTTAAGTTCGAACTTTCTTAAACACTTAGGGCAAGGACAATGCAGCCAAGTCCTTTGCTAAGGTGTAAAAAGAGTCACATTTACTCCTGTCCCCAATAACTTCCTCATTTCCATCTGAGAGCTCATCAGCCTGGCCTTCATTGTCTATATTTCTATCAGCTTGATCACAACCATTTAACCAGTCTCTAAGAAGTTTCAAACTTTCCCTCATCTTCCTGTCTTCTTCCAAGCCCTCAATACACTTCCAAACTCTGCTCATTACCCAGTTTAAAATCTGCATCCATATTTTCAGTTATCTTTATAGCAATAGTACCAATTTCACTCCATAGTATCAGTTTTCTTTGTTAGTTTATTTTTGCTTTTATAATATATGTTTATATATATATATGTTTGAGATGGGGTTTCACTCTCGTCACCTAAGCTGGAGTGCAATGGGATGATCTTGGCCCACTGCAACCTCCCCCTCCCAGGTTCAAGCTTATATATATATATATTTGGCATGTAATATAGCAACTTGTCAGGCACTGTTCTAAGCACGTTATATAAGTTAACCTATTAGTTAGGTTTTACCATTATCTTCATTTTTGAAGAAGAGGATTGAAGCTCAGAGATGGCAACCAACTTGCCCAGGATCACACAGCTAGTAAGTGCTAAACAAAGATTTGAACCCATGAAATCTTGATCACTGTATTATAGTGCCTTAAAATGTTATATTTCTGACTTTGAAATAAAAAGACCGGAGCTCAGTTTCTGGCTCTACCAATTAACTGTTGATGCAACTTTAGATATGTTACTTAATATTCTTAATTCTCAGTTTTTTTTACTTGTAGAATGGGAATAATAAAATTATCTGCCTCATAAGATGATACTTGTGAGGGTTTAATGAGATAATACATTTGAAGTATTTAGAACAGTGCTTGGTGTGTAATACATATTCAACAGATGTGTCCTAGTCAGTTCAGGCTGCCATAGCAAAATACTTTGGACTTGATGGCTTAAATAAGAGAAATTTATTTTCTCACATGTAGAGGCTGGGAAGTCAAAGATCAAGATACCAGTATGGTTGTTTTTTGTGTGTGGGCTATTTTCATAGCTTGTAGAAGTCTACTCTTTACTGTTAGCCCACATAGCAGGAAAGGCAAGATAGAGCAAACTCTCTGGTGTCTCTTCTTATAAGGGCACTCACTAATCCCATCATAAAGACCCCATCATCATGAATTCATCTAAACCTAATTATTTCCCAGAAGCCCCATCTTCAAATATCATCACATTGAGGGTTAATGTCTCACATATAAATTTGGGGAGAACACAATTTAGTGCATAGCAAACACTATCTATTTATATTAATGTTTTTGTGTCTTTGAAGTTTTTAAATTAAACAGATCAATATTTGAATCCTGGATCCACCACTTAACAACCATGTGGCATCAGTTAATTTACTTAGTGAGTCTGAGCCTCAATTTTATTATCTGTAAAATAGGATTGTTAGAAGTAACTTCCTCATAGGATTATTCTGTGGATGAAATGAGATGACATACATAAAACATATGTAAAATATGTAGATTTTACCACCGTTTTTTCTCAGTGTAAATAATTTTGCTCTAGATATATTTGGTCAAAGAATGAAATGTAACACAGCGATAGAAAGTCTTTGGAGTAATAAAAATCTGTGTTGGATGGGGGGCGGTCCCAAGATGGCCGAATAGGAACAGCTCCAGTCTATAGCTCCCAGAATCAGCAATGCAGAAGACGGGTGATTTCTGCATTTCCAACTGAGGTACTGGGTTCATCTCACTGGGGCTTGTTGGACAGTGGATGCAGGACAGTGGGTGCAGCACACTGAGTGTGAGCCGAAGCAGTGCAAGGCATCGCCTCACATGGGAAGCACAAGGGATCAGGGAATTCCCTTTCCTAGCCAAGTGAAGTTGTGACAGACGGCACTTGGAAAATCGTGTCAACTCCCACTCTAATACTGCGCTTTTCCAATGGTCTTAGCCAATGGGACACCAGGAGATTATATCCCACTCCTGGCTCAGAGGCTCCCGTGCCCACAGACTCTCACTCATTGCTAGCACAGCAGTCTGAGTTTGAACTGCAAGGTGGCAGCACGGCTCGGGGAGGGGCGCCCACCATTGCTGAGGCTTGAGTAGGTAAACAAAGTGGCTGGAAATTCAAACTGGGTGGAGCCCACCGCAGCTCAAGGAGGCCTGCCTGCCTCTGTAGACTCCACCTCTGGGGGCAGGGCATAGCTGAACAAAAGGCAGCAGAAACCTCTGCAGACTTAAATGTCCCTGTCTGACAGCTTTGAAGAGAGTAGTGGTTCTCCTAGCATGGAGTTTGAGATCTGAGAACGGACAGACTGCCTCCTCAAGTGGGTCGCTGACCCCTGAGTAGCCTAACTGGGAGGCAACTCCCCCAGTAGGGGCAGACTGACACCTCACATGGCCGGGGAACCCTCTGAGACAAAACTTCCAGAGGAGTGATCAGGCAGCAACATTTACTGTTCACCAATATCCGCTGTTCTGCAGCCTCTGCTGCTGATACCCAGTAAAACAGGGTCTGGAGTGGACCTCCAGCAAACTCCAACAGACCTGCAGCTGAGGGTCCTGACTGTCAGAAAGAAAACTAACAAACAGAAAGGACATCCACACCAAAACCCCATCTGTATGTCACCATCATCAAAGACCAAAGGTAGTTAAAACCACAAAGATGGGAAAAAAAACAGCAGAAAAGCTGAAAATTCTAAAAATCAGAGAACCTCTCCCCCTCCAAAGGAACACAGCTCCTCACCAGCAATGGAACAAAGCTGGATGGAGAATGACTTTGACGAGTTGAGAGAAGAAGGCTTCAGACGATCAAACTTCTCTGAGCTAAAGGAGGAAATTCGAACCTATCAAAAAGAAGCTAAAAACCTTGAAAAAAGATTAGACTAATGGCTAACTAGAATAACCAGTGTAGACAAGTCTTTAAATGACCTGATGGAGCTGAAAACCATGGCACGAGAACTACGTGACAAATGCACAAGCTTCAGTAGCTGATTTGATCAACTGGAAGAAAGAGTATCAGTGATTGAAGGTCAAATGAATGAAATGAAGTGAGAAGAGAAGTTTAGAGGAAAAAGAGTAAAAACAAATGAACAAAGCCTCCAAGAAATATGGGACAATGTGAAGAGACCAAATCTACGTCTGATTGGTGTACCTGAAAGTGACGGGGAGAATGGAAACAAGTTGGAAAACATTCTGCAGGATATTATCCAGGAGAACTTCCCCAATCTAGCAAGGCAGGCCAACAATAAAATTCAGGAAATACAGAGAATGCCACGAAGATACTCCTTGAGAAGAGCAACCACAAGACACATAATTGTCAGATTCACCAAAGTTGAAATGAAGGAAAAAATATTAAGGGTAGCCAGAGAGAAAGGTCGGGTTACCCACAAATGGAAGCCCATCAGACTAACAGCTGATCTCTCGGCAGAAACTCTACAAGTCAGAAGAGAGTGGGGGTCAATATTCAACATTCTTAAAGAAAAGAATTTTCAACCCAGAATTTCATATCCAGCCAAACTAAGCTTCATAAGCAAAGGAGAAATAAAATCCTGTACAGACAAACAAATGTTGAGAGATTTTGTCACCACCAGGCCTGCCTTACGAGAGTTACTGAAGGAAGCACAAAATATGGAAAGGAAAAACCAGTACCAGCCACTGCAAAAACATACTGAATTGTAGAGACCATCGACATGAAGAAACTGCATCAATTAATGGGCAAAATAACCAACTAGCATCATAACAACAGGGTCAAATTCACACATAACAATATTAACCTTAAATGTAAATGGGCTAAATGTTCCAGTTAAAAGACACAGACTGGCAAATTGGATAAAGATTCGAGACCCATCAGTGCGCTGTATTCAGGAGACCCATCTCACATGCAGAGACACAAATAGGCTCAAAATAAAGGGATGGAGGAAGATCTACCAAGCAAATGGAAAACAAAACAAAAAAAAAAGCAGGGGTTGAAATCCTAGTCTCTGATAAAACAGACTTTAAACCAACAAAGATCAAAAGAGACAAAGAAAGCCATTACATAACGGTAAAGGAATCAATTCAACAAGAAGAGCCAACTATCCCAAATATATATGCACCCAATACAGGAGCACCCAGATTCATAAAGCAAGTCCTTAGAGACCTAGAAAGAGGCTTAGACTCCCACACAATAATAATTGGAGACTTTAATACCCCACTGTCAACATTAGACAGATCAACCAGACAGAAAGTTAAGAAGGATATCCAGGAATTCAACTCAGCTGTACACCAAGCGGACCTAATAGACATCTACAGAACTCTCCACCCCAAATCAACAGAATATACATTCTTCTCAGCACCACATAACACTTATTCCAAAATTGACCACACAGTTGGAAGTAAAGCACTCCTCAGCAAATGTAAAACAACAGAAATTATAACAAACTGTCTCTCAGACCACAGTGCAATCAAACCAGAACTCAGGATTAAGAAACTCACTCCAAACCACTCAACTACATTGAAACTGAACAACCTGCTCCTGTATGACTACTGGGTACATAATGAAATGAAGGCAGAAATAAAGATGTTCTTTGAAACCAATAAGAACAAAGACACAACATACCAGAATCTCTGGGATACATTTAAAGCACTGTGTAGAGGGAAATTTATACCACTAAATGCCCACGAAAGAAAGCAGGAAAGATCTAAAATGGACACCCTAACATCACAATTAAAAGAACTAGAGAAGCAAGAGCAAACAAATTCAAAAGTTGGCACAAGGCAAGAAATAAGTAAGATCAGAGCAGAACTTAAGGAGATAGAGACACAAAAAATCAATGAATCCAGGAGCTGGTTTTTTGAAAAGATCAGCAAAATTGATAGACCGCTGGCAAGACTAATAAAGAAGAAAAGAGAGAAGAATCAAATACACACAATAAAAAATGATAAAGGGGATATCATCACTGATCACACAGAAAAACTATCATCAGAGAATACTACAAACAACTCTATGTGAATAAACTAGAAAATCTAGAAGAAATGGATACATTCCTCGACACATAAAACCTCCCTAGACTAAACCAGGAAGAAGTTGAATCTCTGAATAGACCAATAACAAGCTCTGAAATTGAGGCAGTAATTAATAACTTACCAACAAAAAAAGTCCAGGACCAGATGAATTCACAGCTGAATTCTACCAGAGGTACAAGAAGGAGCTGGTACCATTCCTTCTGAAACTATTCCACTCAAAAGAAAAAGAAGGAATCCTCCCTAACTCGTTTTATGAGGCCAGCATCATCCTGATGCCAAAGCCTGTCAGAGACACAACAAAAGAAGAGAATTTTAGACCAATATCCCTGATGAACATTGATGCAAAAATCCTCAATAAAATACTGGCAAATCAAATCCAGCAGCACATCAAAAAGCTTATTCACCATGATCAAGTGGGCTTCATCCCTGGGATGCAAGGATGGTTCAACATATGCAAATCAATAAACATAATCCATCATATAAACAGAACCAAGACAAAAACTACATGATTATCTCAATAGATGCTGAAAAGGCCTTTGACAAAATTCAACAGTCCTTCATGCTAAAAAGTCTCAATAAATTAGGTATTGATGGGACATATCTCAAAATAATAAGAGCTATTTATGACAAACCCACAGCCAATATCATACTGAATGGGCAAAAACTGGAAGCATTCCCTTTGAAAACCAGCACAAGACAGAGATGCCCTGTCTCACCACTCCTATTCAACATAGTGTTGGAAGTTCTGGCCAGGGCAATCAGACAGGAGAAAGAAATAAAGGGTATTTAGTTAGGAAAAGAGGAAGTCAAATTGTCCCTGTTTGCAGGTGACATGATTGTATATTTTGAAAACCCCATCGTTTAAGCCCAAAATCTCCTTAAGCTGAGAAGCAACTTCAGCAAAGTCTCAGGATACAAAATCAATGTACAAAAATCACAAGCATTCCTATAAACCAATAACAGACAAACAGAGAGACAAATCATGAGTGAACTCCCATTCACAATTGCTTCAAAGAGAATAAAATATCTAGGAATCCAACTTACAAGGGACGTGAAGGACCTCTTCAAGGAGAACTACAAACCACTGCTCAAGGAAATGAAAGAGGACACAAACAAATGGAAGAACATTCCATGCTCATGGATAGGAAGAATCAATATCATGAAAATGGCCATACTGCCCAAGGTCATTTATAGATTCAATGCCATCCCCATCAAGCTACCAATGACTTTCTTCACCGAATTGGAAAAAATTACTTTAAAGTTCATATGGAACCAAAAAAGAGCCCGCATTGCCAAGTCAATCCTAAGCCAAAAGAACAAAGCTGGAGGCATCATGCTACCTGATTTCAAACTATACCACACGGCTACAGTAACCAAAACAGCATGGTACTGGTACCAAAACAGAGATATAGACCAATAGAACAAAACAGAGCACTCAGAAATAATACCACACATCTACAACCACCTGATCTTTGACAAACCTAACAAAAACAAGCAGTGGGGAAAGGATTACCTATTTAGTAAATGGTGCTTGGGAAAACTGGCTAGCCATATGTAGAAAGCTGAAACTGGATCCCTTCTTTACACCTTATACAAAAATTAATTCAAGATGGATTAAAGACTTAAATGTTAGACCTAAAACCATAAAAACCCTAGAAGAAAACCTAGGCAACACCATTCAGGACCTAGGCATGGGCAAGGACTTCATGTCTAAAACACCAAAAGCAATGGCAACAGAAGCCAAAATTGACAAATGTGATCTGATTTAACTAAAGAGCTTCTGCACAGCAAAAGGAATTACCATCAGAGTGAACAGGCAACCTACAGAATGGGAGAAAATTTTTGCAATCTACTCATCTGACAAAGGGCTAATATCCAAAATCTACAATGAACTCAAACAAATTTACAAGAAGAAAACAAACAACCCCATCAAAAAGTGGGTGAAGGACATGAACAGACACTTCTCAAAAGAAGACATTTATGCAGCCAACAGACACATGAAAAAATGCTCATCATCACTGGCCATCAGAGAAATGCAAATCAAAACCACAATGAGATACCATCTCACACCAGTTAGAATGGAGATCATTAGAAAGTCAGGAAACAACAGGTGCTGGAGAGGATGTGGAGAAATAAGAACACTTTTATGCTGTTGGTGGGACTGTAAACTAGTTCAACCATTGTGGAAGATAGTGTATCAATTCCTCAAGGATCTAGAACTAGAAATACCATTTGACTCAGCCATCCCATTACTGGGTATATATCCAAAGGATTATAAATCATGCTGATATAAAGACACATGCACACATATGTTTATTGCAACACTATTCACAATAGCAAAGACTTGGAGCCAACCCAAGTGTCCATCAATGATAGACTGGATTAAGAAAACGTGACACATACACACCATGGAATACTATGCAGCCATAAAAAATGATGAGTTCATGTCCTTTGTAGGGACATGGATGAAGCTGGAAACCATCATTCTCAGCAAACTATCACAAGGATGGAAAACCAAACACTGCATGTTCTCACTCATAGGTGGGAATTGAACAATGAGAACACATAGACACAGGGAGGGGAATATCACACACTGGGGCATGTTGTGGGCTGGGGGAATGGGGGAGGAATAGCATTAGGAGATATACCTAATGTAAATGATGAGTTAATGGGTGCAGCACACCAACATGAAACATGTATACATATGTAACAAACCTGCACGTTGTGAACGTGTACCCCAGAATTTAAAGTATAATAAAAAATAAATATGTAAATTAAAAAATAAAATCTGTGTTGGAGTCCCAAGTTCCCCTATTTGCTAATTGTGTCAATTTAGACAAGTGACTTAATCTCTCTAAACCATAATTCCTAACCTAGAAAATAGGAAATATTGCATTTACCTCAATAGCATTATTTGCAGGATTATATAAGATAAACCATAAAAAGTTCCTGGCACATGGTAGATGTTCAATTAATGTTACTTATCATTATTCAAAGACATCATTCCATTATTTTGAAAATTAAAAATTCTTGTCAAATTTCTAGACAAAGGCTAGATATTTTTTGAAATTCTAGTCAAAATTCAAAATCAAAAACTAGTTCACAATTCTAGTTGAAAATTTTCTTCTAGAGACTGAGACAACAGCTCTCAAAGTATTTAGTGCACAGCCCTAACCTACTGACAAAAGGAAGTTCTCATTTTAAAACTTTCCATTTTTAAGGCAATGAGAGTAGGGGAGTTACTCTATATTTTGGACCAAGATTGTAGACTGGGTCCTCAGTGAATATTTTTTGACTGACCACCCACATTTATTTTTTAAAGCAGTGAAAGGAGCCAAGAGTTGGAAGAATGTGGTGTTCTGTAAAAAAAGATATACGAATCTTATAAAAAATAGTCATAAATTTGTGGTATTAATAAAACCCTGAACCTGAAATTGAAAATGGATTTGAATAATTGGATTTCTTTCTTTCTTTAAAGATATTATTATAATTCTATTATTACATGTATAATCCATATTTATTATTGAAAATATACCACATACAAATAAGCAAAAACAAGTTCCTTGACCAAGCGCTTACCCCTATCAGCAGTTTGGTATACGTACTTCCAGGCATTGTATGTATGCACTTGTGTGTGTTTATGATGAATAAATAAATACATATAAATATATTTTAACAAAATGGGATATATTATTCATGTTTCTATGTTATTTTTCACTTATATCTAGAATATCTTTTTATGATAAAATTTTTAAGCATCTTTAAAGCTTACTTTAATAAAGTTACTTTCCAATGCAACTTTTTTTCATGCAGCATTTTAATGTGGAGTATTCTCTTCCTAATGCCTGCGTATGTCAAGCATTCTTGCATCAGCTGCAATATCTGCAGTCAGCCAATTATGCTACTTAACTAGGGGGCCACTATAGAGCTGATTTTTATCAAATTAGAAATCTAACTATTGAGAGAGTATGAGCCCCCTAAGTTTAAGTGATCTTTATGCTGCCCTCAGCAATCCTAAAATAACTTTCAAAAGTAAGCATAAAGAAATAAAATTTGCTTTGCCGCTTCAGCGGCAGTTAAGAAACGTATTTTTCATCAGTAGTTATGTTGGAGGTGCTCATTATAATTTTCTGCTCTGTAATAAGACTTCACTTTGAAATAGCTAGAAGAATTTGCACTTCTGTGGGGATGGAGGTAGGGAGAAGCCCGAGCCTCTGAAATGTCTGAAGTGCTGAGTGACAACCATGTAACTGCCCACAGAAGACCTAGGCTCTTTTGGAGGAGTTAATTACCTGTACTGACATGATTCGGGGTTCTGGTATGCTGGCTATTATTGCCTGGGGCTTTGCTGGAGAAACATTCCCCAAATCACAGACTGTCTTTCTTTGTATGACATACTTCAAATGTCTTCCAATTCAAAAGAATTCTAGAGAAGACCTAAGGCTTCTGGAATCTATTAACTTCCACAATCAGTAAGTTTGTGGTGCTTTCATGGCTGCTGAACTTCAAAGAGCTTAATGCCTGTAATTGATTTATATCATATTTGAAGATGCTACAAGATTTTCCAAATTAGAAAAAGACACATTCCTATTTCTTCCCCTGTGGCATGGAGCTGGGCTATTAAAGACAGAAAATTGGGAGAATTTACCAGTGACAGACCTTCATTTTACGGTTTTTGAGTGGCTTCTAAATTTGGGGTTCTTAAGTACCATGCCAAAATGAAGAGTATTTGTTTTCTTTTGCTGGTTTTCATAAAATCTATAAAAGATTATCTACTTAGCTTACACACTGCTGTTTTAGGGCTTCTGTGCCTCACTATTTTTATATATAATATTCTTTCTTCTTTCTGAACACTAGAGTAGTGGAGAGTCTACAAAGGATTCAGCTGAATATTAATTCATTCATGCCTTACTGAAAAGTTTGTTTTATTTTATCTCACACACACCCACCTCCCCTTACCAGTAGTAAAAGAAGAAAAGGGTAAAATTATTTTGTGGGTGGGTATCAAATATCAGGCATTACACTCAGCAATGTTTATATGTTTCCCAGATGTCAGATAATGTTACCTTGTGTTTTGAGATTTAAAAAAATCTGGCACAAACTCTCTAGCCCACATTGTGAAGAATTTCAATGTTCTCCCTATGATTTATGAATCCTCAGGGAATTATGATCTCATAATTACATCTGGTTTTGAGTTCATGCTTCCACTAATCTATGTCACAGTTTTTCTCTTTTTCTGTCTGACACCCACTCAGCCAGGGAACTCTGTTCCTTTTCCTTAGTTTTGTCCCAAAGTGCTCATACAAGCAATGAGTAGCAGAGAGAACACTCTACTTGCAATTTGGAACCAAGGAAAGATTGTATGCTGACACAAAATGTGCAATTTAGAAGTGAATTTTAGACATGGTTCTTCTTGCAAGTCTTTTGGCCATACTGCCATATGGAATTTTTTGCTGAGCATCTTCTTCGATATGCTCCAACATGCTTCTAGATTGCTTAGGCCTCTCTCCCTCAAGGCTCTCCTTATAACTCCCTGCTCCTCTGTTTGCCAGACCCCTCCAGTGTTACTTTCCCCAAATGTAATTCTTCTCATTCTATTATACAAAGCAACTTAGTTCCCTTTCCCTTTATTCATTGTATTAGTCTGCTCAGGCTGCAATAACAAAATGTCACAGAATGGGTGGCTTATAAAACAGTCACTTATTTCTCACTGTCTGAAGTAAAAGATCAAGGTGCTGGCATTGTTGATTTTCTTGAGGCCTCTCTCCTTGGTTTGCTGACAGCCTCTTTATCACTGTATCTTCAGTGGCTTTTTCTCTGTGCACATGCTCCTGAAGTCTCTTTCTCTTCTAATATGGACACCAGTCGCATTCAATTAGGCCCTCACCCTTATGACTTCATTTAACCTTAATTACCTCCTTGAAGGCCCTATCTCAAAGTAGAATGACTTTATCAGTTAGGGGTTAAAATATATAAATACAATTTATTCCATGACACTCATTTTAAGGCCTACTATTTTCTATTTAAATTCAAATTAATGTACTCTGCAAAACATAGGTTCACATATGCTGGAGGCTGACCTTTCAGAAGCACAGATTAGTAGACACTTTGAGATTTCAATTTCTTTGTTATCTCTCTATCTCCCTCTCTCTTTCTCTCTCTCTGTCTCTCTCTCCTCATTTTGGATATAGCATAATAGGCTGAATAATGGCCACCCAAAAATACCTTAACCTCACTGAGGAGCCTGAAAATCCAGATCACAGGAGAAAGATTTAACTTTACCCAGAGCTGAAACAAATTTAGACAGCCAAATGAAATATAAAAGTAGAAGAAGCCATGGGAAAAGCCCTTTAGGCACTCCTGGTCCCCAAGGAAGCCCAAGGAACTATTTCTGACTTTATCTCACAGGGGTCCTTGAGGAGGGCGGCCAGTGGAACTGGGAAAAGACCACAGAGAGAAGGAAAATTCCAGCTGAACTTTGTAGTAATTTTGACTGAGCACAAATTTTCCAGGGCAGAATCTGGAGGTATGGGGGCAAACAGAAAGTGCAGATAGGAGCATAGAAGCTGCGACCAGGAGGGGCAAAACCTGAAAGCTCTGCTTGGTTTCTCGAAGGTAAGTTTGTAGCCTGGGGCAAGTTCCCAGCCCAGCTCACCAGCTGCCTGGATATAAACTCAGTGTTGTTGGGGGAGCACAGTGGGAGTGAGACTGGCCTTGTTGGCTGTGTGCGAGCTGGGTGAGGTCTGTCACTGCCATCTTTACCCCATTTCCCTGGTGACCTGTAAGATGCAGCAGAGGCAGCCATAATTCCCCTGGGAACGTAACTCCATTGGCCTGAGAAACACACTCCCATCCCCCACAGCGGCCACAGCTAGACTCACCTAAGGAGAATCTGAGCTCAGGCACACCTAAACCTGCCCCCATTTAATGTTCTTTCTCTGTGCACCCTGGTAGCCAAAGAAAAAAGACGTAATTTCTTGGTAGCTCTATGGCTCCACCCACTGCCTGAGAAACCAGAGTACTTATCCAGGTGACCCTAAGGCAAGCTTGTATCTTCCCTATCCTACCTCAGCTGATGCTCTCTTGAAAGTGCTACCTCCTGGCTACAGGCCAGCCAATACAAACCATTACAGCAACTCATAAAAGAGCAACCTTGCCACAAGAAAGGAGAAAACAACAGCTAGCTCCTCTGCTTGTAACATCCTGGCTAACCAGAGGTCCTGAGTCTGTCCGTCAATGTGACAACTTTACTGCCAGCACAACCAACATTCAAGAAAACCAGCACGCTAAATAGAACAACAACCAAGATCCTACACACAGTCTACCTCAGTCCCATTACCTCCACTGGAGCAGGTGCTGTTATCCACAGCTGAGAGACCTGAAGACAGATCACATCACAGGACTTTTTGCAGACACTCCCCAGTACCAGCCCAGAGCCCATAAGCTCTGCTGGATGGCTAGACCCAGGAGAGAAATAATAATCACTGCAGTCCTGCTTGTAGGAAGCCACATCCCTAGGGGAAGGGGGAGAACACCACAACAAGGGAACACCCCTGTGACAAAAGAATCTAAATAGCAGCCCTTGATCCTCAGATGTTTCCTCTGACATAGTCTACCCAAATTAGAAGGACCCAGAAATACAATTCTGATAATATTACAAAACAAGATTATTTAACACCACCAAAATATTACACTAGCTCACTAGCAATGGATCCAAGTCAAGAAGACATCTCCGAATGGTTAGAAAAAAAATTCAGAAGGTCAATTATTAAACTACTTAAGGGGACAGCAGAGAAATGTAAATACGAAGTTAAAGAAATTTTTTAAATGTTACAGGATATGAATGGAAAAATCTCTAGAGACATAGATAACATAAATAAAAAACAATTAAAAACCTCTGGAAAAGAAGGACACACTTAGAGAAATGTAAAATACACTGGAAAGTCTCAACAATAGAATTAAACAAGTAGAAGAAAGAACTTCCCAGCTCAAAGACAGGACTTTTGAATTAACCCAATTCAAAACAAACAAAGAAAAAAAGAATTTTTTTTTAATGAAAAAAGCCTCCAAAAAGCTTGGGATTATAATAATGACCAAGCCAGAATAATTGGTGTCCCTGAGGAAGAAGAAAAATCTAAATTTTTGAAAAACATTTGAGGAAATAATTGAGGAAAACGTCCCTGGCTTTGCTAGAGATGTAGACAACTAAATACAAGAATCTCAAAGAACACCTTAGAAATTTGTCACAAAAAGATCATCGCTTAGGCACATAGTCATCAGGTTATCCAAAGTCAAGATGAAGGAAAGAATCTTAAAAGCTGTGAGGCAAATGCATCAGGTAACCTATTAAAAAAATTGATCAGATTAACAGCAGATTTTTCAGCAGAAACCCTATAAACTAGAAGGGGTTAGGGGTCCTATCTTTATTTTTAAATTATTTATTTTATATATTTACCTTTTTAGCAGAGCCTTGCTCTGTTGCCCAAGCTGGAGTGCAGTGGCATGATCTTGGCTCACTGCATCCTCCACCTCCTGGATTCAAGGGATTCTCATGCCTCTGCCTCCAGAGTAGCTGGGATTGCAAGTGTGCACCACCACGCCTGGCTGATTTTTGTATTTTTTAGCAGAGATATGTTTTCAACATGTTGGCCAGGCTGGTCTTGGATGTCTGGTCTCAAGTGATCCACCTGCCTCAGCCTCCCAAAGTGCTGAGATTACAGGCATGAGCCACCGTGCCTGGCTTGAGGTCTTATCTTTAGCCTCCTTAAACTAAACAATTATCAGCTAGGAATTTTCTATCCAGTGAAAGCAAGCTTCATAAATAAAGAAGAAAATATACAGTCTTTTTAGACAAATAAATACTGAGAGAATTCACCACTACCAAGTTAGCACTACAAGAGCTGATGAAAGGAGCTCTAAGTCTTGAAACAAAACTTTGAAATACACCAAAACAAAATCTTCTTAGAGTATAAATCTCACGGGACCTATAAAACAATAGCACAATTTAAAAAAACAAGGTTTTCAGGTAACAAATAGCAAGATGAATAGAATAGTACCTCACTTCTCAATACTAATGCCGAATGTAAATGGCCCAAATGCCCTACTTAAAATATACATAATGGCAGAATAGATAAAAATTTACCAACTAAGTATCTGTTATCTTCAAGAGCCTCACCTGACATATAAGGACACATGTAACCTTAAAGTGGTGGAAAAAGATATTCCATGAAAATAGACACCAAAAGTGAGCAGGAGTAGCTATTCTATCAGACAAAACAGATTTTAAAGCAACAACAGTTAAAAAAGACAAAGAGAGACATTATATAATAATAAAATATCTAGTCCAACAGGAAAACACCACAATTCTAAATATATATGCACCAAACACTGGAGCTCCCAAATTTATAAAACAATTACTACTAGACCTAGGAAATGAGATAGATGGCAACACAATGATAGTGGGAGACTTCAATATTCCACTGACAGCACTCGACAAGTCATCAAGACAGAAAGTCAACAAAGAAATCATAGACGTAAACTATACCCTAGAACAAATGGACTTAACAGATATTTACACGGCATTCTACCCAACAACTACAGAATATGCATTCTATTCATCAGCACATGAAACATTCTCCAAGATAGACCATATGATAGGCCACAAAACAAATCTCAACAAATTTAAGAAAATCGAAATTATAGCAAGTACTCTCTCAGACCACAGTGGAATAAAACTGGAAATCAACTCCAAAAGGAACCCTCAAAACCATATAAACAGATGGAAATTAAATAACCTGCTCCTGAATGATCACTGGGTCAACAATGAAATCAAGATGAAAATTAAAAATTATTTGGAGTGAATGATAGCAGTGACACAACATATCAAAACCTTAGGGATACAGCAAATCAGTGCTAAGAGGAGAGTCCATAGCATCAAATGCTTACATCAAAAAGTCTGAAGAGCATAAATTGATAATCTAAGGTCACACCTCAAGGATCTAGAGAAACAAGAACAAACCAAATCCAAATTCAGCAGAAGAAAAGAAATAACCAAATCAGAGCAGAACTAAATAAAATTAAAACTAAAAAAGAAGATAAATGAAGCGAAAAGCTTTTTCTTTGAAAAGGCAAATAAAATTGATAGACCATTAGCAAGATTAACTAAGAAAAGAAGAGAGTAAATCCAAATAAACTCAATTAGAAATAAAACAGGAGATATTACAACTGATACCAGAGAAATACAAAAGATCATTCAAGGCTACTATTAACAACTTAATGCACACAAACTAGAAAACCTAGAGGAGATGAATAAATTCAAGGAAACATACAACTCTCCTAGATTAAACCAGAAAGAAATAGAAACTCTGAAGAAACCAATAACAAGCAGTGAGAATGTAATGCTAATAAAAAAAATTGCCAACAACAAAAAAGTCCAAGAAAAGATGGATTAACAGCTGAATTCTATCAGACATTAAAAAAAATTGGTACCAATCCTGTTGACACCATTCCAAAAGATAGAGTAAGAGGGACTTCTCCCTAAATCATTCTATGAAGCCAGTATCACACTAATACCAAAACCAGGAAAAGACGTAAAAAAAGAAAACTACAAACCAATATCCCTGATGAACATAAGTGCAAAAATTCCCAATAAAATATGAGCTAACTGAATCCAACAGCATATTAAAAAGATAATCCACCATGATCAAGTGGGTTTCATACAAGGGATGCAGGGATGGCTTAACACATACAAGTCAATAAATGTGATACACCACATAAAGATAATTTAAACAAATATCATATGATTATCTCAATACATGCAGGAAAGGCATTGACAAAAATTCAGCTTCCCTTTATGATTAAAACCCTCAGAAAAATCTGTGTTGAAGGGGCATACCTTAAGGTAATAAAAGCCATCTATGGCAAACCCACAGCCAAAATAATGAATAGGGAAAAGTTGAAAGCATTCCCCCTGACAGCTGGAACAAGACAAGGATGCCCACTTTCACCACTTCTATTCAACATAGTACTGGAAGTCCTAGCTAAAGCAATCAGACAGGAGAAAGAAATAAAGGACATCCAAATCAGTAAAGAGGAAGTCAAACTGTCACTGTTCACTGATGATATGATTGTATACCTAGAAAACCCTAAAGACTCATCCAAAAAACTCCTATAACTGATAAAGTGAATTCAGCATAGTTTCAGGATACACAATTAATATACAAAAATCAGTAGCCCTGCTATACACCAACAGTGACCAAGCTGAGACTTAAATTAATAACTCAACCTATTGGCTGAGTGTGGTGGCTCATGCCTGTAATCCCAGCACTTTGGGAGGCTGAGGCAGGCGGATCACGAGGTCAGGAGATTGAGACCATCCTGGCTAACACAGTGAAACCCCGTCTCTACTAAAAATACAAAAAATTAGCCAGGTGTGGTGGTGGGCACCCGTAGTCCCAGCTACTTGGGAGGCTGAGGCAGGAGAATGGCGTGAACTCGGGAGGTGGAGCTGGCAGTGAGCCGAGGTTGTGCCACTGCACTCCAGCCTGGGTGACAGAGTGAGACTCTGTCTCAGTAAACAAATAAATAAATAGAAACTCACCTCTTTTACAATGGCTGCAAAGAATATAATAAAATACTTAAAAATATACCTAACCAAGGAGGTGAAAGACCTCTAAAAGAAAAACTACAAAACGCTGCTAAAAGAAATTATAGATAGTACAAACAAAGAAAACACATCCCATGCTCATAAAAGGGTAGAATCAATATTGTGAAAATGGTCATACTGCCAAAACCAACTACAAATTTAATGTGATTCCCATCAAAATAGCATCTTCATTCTTCACAGAACTAGAAAAAAAATCCTAAAATTCATGTGGAACCCTAATAGAGCCCACGTAGCCAAGGCAATTCTAAGCAAAATGAACAAATCTAGAGGCATCACATTACCAGACTTCAAACTATACTACAGGGCTATTGTCACTAAAACAGCATGACACTGCATAAAAATAAGCACATAGATCAATGGAACAGAATACAGAACCCAGAAATAAAGCCAAATACTTAAACCTAACTGATTGTTGACAAAGCAAACAAAAACATAAAGTGGGGAAAGAACACCCTATTCAACAAATGGTGCTTGGATAATTGGCAAGCCACATGTGGAAGAATGAAATTAGTTCCTCATCTCTCACTTTATACAAAAATCAAGATGCATCAAGGACTTAAATCTAAGACCTGGAACCATAAAAATTCCGGAAGACAACATCAGAAAAGCCCTTCTAGACAGTGGCTAAGGCAAAGACTTCATGACCAAAAACCCAAAAGCAAATTCAACAAAAACAAAAATAAATAGATAGAACTTAGTTAAACTAAAAACTTCTGTACAGCAAAAGAAATAATCAGCAGAATAAGCAGACAACCCACAGAGTGGGAGAAAATCTTTGCAAACTATGCATCCAACAAAGGAGTAATATCCAGAATCTACAAGGAACTCAAACAAATTAGCAAGAAAAAAAAATCCCATCAAATGTGGGATAAGGACATGAATAGACAATTCTCAAAAGCAGTTATACAAATGACCACTAAACATATTTAAAAAATGCTCAACATCACTAATTATCAGGGAAATGTAAATGAAAACCAAAATGTGATACCACCTTACTCCCGCAGGAGTGACCATCATTTAAAAACATCAAGAAGTAGTAGATGTTGGCATGGATGTGGTAAAAAGGGAACACTTTTACATTGCTTGTGGTAAGTAAACTAAGTAAACTAGTACAACTACTATGGAAAACAGTGTGGAGATTTCTTAAAGAACTAAACGTAGACCTACCATTTGTTCCAGCAATCCCACTCTTGGATATTTACCCAGAGGAAAAGAAATCAATATATGAAAAAGTTATAGCAGCACAATTCACAGCTGCAGACATATGGAACAAGCCCAAATGCCCATCAGTCAACCAGTGGTTATATACACCATGGAATACTACTTAGTCATTAAAAGGAATTAATTAATGGCATTCACAGCAACCCGGATGGAGTTGGAAACCATTATTCTACATGAAGTAATTCAGAAATGGAAAACCAAACATTGTATGTTCTCACTTACGAGTGGGAGCTAAACTATGAGAATGCAAAGGCATGAGAATGATACAATGGATTGTGGGGACTTGGGGGGAGGGTGGGGGAGGGGAGAAGGATAAAAGATTACACATTGGGTACAGTGTACACTGCTCCGGTGATGGGTGCACCAAAATCCCAGAAATAGCCACTAAAGAACTTATCCATGTAAGCAAACACCACCTGTTCCCCAAAAACCTACTGAAATAAATGAAAAAATTTGAAGATTGAAGTGATATAGCCACATTCAAAAGAATACCAACAGGCACAAGAAACTGAAAGAGCCAAGAAAAGAATTCTCTCCTGCAGCCTGCGAAAGGAGCAAGCCCTGCTAAGACCTTGATTTCAGCCCAGAGATACTGATTTTGGACTTCTGATCTCCAGAATTGCAAGAGAATAAATGTGTGTTCTTTTAACCTACCAAGTTTGTGATAATTTGTTACAGAAGTAACAGGAAACTAATACCAATGGGAAGAGAATAAAAACAAAATCTTTAACTGATAGAAACTTATACTACCACTAACCCTCTCCCCCACCATACATACCTTAGGAGGCAGGGGCTATATTCGAGGTGGAGTTTAAATAATTTGTTTAAATAATTTGCTTACTCTGCTACACATACATTATCTCATTCAATTATTATCACAATATTTTGAGGGAAGAAGTATGATACCACTTAAATTGATAAAGAAACTGACATTGGGAAAGTATAAGTAATTTGCCAGAGAGTGCACAGCTAGTAAGTGACAGAACCAGGATTTAAATTTAGAAGAAGAAAGGTCAAGGTATTACGTTAATCTGTAAGCATATATTAAGGTAGTATCATCAAGTAGAAACTTTCCTAAAGCTTTATGAAACATCTTAGATTTTTTTTTAGTGGCTTTCTTTCATGATTGTTGACATTGCCACTTGTATAGCAGACATAATAGTATTGAAACTTCCAGACTGAAAGCTTGCTTCCAATTTTTAAACTGTAAACTCAAAGAATCACATAGAAATTAAATTATCTTAGAAGCATGTTCAGGAATGAAATAATTCCATAACAGTGATTATGACACAATATTGCAACTCAAGCATTGTAAATTCTACCGTGTGTGGGGAGTTGAGGTGTGCAATTAACATTAAAATAACTTACTATATTACAAAGTAGTTTATACGTTATATGATGCAAGATTATAATCCATGTGATAGATTTCTATCCCCTCTTTCTGTCTCTCAAGGTGTTTTCTCTTAATATCTCCTGTGGGTATGGGTAGGGGTAGGAGTAGGAATATAAGCATGTTGTCTCCTAATTAGTGTACAACACATTTGACACCTTAGAATGAACCATTTTTTCCTAAGTCCCACTTGGCTTATATGACATATTTGAATATTTTAAACATTAGGTGAACTATTAATTCTGACTTTGTTATACTAAAAGATCTTTGTCTATTCCTGCTCTGTAATTGACAGTGAGAGAAGCCAGGAGAAATTGCTTCTCCCAAATCTCTCATTTTATTTCCTAAACTACAGAAAAAAATGTCAGGGACAATACCATTTTACCTCATCATAATAGGTGAAATAAGGGATCAGATTCTTGAAAGTGTTCAGGGAAGAAGTTGAATTTTGAACAATAATTTTGAATTTTGAACTGAGTTTTATTGACAGAGGGAACAGTGTTATAAAAGGCACAAATATGAGGCATTGCTGGGAAAACATGACCTTCGCTGTGTTCAGAAATAGATGAGAGAGACTCCAATGAGAATAAAATGTGGAAAAGCAATGTAGATTTTAATAAGGGTGACAAATTTAGAGGTCAATAAAACATCATTTCCTTTTTGACAGGGTCACTACACAGGTTGGTGATACAAATGCTATAAATAAAGAATACCTAGATTTCATCAAGGTGTTTGATAAGGTCCTGGGATAAGCTGATCTGGATAATATCATTGCCTAGTAGGTTAATAACTGGAAGACCATTACCAAAAAGTGGTGATTCATGGATTGGTTAAATCTAGAGTAAGGTCCACTAGAAGGCATAGAGGTCAGACTTATGAAAGACTTGGAAAGAAAGCCAAAAGGCAGAACGAAAGAATTAGGATTCAAAAAGCTACTCTACAGGTGGAACAGATGTAGTTTAATGAAATTAAGCAAAGCATGCTACATTTTCCTTGATGTATTCATGTTTTTAAACATTTATGGATCATGTATTATATATTAGGCACTAGGCTAAGTGGTGGGGATACAAAGAAAAAAAAAGACCCAGTTCCCCAAGGAGCTCACAGTCTCACTAAGGGAAACAGATAAATAAATTTTGTCAGTACAGTAAGATGAACATTATGATAGAGGTAAACACAGAGTGCTACAGGAAGACAGAGAAAGGACAAGTAAATGAGAATGTTTTTCATGAGGATGTGATGTTTCAGTTGAATTTTAAAGAAAATAAACAGGATCTGAAGAAACAGAGATGATATTTTAGGTAGAGAAAAGCTAAAGTCATTGAAACAGTAAGATATATTTTGAGAACCCCAAGCAATAAGGTCTGACTATAAGAATTTATGGGTATTCAAGAGTAATACAGAAATAAAAGTGGGTTATGAGATCCCTGAAGATGA
Organism: Homo sapiens; assembly: GCF_000001405.40. Classification (NCBI taxonomy): domain Eukaryota; kingdom Metazoa; phylum Chordata; class Mammalia; order Primates; family Hominidae; genus Homo; species Homo sapiens. Next base: position 85,602,247 of record NC_000023.11, read on the forward strand.
CATCAAGATGTACCTACTTCAGTGCCCTCAGCAACCAATACAGAACCTGAAGCAGAATAGGGCCCCAGGAAATATTTTTGAATGGATAAATTAATGAACAGCATGTGTTATACATAAAGGAACTTAGATGTTAAATTTGAAAGCTTATATACCCAAATAAAAAGAAATCATTATATCAAAGAGATACCTGTACTCATATGTTTATAGCAGTATTATTCACAATGCAAAGATGTGGAATCAATGTACATGTCCATAAACAGATGACTGGAAATGTAATGAACACACACACACACACAAATGTATACATATATATGTTTATATATAAATAAATATATACACACGCACACACACACACATAAATACCATGGAATACTACTTAGCCATAAAAAAGAATAAAATAATGTCTTTTGCAGCAACATTGATGGAACTGGAGTCCATTGTCTTAAGTAAAATAACTCAGAGAAAGTCAGATAATGCATATTCTCACTTATAAGTGGGAGCTAAATAATGTGTACACAAGGATATAGAGTGTAGAATAATAGACATTGGAAATTCAGAAGGGTGAGCAGGTGGGAGGATGAGGGATGAGAAGTTACTTAATGGATACAATGTACATTATTTGGGTGTTGGTTACACTAAAAGCCCAGACTTCACCACTATGCAATACATTCATGTAACAAAACTTCACCGTACACCCTAAATTTATATTAAAAAAAACCCATAGAGTGATATGATTACATTTGTGTTTTAGAAATCCCACTCTGGCAGCAGTGGGACAAATGCATTATAGAGGAGATAAACTAAAGGCAGATAGGTTACTGTTATAATTCCATTAATAAACTAGGGCTATAGGAGTTAAAAAGAAATTATTTAGGCAGATAGTGAGGGTAAGAGTCCTTGGTAAGGTTTTCCTTTTAATGAAAAGCAGTCCCCAAATCATTTTCTTTTCTAACAAAGAGAAATCTGTAAAATCGAGCTGCAGACATACACAAACAAGCTGGAAGCTTGCACAGATGAATGCCGGCAGTTGTGCCAATAGGAAAAGACTACCTGGAACTAGGCATGATAAAAGTGGCGGCTCCATCTTCCCTTCTCTTTGCTAGCCATGTGTACAGTAAGGAGCACACAAGTTGGCACTGGCCAAGTGGAAACCTCATTTGCATAATAAGATTAGGGTGGGGCAACCAGCCTCCCCAACATGCTATGTAAACGTCACACCTGGTTGAACCAATCTGTAGGTCCTACATAAATCAGACACCACCTCCTGAAGCCTGCCTATAGAATCTGCTGCAGTATGCTGCAGGCTGGCGCTTCCCTTTCAGACACGTCTCCATTGCAAGAGAGAGCTGCTTTCCTCTCTCCTTTCTTCTGCCTATTAAACTTTTTGCTCCTTAACCACTTACACGTGTTCATGTCCTTAATATTCTTGGCGTGAGAATATGAACCCTGGGTATTTACCCCAGACAAGTATGTCACTTCATTAGCATGATCTAACTCATTAAGGAGGTGACGATGGAGCTGTAATTGTTGAATCAACAATATTTGGTAATTGATTACTTATGGGAATTAAGTGAGAGTGGAAAATCAAGATTGGGGGAGTTTGAAAGAAAAAGTAAAATTTCCTGTGAGTAAAAACTGTTTAGGTTGTGCATAAAGGATGCCTTGATGTGTTTGGGGCCCAGTTAAAGTTGAAGACCATGAATATCTGGTGGTATCAATCAGCATGACTGCATGCTTTCCTCCAATGGGGTCTAGCAGCTCAGGAATAAGAACAGAGTTTGAATAGTTTGATTTTTTTCAAGATTTTAGTTTTTTCATTGGGGTAAATGGAAAAGAATGGTGGTATAAAAGAATTAGTCCCATTTCTCTGCTCCCTTTTCAACAAAAATTCTTGAACGAATTGTCTATACTCACTGTCTTCATTTCCTCTCTTTCAATTCTCCCTTAAACCTTCTCCAATAGGCCTTTTGTCCCTACCCACTCACTGAACTGCTCTTGTCAAGGTCACCATATGGTTAAACACAATAATCAATTTTCATTCCTCAATTTACATAACAAGTTAATACCATTTGATATATTTGTTCAATCCCTCCTTTTTGACATACTTTCTTCATGTTGCTCCCAGCCTCTCCCAGAAACCAGGTTCTCCTGGTTTTCCTTCCGCTTTGCTAGACACTCTTATTTATGACTCTGACCTCTAAATTTTTCAGAGTCCTAGGGATCAGTCCTGGAACATCTTCTCTTTTCTATTTATCTCTGTTTCCTTGGAGAGCTCATCCAGTTGCATGGCTTTAAATATCATCTATATCCTTATGATTCTCAAATTTTTATCTCTAGCCTACACCTCTTCCCTGAATTCCAGACTTAAATATCCAGTTTACCATTAAACATCTCCACTTGGATATATTATAGGTGTGTTAGGGCATTTTTGCATTGCTATAAAAAATAACTGAGGCTGATAACTTATAAGGAAAAAAGGTTAATTTTAGTTCATGGTTCTGCAGGCTGTACAGGAAGCATGATGCCAGCATCTGCTTCTGATGAGGACCTCAGGAAGCTTAAAATCATAGTGGCAGGCAAAGAGGAACAAGCATGTCACACAATGAGAGAAGGAGGAAGAGAGAGAAGAGGAGGTCCCAGACTCGTTTAAACAACCAGATCTCATGTGAACTGAGTGAGAGCTCACTTATCACCAAATGGATGGTGAGAAGCGATTCATGAGGAATCTACCCCCATGATCCAATAACCTCCCACTAGGCCTCAGCTCCAACAGTGGGAATCATATTTCAACATGAGATTTGGAGAGGACAAACACCCAAACCATAATATCCTGCCTCTGGCTCCCCAAATCTCATGTCCTTCTCATACTGCAAAATACAATCACGCCTTCTCAATAGACCTCCAAAGTCTCAACTCATCCAAGCATTAACTCAAATGTCTCAAGTCTAGAGTCTCATCTAAAGATTATTTCCTTCCACCTGAGAGCCTATGAGATCGAAAACAAGTTATTTATTCCCAAGATACAATGGTGGTATAGGCTTTGAGTAAATATTCCCATTCCAAAAAGGATAAATCAACCAAGAGAAATGAGAAATAGACCTCACACAAGTCTGAAACCTAGCAGAGAAGTCATTAAATCATAAAGCTCCAAAGTAACTTTTTATTCCATGTCCCACATCCAGGGCACATTGGTGCAAGGGCTGGGCTCCCAAGGCATTGGGCATCTCCACCCCCATGGCTTTGCTGGATGCAGCCTATGCAGCTGCTATTATGGGTTGGAGTCCAGTGCCTGTATCTTATCCAGGCTGAGGATGCACGCTGCCATTGGCTCTACCATTCTTGGGCCTAGATCGTGGCAGCCCTCTACCCATAGCTCCACTAGGCAGTGCCCTGGTTGGGACACTGTATATGGGCTCAAACACCTTTCCCCTCTCCATTGCCCTAGTAGAGGCTCTCTGTGGGGACTCTGCCCCTGAGACAGGCTTCTGCCTGGGCATGCAGGCTTTCCAATACATCCTTGAAATCTCGGTGGAAGCTGTCAAGCTTGTTTTACTCCCGCATTCTGTGTACCTGAAGGCTTAACACCACGTGGAAGCCACCAAGGCTAATGGCTTGCACCCTCCAGAGTAATGGCCAAACCTATACTTGGGCCTCTTTGAGCCAAGCCTGGAACCAGAGTGGTCAGGGTGTGGGAAGTAGTGTCCTGAGGCTGCACAAGAATGGAGAGACCTTGGCCTTGCCCCTGAAACAATTATTTCCTTCTAGGCCTCTGAGTGTGTAATGGGAGGGGTTGTCCCAAAGATTTCTGAAATGGCTTTGAGGTCTTTTCCCATTTTCCTGGATATAAGTATTTGGCTCCCTTTCAGCCATACTAATCTTTCCAGCAAGGGGTTGCTCCACAGGATGCTTGAATTCTTTCCCTACCACAGGGCCAGCCTGCAAATCTTTCAAGCTTTTCATGGTTCTGCAAGCTATATGGAAAGCATGGTGCCAGCATATGTTTCTGGTGATGGCCTCAGGAAGGTTTCAATCATGGCAGAAGATGAAGGGGAACTAGCATGTTACATGGCAAGAGAGGGAGCAAGACAGAGAGGGGTAAGGTCTCAGACTCTTTTAAGCAACCAGATCTCATGTTAAATGAGTGAGAATTCACTTGTCACTAAGGGGATAGTGCTAAGCCATTCATGAGGGATCCACCCCATGATCCAATGACTTCCTACCAATCCCCACCTCCAATATTGGTAATCACATTTCAACATGAGATTTGGAGGGGACAAATATCCAAACTATATAAGTAAGTATTTTAAAATTAACATGTTCTAAAACAGTTCCAGAGGCTCTTAACACTTTTACCTTCCCTCAAATTCTTGCTCCATCAACAGTCTTTTGCATCTCAGTTAATGGCAATGCTGTTATTCTTGTTCCATACCAAAACCTATTTATAGTTCTTGACTACATTTTCCCACAACTCAAATTTATATTCTCTGTCTTCCTCCCTTCCTTTCTCCCTCATACATTCTCTTTATGATTAAGTCTCTAGGTTTCTGTCACATACATTATGTCTCTAATACCATCTCCCACTATTCTCCCTCTTACTTACTACACTCCAGCTAAAATATCTTTTCTCTGTTTTTTCAACATGCTAGGAATGTTCCTATTGCAGTACCTTTAAACTTTCTGTTCCCTCTCGCTGGAACACTCTTCCCACAGACATGCTCACGGATTGCTCCCTCATAGTGTTTCCATATGGCAATTCCTTCTCTTAATGTCTCAGGATATTTGCATGTTTTTTCAAAATTCTTAGTTCTGAGAAAAAAATAGTCAAGAAGTTGAGAAGGGTGAGAAAATATTTAATTCCCTTGTGACAATTAAAGCTTAATGAAATAAAGTGACATAACTGGTAGGGAGAAATACACTGATATCAAAGCAAAAGCAGGAAATGCTGATATTTGGAGTTGAAGGTTAATGCTGACATTTCTCAGTACAGGACAAGAGCACATAAGAGAAAAAAAAGCCACAGTCTAATCAGTCAGTCTTGCTTATGGCTGTTGTCATAATTGTGTTTGTGGCCCTGTCTACAGCAAATGGTTAGTCATTCCAGCAAATAAAATAAATATTAATCAGTTTAAACATGTACAGATCCTATTGGTGAAATTCCAATAAATAACTAGTCTTACAAGCAACATAAGTTTATAACTGGCAATTTCAACATGTGATTCTATGTAGTGCTGCTAACCTTGCTAGGTGGACCTGAATGCCATGCCATTCAACTCTTACCCAATAATCATCACTGGCATTTTCCAGTATTGGGATATTTGCCACAGAGTATAGGTGTTTTGGTCAATACTTCAACAGAAGAGTTACAGGGAGAAGAAACTTGACTAAAATCTGAAGTAGCAAAAATAATGTTGATCTCAATGGCAAAACCAAAATCAGGCAAACAGACAAAATACACTGGTCATTGAAAAAGGAAGTGAGTTTATATGAATCAACAAGTATCCGATGCTTACTTGAAGATCTTTTTAGATGCACTCTTAAAAATTTGACCAATATCAAAGCATGATATTTTTCTATTTCTAGAATATTTGTCATAAAACAAAAATCAAGATAGAGTAGTTAATGTAATCTGTTTGTAATTTATTTTAAAAATGCTATCTTTAAAGTACTAAATATTTGTGTCATCTTTCAAGTTTTTAAATAATTTTTATTTGACTTTTTTTGTGTTAATGGTCCCTTCTTTTAATATTACCAATTATCTATTTGAAATATATAAATTTTACACAATATATTGGTTCATAATAATAATAACCCGTGCATGTATGATTATATTGGTTTTTATTTTGCAGAAAGGCTCTGAAATTTTTAGTATCAGAGAAAAGTGATTTATACGTTATGGTAATTCATAAAAAACACACAAGAAAAGTGTTATGAAAAATACTATCTTCTGATTTTTTGAATTTCTGAGAATCCCCAGGAATTCCAATTTATTCATCTGGACTCCAAAGACTAATATGCATCAGGAATTTGAAATCACTACTCTCTTACTTTCTTTAAGTCATCCTTAAATGTCACCTTATCAAAAATCTCTTTTTAGGAGTACATTCCCCCAGTACCGGTACTCCATATACCTCTGTCTCTGTTTGGTTTTCTCCACAGCACTTAGCATTTCCTGATACATTGCCATTTGTTTATGTTTTAATTGTTTGTTTCTTTTCATAAGAATGCAAGCTCTATGAAGGTGTGGATTTTTACCTTCACTGCTATGTACAAACAGTGCTTACCATATAGATAGTAGTCACACTTAAAATATTTGTTTAATCAACAAATAATAGATTATTGGATTTAGACCAGATAGAGAAGGAAGTGAATGTATAAGTGAGCTGATCAATAGTGACCCACGTCCAGGGAAAGGGGGTCCCAGTAGAAGCTTAGATGAGGTGATAATAAATGAAGGAGATGACTGGAAGAATGAAAAATCATAGTCCGAACATGGAGTACTGGAGCTTAAATTTCCAGAGATGAATTTTCAAGATTTAAGGTAGAGTAATAGAAATTTATGACTTTGAAAATGAAAATCTTTGGTGTTGAGGTGATCAAGGGTACTGGTAAAGCTAAATTATTAATTGGAATAATTAAATAAATATTGAGTTTGTCCTGGACGATGTCTAGAAAAGATGTGGACAGAGATTTGATGATCCAAAGTACTAATGTCCTCAGTGAATGTGGAAATTGCCCAGGAAGTCTAAGGAAGACAGCAAAGAGGAGAGATTAGAGGTAGTATAGCTAGATAACATGATCTTCAGAGGGAGTTTTTTTAATACAAAAGTAGGGAAACAATAATAGCTTTAAAATGACTATTTGTTTAATTACTACCATGTGCTCAAAGTAAGGTACTAGGTGTTTTATATCCATTATGTCATAAAACCCTTAAAATAGCCTCTAATAGTATTCAAGACTTTCTTCTAGACTGCTGAATAGCTACAGCTTTCTTAAGTACTGACTAGCTGCTTGGGTGTAAATATGGTCAGGAATATGGAGGAAGCAGTGGGAATGAAATCCATGGTTATTGCAGTAGGAGGTCATCTGGATGGAGAAATACAGGCAAGTCTTAGCCACGAATTTTTCTGCGGTTAGATTAGATAAAGACAACAGCAGTGTTTTCAGCAGGAGATGGCACATAGGAAGTATTTCTCAAGTATACATTCTGTTTGAGCATAGGTCTGTGGGTGATGGGTAGACTTTATGTGTACTTGAACTTTAAGAACTTAAATCATGCCTTCCAAAACTAGAATACAAATGGTGGCAATGTATTGAGAAGTAGGATGGTGGTGGCTAATGAAGACCAGGAGTCAGTGTAGGGGATGAAGTTTGCCTTTTGTATGAGGGCATCAACCACCCTTAATGGAGAGTTTTGTATACAAGTATGTGGGGAAAATGGGTGGGTTGATGAGGCCAAGCTGACAAGTCAGGCATCAAATCTAGACCCACAATATGTTCCCAAAACACTGAGAGTCCAGTAGATGAAGAAGCCAATCTTTTTCTGCAAATAGTCTCCTATTGGAGAGTACCTTGTTTGATGGAGGGTGTTAGGGATTGAATTGTGTCCCTCAAAAAGATATCTTGAAATCCTAACCCCTAGTAACTCAGAGTGTGATCTTATTGGAAAATAAGGTCATTGCAAATGTAATTAGTTAAGATGAGGTCATACTGGAGTATGGCAGGCCCTTAATATAGTATGATTGGTGTCCTTATTAGAAGAGAAGACACAGAGAAAGGTACATATGGAGAATGTCATGTGATGACAGAGATTGGAGTGATGCAGCTGCAAGCCAAGGAACACAATGATTGATCCTATCACCAGAAGATAGGAAGAGGCAAAAAGGAATTCTATCTGGACTCTCAAAGGGAGCATATCCCTGCAGTCCCTTTGATTTTGAACATTTACCCTCCAGAATTGTAATAGAATAGTTTTGTTGTTTTAAGCTACCCAGTTTGTGGTACTTTGTTATAGCTGCTCTAGGAAACTATTAATATAGGTTGAGTACCTCTTATCCAAAATGCTTGTGACCAGAAATGTTTAGAATTTCAACTTTTTTGGATATTGGAATAATTTCTATTACACTGGTTGAGCATTAGTAATCCAAATATCTGAAATCCAAAATGTTCCAATGAGCATTTCCTTTGAGCATCATGTTGGTGCTCCAAAAATTCCAGATTTTGGAGCATTTCAGATTTCAGATTTTTGAATTAGAAATACCTAATCTGTACATAGAGCCATCAAAAGTCCGGATGGATTATATTCAATTCTTTGAATGCAGTGCAGTGTCCAAAGGCAGTGACTGCACTTCCTAGTGGATGTACTCAGCTGCAGATCTGGGATCTGGCTAGCTTGGACACAAAGCAGCCTGTTAACATCCAGCACATGACTTCTCAGTGCTGACCTCTGGTGATTGAATCTCAGCTATGTAGTCTTACATAGATTTATTGGTCTCCTGCCCAGGTTACATTGTGGGGTTGGATGACTGTAAAGATCTTAGGGCCTGATGACTTTAAAAATTGGGGCCATCTCTATTGTTCCTGATACTCTGGTTTCTCTTTCACTTAATACTCAAGCTTCATGAAATGATAATTGTATGCACAATTTTTACTTCTCCAAATCTCTATATCTGACTGATTGTGGTCATTTTTTTCCTCAATGGCTGAGTACCTTGGACCTCCCTGTTCTTCCTGCTGGCTCTTGTATCTCATGGTCCAATGTCCTTTAAAAACCTGCTGTACTAGAGAAATTATAAATGATCTAAAATTAAGGTTTTATTTACTGAAAAAGACTTCATGTATATGTTAGCAAGCATGTTTTATCAGGATTTAACAAGGTTTCAAACCACAGGTCTCTTGGATCTGTTACCCCCAAATCCTGCTTCCTAGTTGGCTACTAATGTGTAAAGCTGACCTGTGTTCACATAGCATGACTGGAGCTTCTAATACTAGAATGCAACAAAAGGGTAGAAACACTGAAAGAGAATCAGAAAACTTGTATTTGACATAAAACATAACCACAGTCAAGTTTCATACACAGACTCATTATTATCAATATATTGTCTTTCAGTAGCAGTCATGGGCAAACCTTTATGTGTAATTTTGCCCATCTCAGTAAGGCTCAGCAATACCATTTTGATAAAACAGCCTACTTTCACTGGATAGGATTAATCACAATGTCATCTTTACCTTTCAGAAGACTACAGAATGTGAGAGTCTGTAGTGAACTTATAGATCACCTAGTTCTATTCTCTTATTTTACATATGTGGAAGCTGAGGCCCAGAGAGAATTGGCTTGTACAGGGCTACACAGTTAACATAAGACTTAAAAGCCCAGTCTCTGGACTCCCGGACTTGATATTCTTCTACTTTGCCACACTGCTAGGGGCTATCATCTAAAACCAAGCCTGATGAAATGAATATTTATTTTCCCATTTTCATTGAGTTTTTCCTCTATGATCCTCTAAGAAAATTAGTTATCAGATTTTAGCTGAATTACGTTTGACAGTACATAAAATTATGTCTACTTCACTCAGCCTTATAACTAGGTTATAACCTGGTTATAACCAGTCTCGAAATGACTATAGAAAAAAAAAAGGTAAATATTGGCCATTTTCTTTCAAAATGTCTCTGTTGATCCCACTGCCCAAAGATGAAGTCATGAGGCACTATAAAAAATCTGCATGCTTTTTGACAGGTGATTACTCAGAGTGCAGTCTATAAGAAAAGACACTGGGGAGGGCAAAACTTACACCTAGAAACTCATCACTAACAGACTAGCAAGACATGACTAAATAAATTGAGAAGTTGTTCAAGACCAGATATTTCCAGAAGATGGCAGTATAAGGAAGGTCTGAATTCAAAGGGAATTGAAAATTAGATTTAAAAATGCAATGTTTCATTTCATAAGTCTAGTTTTAAGACAGAACCATGCAACTAAAACTTGTATAAAAACAACAGGCACTGATGTGACAAATTAACATAGGTCACCACTGTGAGATTTAGTAGGCAATGGCTATATGGCATTTTAAAAGAAATAGTGATACAAAATACACCCTGTAAACTTTGTTGTAAACACTTCTAAGAAGTCAATAGTGTGTGGTTAAATTAACAGTAAGATGATTTAAATTTTCAGAGGAAGGCTCTAAAGTTATTATATGTGAGTAGACATGCACAGAGTTCATAATGACATCCAACTTTTTTTCTTTGAAGTATTTCTAAAAATAATTCCAGTTGTATTTTAGATTCAGAGGATACATGTGCAGGTTTGCGACATTGGTATATTGTGTAATGCTGAGGTTTGGGATACGAATGATTCCATCACCCAGAGAGTGAGCACAGACCCAACAGTTAATTTTTTTACCCTTGCCCCCTTCTTTATTTCCCCCTCTATTAGTTCCTAGTGTGTACTGTTGCCATCGTTATGTCCATGAGTAACTAACATTTAGCTCCCACTTATAAATGGGAACATGTGGTATTTAGATTTCTTTTCCACTGTTAATTAGCTCAGGATAATGGCCTTCAGGTGCATCCATGTTGCTGCAAAGGACATGGTTTTGTTCTTTTTATGGCTGCATAGTATTCCATGGTGTATATGTACCACATTTTCTTTACTCAATCCAGTGTTGATGGGCCCCTAGGTTAATTCCATGTATTTGCTATTGTGAATAGTGCTGAAATGAACATACAAGTTTATGTGTCTTTTTGGTAGAATGATTTATTTTCCTTTGGGCATATATATAGTAACAGGATTGTTGGGTCAAAGGTAGTTCTGCTATAAGTTCTTTGAGAAATTTCTAAACTGCTTTCCACAGTGGCTGAACTAATTCACATTCCAACCAACAGTGCATAAGCATTCCATTATCTTTGCAACCCCACCAACATCTTTTTTTGTCTTTTTCTTTTACTATTTAATAGAAGCCATACTGACAGGTGTGAGATGGTATTTCATTGTGGCTTTGATTTGCATTTCTCTGATGATTAGCAATGTTAAAGCATTGTTTTCATGTGGTTTTTGGCCACTTGTGTGTGTTCTTCAGAGAAGTGTCTATTCATGTATTTTGCCCATTTTTAATGGGGTTATTGGGGTTTTTTGATTGTCGAATTGTTTAAGTTCCTTATAGATTCTGGATATTAGACCTTTGTCAGATGCATAGTTTAAATATATTTTCTCCCATTATGTAGGTTGTTTCTGTTTATTCTGTTGATTGTTTCTTTTGTGGTGAGAAGCTCTTTAGTTTAATTAGGTCTCACTTGCCAATTTTTGTTTTTCTTGCAATTGCTTTTGAGTATTTAGTTATAAATTCTTTCCCAAGGCCAATGTCCAGAACGGTGTCTCCTAGATTTTCATATAGAATTGTTATAGTTTGAGGTCTTAGATTTAAATCATTAATCCATATTGAGTTAATTTTTGTATATGGTGAAAGATAAGGATCCAGTTTTATTCTTCTGCATATGACTAGCTAGCTATCCCAGCACCATTTATTAAATGGAGAGTCCTTTCCCCATGGCTTACTTTTTCCCAACTTTGTCTACGATCATGTGGCTATAGGTGTTCAGCTTTATTTCTGGGTTCTCTATTCTGTTTCATTGGTCTATTTGTCTGTTTTTATAGCAGGATCATGCTGAGTTGGTTACTGTGGCCTTATAGTATAGTTTGAAGTCATGTAATGGGATGCCTCTGGCTTTGTTCTTTTTGCTGGGAATTGCTTTGGATTTCAGGCTCTTTTTTGGTTCCATATGAATTATAAACCAGGTTTTCCTGATTCTGTGAAAATGATGTTGGTGGTTTGATAAAAATAGCATTAAATCTGTAGCTTGCTTTGGGCAATGTTGTTATTTTAATGATATTGATTCTTCATATCCATGATCGTGGAATGCTTTTCTATTTGTGCCATCTATAATTTTCTTCAGCAGTTTTCTTTGGTTCAGCTTGTACAGTCCTTTCAATTCCTTGGGTAGATGTATTCCTAGGCTTTTTTTTTTTTGTGGCTACTGTAAATGGGATTGCTTTCATTGTTATCGATTTCAGTCTCAGCTTGAATGTTGTTGGTGTATAAAAATACTACTGATTTTTGTACATTGATTTTGTGTTCCAAAATTTTACAGAGGTCGTTTATCTTTTCCATCAGTTCCAGGAGTCTTCTGGCAGTCATTAGTGTTTTCTAGGCATAGAATGAGATCTTCGGTGAAGAGATATTAGATTTCTTCTTCTTTTTTTTTTTCCAGTTAGGATGCTTTCATTTTTTCTTTTCAGATGCCAGTAGGCTTTCACCATATTAACATTTATTGCTTTTTTCTGTGATTATTATATATGGTTGGTTTGTTCTTTTCTTTCTTTTTTTAACTTCTAAATTTAGATGTCAGAGTTACATGTGCAGGTTTGTTACGTAGGTAAACATGTGTCGTGAGATTTTTTGGTACAGATTATTACATCACCCAGGTATTATGACTAGTACCCATTAGTTATTTTTCCTGATCCTCTCTCTCCTCCCACCTTCCACCCTCTGATAGGACCCACTGTGTGTTGTTGCCCTCTATGTGTTCTCATCATTTAGCTCCCACTTATAAGTGAGAACATGCAGTATTTGGTTTTCTGTTGCTGCGGTAGTTTGTGGAAGATAATGGCCTCCAGCTTCATCCATGTTCCTGAAAAGGAAATGATTTCATTCTTTTTTATATCTGCATAATATCCCATGGTGTATATATGCCACAATTTCTTTATCCAGTCTATCACTGGTGGACATTTAAGTTGATTCCATGTCTTTGTTATTGTGAATAGTTCTGCAATGAGCATATGCAAGCATGTGTTTTCATAATAGAACAACTTATATTCCTTTGGATATATACCCAGTAATTAGATTGCTGGGTTGAATGGTATTTCTGCCTCTAAGGTCTTTGAGGAATCACCACACTGTATTTTACAATGGCTGTACTAATTTACACTCCCACCAACAGTGTATAAGTGTTCCTTTTTCTCCACAACCTTACGGGCAGCTGTTATTTTTTGACTTTTTAATAATAGTCATTCTGACTGATGTGAGATGGTATCTCATTATGGTTTTGACTTGCATTTCTCTAATGATGAGTGATGTTGAGCTTTTTTTCATATGCTTGTTTGCCTCATGTATGTCTTCTTTTGAGAAGTGTCTGTTCATATCATTTGCCCACTTTTTAAAGGGGTGGTTTGTTTTTCTCTTGTAAATGTGGTTAAGTCCCTTATCGATAATGGATATTAGACCTCTCTCAGATGCATAGTTTGAAAAACTTTTTTCCCATTCTGTAGGTTGTCTGTTTACTCTGTTGAGAGTTTCTTTTGCCATGCAGAAGCTTGTTAGCTTTAACTATATTCCATTTTTCAATGTTTGCTTTTGTTGCATTTGCTTTTGGCATCTTCATCATGAAATAATTGCCTGTGCCTGCATCCTGAATGGTATTGTCTAGATTGTTTTCAGAATTTTTATAGTTTGGGATTTATATTTAAGTCATTAATACATTTTGAGTTAATTTTTGTATATGGTGTAAGGAAGGGGTCCAGGTTCAACCTTCTGCACATGGCTAGTCAGTTATTCCAGCACCACTTATTGAATAGGGAATGTTTTCCCCATTGCTTGTTTTTGTAACGTTTGTTGAAGATCAGATTCTTGTAGGTGTGTGGTCTTATTTTTGGTTTCTCTATACTGCTCCATTGGTCTATGTGTCTGTTCTTGTACCAGTATCATGTTGTTTTGGTTACTGTGGCCCTGTAGTATAGTTTGAAGTCAGGTAGAGTGATGCTTCCAGTTTTGTTCTTTTTACTTAGGATTGCCTTGGATATTTGGGCTCTTTTTTGGTTTCATGTAAATTTTAAAATAGTTTTTCTAGTTGTGTGAAGAATGTCAATGGCAGTTTAATAGAAATAGCATTGAATCTATAAATTAATTTGGGCTGTATGACCATTTTCATTATATTGATTCTTCATATCCATGAGCATGGAATGTTTTTCCATTTGTTTGTGTCATCTCTGATTTCTTTGAGCAGTGGTTTGTAGTTCCCCTTGTAGAGATCTTTCACCTCCCTTGTTAGCTGCATTCCTAAGTATTTTATTCTTTCTGTGTCAGTTGTGAATGGGAATTCATTTCTAATTTTGAGCTCAGCTTGGCTGTTTTTGGTGTATAGGAATGCTAGCAATTTATGCACATTGATTTTGTGTCCTGAGACTTTACTGAAGTTGCTTATTAGCTTAAGAAGATTTTGGGCTCAGATGATGGGATTTTCTAGATAGAGAATCATGTTGTCTACAAATAGGGATAGTTTGAATTCCTCTCTTTCTATTTGGATGCCTTTTATTTCTTTCTCTTGCCTGATTGCCCTGACGAGAACTTCCAATACTATGTTGAATAGGAATGGTGAGAGAGGGCATCCCTGTCTTGTGCCAGTTTTCAAAGGGAATGCTTCCACCTTCTGACCATTCAGTATAATGTGGGCTGTGGGTTTGTCATACATGACTCTTATTATTTTGAGGTATGGTCTTTCAATACCTAGTTTATTGGGAATTTTTAACTTAAAGGAATGCTGAACTTTTTAGAAAGCCTTTTCTGCATCTATTGAGATAATCACATGGTTTTTGTCTTTAGTTCTGTTTATGTGATGAATCACATTTATTGATTTGTGTATGTTGAATGAACCTTGCATCTCAAGAATGAAGCCTACTTTATCATGGTGGATAAGCTTTTTGATGTGTGGCTGGATTCCATTTGCCAGTATTTTGTTGAGGATTTTTGCATCAATGTTCATCAATGATATTGGCTTGGAGATTTTCTTTTCTGTTGTATCTCTGCCAGGTTAGGGAGGAGTCCCTGCTTTTCAATTTTTTGGAATAGTTTCAGTAAGAATGGTGCCGTCTCTTCTCTCTACGTATGGTAGAATTCAGCTGTGACTCTGTCTGGTCCTAGGCTTTTGTTCATTGGTAAGCTATTTATCACCGCATAAATTTCAGAACTGGTCTGGTCAGGGATTCAATTTTTTCCTGGTTCAGTCTTGGAAGGGTATATTTGTCCAGGTTTATCAATATCTTGTAGATTTTCTAGTTTATGTGCATAGAAGTGTTTATAATATTCTCTCATGATTGTATTTTTTGTGTGTCAGTGGTAATATCTGTTTTATCATTTCTGATTGTGCTTATTTGAATCTTCTCTCTTTTTTATTAGCCTAACTACAGTCTATCTATTTTATAAATTTTCTCAAAATGCCAGCTCCTGGATTTCTTCAAATTTTCAATAGTTTTTTGTGTGGGTCTCTACCTCCTTCAGTTCAGCTCTAATTTTGGTTATTTCTTGTGTTCTGCTAGCTTTGGTGTTTGTTTTGTCTTGGTTCTCTAGTTCTTTTTGTTGTCACATTAGGCTGTTAACTTGAAATCTTTCTAACATTTTCTGCTAGCTTTGAAATCAGGTTTTTGTTTGTTGTTGTTCCTCTAGGTGGGATGTTAGATGGTTGACGGTTAATTTGAGACTTATCCAACTTCTTTAGGTAGGCTTTTACACTATAAACTTTCACCTTAACATGCTTTTGCTGACTTTCAGAGATTTTGGTATGTTGTGTCTCTGTTTTCATTTATTTTAAAGATTTTTTTATTTCTGCCTTAATTTTATTGTTTACCCAAAAGTCATTCAGCAGCAAGTTGCTTAATTTCTATGTAATTGTGGGGTTTTGAGAGATATTTTTGCAACTGAATTCTATTTTTATTCCACTGCAGACTGAGAATATGGTTGGTATGATTTAATATATTTTTTTAATTTTTTGGACTTCCTTTATGGCTGAGCATGTGGTTGATCTTGGAGTATGTTCTGTGTGCAGATGGGAAAAATGTATATTCTGTGGTTGATGGGTGGTGTATTCTGTAGCTGTCTATTATGTCCAATTGGTCAAGTGTCATAGTTTTGTCCAGAAATTTTTGGTAGTTTTCTGCCTCAGCAATCTGTGCTACCCTATCAGTGGAGTGTTGAAGCCCCCACTATTATTGTTTTGCCGTCTTGATTGTCTGAGTGTTTTGTAGGTGTAGAAGTACTTGTTTTATGAATCTGGGTGACCAAATGTTGGCTGTATTTATACCTTATCTTATATAAGAGTGGAAACTCTTGCTTCTTTTTGTTTTTGGTTTGCATGATAGATCTTTTTCCATCTCTTTAGTTTGACCTTATGGGTGTTGTAACTCGTGAGATGAGTCTCTTGATGATAATAGACAAATAAGTCTTGTTTTTTGTCCAATTTACCCCTGTGTCTTTTAACTGGGTCATTTAGACTCTTTACAATATGGGTTATTACTGATATGTGAGGTTTTGATCCTATCATGACATTGCTAGATGATTGCTTCGGGTTCCTATTAGTGGTTGCTTTATAGGGTCTGTGGGCTAGGTACATAAGTGTGCTTTTGTAGTAGCAGGGATCTTTCTTTCAATTCCATGTTAGAACCCCCTTAAGGGTCTTTTGTAAGGCTGGATTAATGGCAACAAATTCCCTTAGCGCTTGCTTGTCTAGAGCAGGTTTTCTTTATCCTTTGCTCATGCAGCTTAGTTTGGAAGGATATTAAATTCTGGGTTGAAATTTCTTCTTTTTAAGAATGCGGAAAATAGGCCCACAATCTCTTCTAGCTTGTAAGTTTTCTGCTGAATCATCCTCTGTTCACCTTATCAGATTCCCTTTGTATGTGATCTGACCTTTTTCTCTAGCTGCCTTTAAGATTTTGTCTTTGGCATTGACCTTAGACAGTATACTGACTATATGTCTTGGTGATAATAGATTTTTATAATATCTCAAAGGGGTTCTCTGTATTTCTTATATCTGGATGTCTATCACCCTGGAAAGATTAGGAAAATGTTCTTGAATTATTTCCTCAAATATGTTTTCCAATTTGTTTACCTTTTCTCCTTCTCTTTCAGGAATGTAAATAATTCATAGGTTTTGTCACTTTACATAATCCCATATTGCACAAAGACTTTGTGCATGTTTTAAATTCTTTTCTCAGGCAGCCCCCACTCCTGCTGACCTCAGGCTTAGGAGGAAGTGAGGAGCTTAGGGACAATCATGGGCCTCCAGCACAGTGTACCTGCCTTTTGGAAAAGTAATCAGACTATTTTCCACATGGGTCCCTGCCTCCACTACTTCTCACTGGGTGGGACCTCCTGGCCTGGGAGCCCAGACACCTCGCCCCCACTTGAGCTCTTGAGCCAGTATAAGCTCTGCATTTCCCTGGGACAGAGATCCCAGAGGTAGCAAGCAGGCTACCACTCCATAGCCCCCATCCCTGCTTCCATTAGGCTCAGGAGGGAGCGAAGAGCTTAGGACTACTGTAGGCCTCCAGCACAGTACAGCTGCCCTATGGAAAAGTTGCCAGACTGCTTTCCATATGGGTTCCTGCCTTTTTTATTCCTCACTGGGCATGACCTCTCTACCTGGGCCCCCAGCACAACTGCCTTGTCCCCACCTGAACATTTCTGTTGGTGGGAGCTCTGCATTTCTATGAAAATGAAATACCAGAGACAACCCATAGCCCCTCTGCCATTGCAGCCGCAGCAGTACCACCTTTACTGCTATTGGCCTGGGGAAGAAACAAAGGGTCTGGTTGTTTTTCTGGCACATCCAGCATGCCACAACCTCCCATGGAGAGTATCTCCATTTTTCTTCTCTGTAGGTCCCCACCCCCTACACATCAACAGGCAGAGCTCCTGGTTCAGACTCACAGAGCAGCTGCCCCACTCTCAGCTAAACATTCCTACTGGCAGTGGCTCTGTGTTTCCCTGTAGTGGAGCTTCCAGAGGCAACTGACAACCCCTCTGACACTACCACTGCAGTGGTACTGCCTTTGCTGTACTCAGACTGAAGAAGGAACAAGGAGCCTGAGTGCCTTACTCACACCTCCAGCATGCCACAGAGGTGAGCTCACTCATCCTCTCTGCCCTGTGAGTCCCTGACCCCCTACTCATTATCAGGCAGGGCCCCAGGCTTGGGCCCACAGTGCAGCTTCCCCATCCCCCAGCTGAAAATTCTCATTGGCAGCAACTTTGCATTTCTCTTTGGTAGAGTTCCCAGAAGCAACTGAAACTCCTCTGCCTCTGCCACTGCCACTGCAGTGGTACTGTCCTTGTTGCCCTCAGATTTGGGAAAGAATAGCCTGGTTTCTTTATTCACACCTCCAACATGCTACAGCCACCCTAAGGAAAAGAGGCCAGTCTGTCTCTTTGTAAGCCTGCCCCCTGCTCCCTGCTAGTCACCAGGCAAGGTCTCCCCCATCCCCCAGCTTGGGCCAGCAATACAGCTGCCCCACCCTGGGATGATCATTGTGATTGGCCGTGGCTCTGTATTTCTCTTGGGTAGATCACCAAGAAACAAATAAAAGGCCATCTGCCATTGTCATTGCCAAGGTTTCTGCCCCTGCTGCTCCCAAGTGTGGGTGGTAACATAAAGCCTGAGCACAACCTAAGGCTGCAGTGTGCAGCTCAGGAGTGCCAAGCCATGATCTGCAGCCAACATTTGAGTGAGAGAAGAGCCCACACTCTCAGAGTACTGAGAGGGAGCACAGCTGTAATTGTGAGGAAATACAGAGGAGCGACATGGCTCAGCAAGTCTGCCTGGCAGCCATTATGCTTAAGTGTCATCTACTGGATCACACCCCAAACTTCAACACCAAAAATACTTTCTTAATATAACGCCCTGTGAAGCCAAGGACAAGAATTAAGCCACAAATAATGACCTCACACAAAGCCAAAGCCCTCTGAAAACATCCAGAAATAAAGTCAATTGATTATACTCAAATTACACCACAGTTAAAGGAAAATCAGCCCACATATATGAGAAAGCACCAGTGCAAAAATTCTAGAAACCGTAAACGCCAGAGAATCTCCTTACCTCCTAATGACCACACTACCTCCCCAGCAATGTATCCTAATGAGAATAAAATGGCTGAAGTGAAAGACAGAATTCAGAATTTAGGTGGCAAGGAAGATTATTGAGATGCAGGAGAAAGTTGTAACTCATTCTAGGGAATCTAGTAAAACAATTCAAGAAATGAAAGCTGAAATGGCCATTTTAAGAAAGAACAAATCCAAGCTGATAGAGATGAATAGTTCACTACGCGGAAGTATTAACAGCTGAATAGACAAGGCTGAGAAAAGAATCTCAGAGCTTGAGGACTGGTTCTTTGAATTAGTAAGACAAAAATAAATATTTTTAAAAAATGAACAAAGCCTCTGTGAAATACGAGATTATGTAAAGACAGCATATATATGACTTATTGGCATCCCTGAAAGAGAAATAGAGAGAGCAAGCCACTTGGAAAATATTCTTGAGTTATACTGTTCACAAAAATTTCCCCAACCTTGCTAGAGAGGTCGACATACAAATTCAAGAAATTCAAAGAACTCCTGTGAGATACTTTGCAAGATGACCATCCCCAAGACACATAGTCATCAGATTTTCCAAGGTCAACATGAAATAAAAAATATTAAATATTAAAGGCAGCTAGAGAGAAAGGGCAGGTCGCATACAAAGGGAACTCCATCAGGCTAACAGTAGACATTTCAGCAGAAACCCTACAAGCCAGAAGAGATTAGGAGCATACATTCAGCATCTTTCAAGAAAAGAAATGCCAACCAAGAATTTCATATCCAGCCAAACTAAGTTTCGGAAGCCAGGAAGAAACAGTATCCTTTTCAGACAAGCAAATGCTAAGGGAATTCATTACCACCAGGCCTGCCTTACAAGAGGTACTTAAGGGATTGCTAAACATGGAAACAAAAGATCGTTATCTGGCACCACAGAAATACACTTAAGTACATAGTATACCCACACTATAAAGCAAAAGACACAACAAAAAAAGAAAACTTCAGGCCAGGTTGCTGGCAAGATGGCTGAATAGGAACAGCTCCGGTGTGTAGCTCCCAGCGAGACTGATGCAGAAGGGGAGTGATTTCTGCATTTCCAACTGAGGTACCCACTTCATCTCATTGGGACTGGTTGGACAGTGGATATAGCCCAAGGAAGGCGAGCCAAAGCAGGGTGGGGCATCACCTCACCTGGGAAGCATAAGGGGTCGAGGAACTCCATCTCTGAGCCAAGGGAAGCCATTAGGGACTGTACTGTGCACCCCAGCCCAGATACTGTGATTTACCCACAGTCTTCACAACCCACAGACCAGGAGATTCCTTCTGGTGCCCACGACACCAGGGCCCTGGGTTTCTAGCACAAAACTGGGTGGCTGTTTGGACAGACACCAAGCTAGCAGCAGGAGTTTTTTGTCCATAACCCAGTGGGGTCTGGAATGCCAGCGAGGCAGAACCATTCACTCCCCTGAAAAGGAGGCTGAAACCAGGGAGCCAAGTAGTCTGGCTCTGTGGGTCCCACCTCCACAGAGCCCAGCAAGCTAAGATCCACTGGCTTGAAATCCTTGCTGCCAGCACAGCAGCAATCTGAGCTCTACCTGGGATGCTCGAGCTTGGTGGGGTGAGGGGCGTCCACCATTGCTGAGGCTTGAGTAGGCGGTCTTACCGCCACAGTGTAAACAAAGCCACTGGGAAGTTCAAACTGGGCGGAGCCCACCCCAGCTCAGCAAGGCCACTGCAGCCAGACTGTCTCCTCTCTGGGCAGGGCATCTCTGAAAAAAAAGCAACAGCCCCAGTCACTTAGAGATAAAGCCCCCACCTCCTTGGAACAGAGCACCTGGGGGAAGGGGCGGTTGTCGGCGCAGCTTCAGCAGACTTAAATGTCCCTACTTGGCAACTCTGAAGAGAGCAGCAGATCTACCAGCACACCGTTCACACTTTGATAAGGGACATACTGCCTCCTCAAGTGGATCCCTGACCCCCGTGTATCTTGACTGGGAGATACCTCCCAGTAGGGGCTGACAGACACCTTATACAAGAGAGCTGGTCTGGCATCTGACAGGTGACCCTCTGGGATGAAGCTCCCAGAGGAAGAAACAGGCAGCAATCTTTGTTGGTCTGCAGCCTCCGCTGGTGAAACCCAAGCAAACAGGGTGTGGAGCAGACCTCCAGCAAACTCCAGCAGACCTGCAGCTGAGGGGCCTGACTGTTAGAAGGAAAAGTAACAAACAGAAAGGCATAGTATCAACATCAACAAAAAGGACGTCCACTCAGAGACCCCATCTGAAGGTCACTGACTTCAAAGACCAAAGGTAGATAAATCCACGAAGATGGGGAGAAACCAGTGCAAAAAGGCTGAAAATTCCAAAACCCAGAAAACTTCAGGCCAGTATTCCTGATGAATATAGTTGCAAAAATCTTCAACAAAATACTAGCAAACTGAATCCAGCAACCCATTAAAAATCTGATCTACTGTTAAGGGAGGAGACCACCCCTCATATTGTCTTATGCCCAATTTCTGCCTCCAAAGAAAGAAAAAGTAAAAACTAAAAGGCAGAAATGAAATCCACAAGCAGACAGCCCGGCGCCACACCCTGGGCCTGTTAGTTAAAGATTGACCCCTGACCTAATCGGTTATGTTATCTATAGATTACAGACATTGTATAGAAAAGCACTGTGAAAATCCCTATCCTGTTTTGTTCCGATCTAATTACCAGTGCATGCAGCCCCCAGTCACGTATCCCCTGCTTGCTCAATGGATCACGACCCTGTCACCCACACCCCCTTAGAGTTGTGAGCCCTTAAAAGGGACAGCAATTGCTCACTCGGGAAGCTCGGCTCTTGAGACAGGAGTCTTGCCGATGCCCCTGGCCAAATAAACCCCTTCCTTCTTTAACTTGGTGTCTGAGGAGTTTTGTCTGCAGCTTGTCCTGCTACACCGTGATTAAGTAGATTTTATTCCTGGGATGCAAGGTTGGTTCAACATATACAAATCAATAAATATGATTCATCATATCAACAGAATTAAAAACAAAAACTACATGATCTTCTCAATAGACATAGAAAAGGCTTTTTACAAAATTCAACTTCCCTTCATGTTAAAAACTCTCGACAAATTAGGCATCAAAGGTACGTACCTCAAAATAATAAGAGCCATATACAAGAAATCCACAGCCAACCTCATACTGAACTGGCAAAATCTGGAAGTATTGTCCTTGGGAACCAGAACAAGACAAGGATGCCCACTATCAGCGTTCTTATTTAACTCTTATTTAACATAGTACTGGAAGTCCTAGCCAGAGCAATCAGGCAAGAAAAAGCAATTAAAGACATTAAAATAGGGAAGAAAGGAAGTCAAACTATCTCTCTTCACAGACAATATGGTACTGTACCTAGAAAACCCCACAGTCTTTGCTCAAAGGCTTCTAGATTTGATAAACAATTTCAGCAAAGTTTCAGGATACAAAATTGATGCACAAAAATTAGTAGCATTTTATACACCAACAATGTCCAAGTTGAGTGCTAAATCAAGAATGCAATCCTATTCACAATAGCTACAAACACAAAAATACATAGTAATACAGCTAACCACAGAGGAGAAAGATTTCTACAGCAAGAATTACAAAACACTGCTGAAATAATTCAGAGATGACACAAGCAAATGGAAGAACATTCCATGCTCATGAATAGGTAGAATTGATATTGTTAAAATTTACATAGTGCCCAAAGCTATTTACAGATTCAATGCTATTTCTATCAAACTACCAATAACATTTTTTTTTTTTTTTGAGATGGAGTCTTGCTCTGTCGCCCACGCTGGAGTGCAGTGGCATGATCTCGGCTCACTGCAAGCTCTGCCTCCCAGGTTCATGCCATTCTCCTGCCTCAGCCTCCTGAGTAGCTGGGACTACAGGCACCTGCTACCACGCCTGGCTAATTTTTTGTATTTTTAGTAGAGACGGGGTTTCACCGTGTTAGCCAGGATGGTCTCGATCTCCTGACCTCGTGATTCACCTGCTTTGGCCTCCCAATAACATTTTTTAAAGGACTAGAAAATAATATTCTAAAATTCATTTGGAACAAAAAGGTAGCTCAAATAGTCAAATCAATCCTAAGCAAAAAGAACAAAGCTGGAGGCATCACACAAACTTCAAACTATCTTACAAAGCTACATTAACTAATACAGCATGATACTAGTACAAATACAGACACATAGACCAATGTAACAAGTTAGAGAACCCGGAGATAAAGCTGCACACCTACAACCATCTGATCTCTGACAAAGTCAATAATAATAAATAATAAAGAAAGGGCTCCCTATTCAACAAGTGGTGCTGGTATAATTGGCTGGCCATATGCAGAAGATTGAAATTGGACCCCTACCTTTCATTATGTACAAAAACCAACTCAAGATGGATTAAAAACTTAAATGTAAACTTAAAGTTATAAAGACTTTAGAAGTAAATCTAAGAAATACCATTCTCGACATCAGTGCAGGCAATGATGAAGACTCCAAAAACAATTGCAACAAAAACAAAAATTGACAAGTTAGATTTAATTAAACTAAAGAGCTTATGCATAGCAAAAGAAATTATCAACAGAGTTAAAAACAATGTATAGAATGGAAGAAAGTATCTGTAAACTACACATCCAACAAAGGTTTAATATCCAAAAAATCAAAAAGCAAAACCAACCCCATTTAAAAAATGGGCAAAGGACATGAACCAATACTTCTCAAAAGAAGACATATATGTGGCCAACAAGCATAAGAAAATATACTCTCCATCACTAATCATTAGAGATATGCAAATCAAAACCACAATAAGATACCATCTCATACCTGTCAGAATGGCTATTACTAAAACGTCAAAAATTAACAGATGCTGATGAAGTTGCAGAGAAAAGGAAATGCTTATACACTGTTGGTGGGAATATAAACTAGTTTAGACACTGTGAAAATCAGTCTGGAGATTTCTCAAAGAATTTAAAATAGAACTGCTATTACATCCAATGATTTCATTACTGGGTATATACCCAAAAGAATAGAAATTATTCCATCATAAAGACACATGCACACATATGTTTATCGCAGCACTCTTCACAATAGCAAAGACAGGGAATTAACCTAGATACCTATCAACAGTGGACTGGAATGTGGTACATATACGCCATGAAATACTACACAGCTATTTAAAAATGAGATTATCTCCTCTGCAGTAACATGGATGGAGCCAGAGGCCATAATCCTAAGCAAATTAATGCAGAAACAGAAAACCAAACACCACATGTTCTCACTTATAAGTAGGAACTAAATATTGAGTACACATGGACACAAAGAAGGAAACAATAGCCACTGGGGCCTATTTGATGGTGGAGTGTGGGAGGAGGGTGAGGATTGCTACCCGGGTGACAAAATTATCTGTACACCAAACCTCCATGACACACAATTTACCCATATAACAGTCCTGAGCATGTACCCCTTGATCCTAAAATAAATGCATGAAGGTGGTATAAATACTTCCTAACTACCTGTCACCTATTCATGTCAGTATTTATAAGTCAACAGATGTGGTTTTCTTGTGATGCCTATAGGTTTATCAGTTAAAGTGATGGAGAGAAACCAGGCACAACTGAATGTAGAAAACCAATGTGAGGGCTTTATGTAATGTACCTAACTTTAATGTAGAGATACTAATGGATATGTGGGAACATGATATCAGACAGTAGAGGTTCGTAACCCAAGCCTTTGTGTGGTTTGTGGATGGAAGAGAAGCAGGCACAAGAGGTAACAAAAATAAATAAATAAATGCTTTTTTCTTTATTTTTGTCTGACTGGGTTAGTTTGAAAAACCAGTCTTCAAGTTTGGAAATTCTTTCTTCTGATTGTTTGAGTCTATTAATAAACTTTTCCACTGTATTTAGAAATTTAATAAGTGAGTTTTTCAATTCCTGAAGCTTTGATTGATTTCCTTTTAAGATGTTCATCTCTTCCTTTATTTCTTTTAGAAGTTTCTTTTGTTGATTTTCAACCTTGTCTTGGATCTCACTGAGTTCGTTGAAATTCATGCTTTGAATTCTCTTCTGAATTTCCATTTTGGTTAAGGACCATTGCTGGAGAGCTAGTGTGATCCTTTGGTGGCATCACTACATTCAGGTATTTCATGGTGCCAGAATTCTTGTGCTGGTTATTTCTCATCTGGGGACACTGGTACTTCTAATTTTCATAAATATTTCTATGGGGGTAGGATTTTTTTCTTTTTCTATATAACTTTTTTTTTTTAATTTCTTCTGTCCCTTTCCATTACCCACCCTCCCTAGCGGGTGTGATTGTAGAGAATGTTGGGTAGGGTCTTTTGATTTTTCTTCTATAGCTCTATGGGACTTCTGTCAGCAGGTTTTATATTAGGCTGTGCAGTTTGACGTACCATCCAGTAGATGGTGCTTATGAGTAAGAGCCGGCTGTAGCCAACAAGGCTTGGTATATACTTTAAAAAGAACAAAACACACACACACTTTATTGAGGTATACATTGACATGAACAACACATGTAAAGCATATAGTTTACAATGTAGGTGAAAACACTGTAAACTGTATGCTTTACATGTGTTGTTCATGTCAATGTGTACCTCAATAACATTGATGGAGTTGGAAGCCATTATCTTCAACAAAGTAACGCAGGAACAGAAAACCAAACACCGCATGTTCTCACTTATAAGTGGGAGCTGAATGATGAGAACACATAGACACAAGGGGGGAACAACACACACTGGAGCCTGCCGGAGAATGGGTCAGGAGAGGGAGAGCATCGGGAAGAATAGCTAATGAAAGCTGGGCTTAATACCTAAATGATAGGAAGATCTGTGCAGCAAACCACCATGGCACACATCTACCTATGGAACAAACCTGCACATATTAAAATAAAAGTTGAAGGAGAAGAAAGGCTTGGTATATACTTAATCCTTGTTTACTGGGAGGTACTCTCTTTTGCCTTTGGCAATGGTTTGATCGGCGAAGTGCACAGTGGTCTGAGCTCCCTCCTCAACCTGGGGATGATGGGGAGGAAGTTAGGCAGGGCCTGACCAGGCAAGTCCACCTACAGGCTCCCTGATGGCAGGCACACACATCAGCACCAAGGGATAATCCACTGGGCAACCACCAAGAGCCCAGAGGTGTGCCTAGGCATGAAGCTGGGAAACCTCTTTATCCCCGAGTTATCCCCTGCATGGGGATGGCAGGCAGCCTAAACTCTTAATTTAAGAGAGTGAGTGCTACTGATGCCTGGAGATCTGCCTGGATGTCAAGAGGAGATGGCCCACTGCACCACGATCTCTGCACAGGAAGCGTGAGGCAAGTCAGGCTGCCACTCCAGGTGAACTAGTGGCTTGAATGCCTGGAGATATGCCTCAGTGTCAAACAGAGAGGGCCCCACTACACCATGATCTATGCACAGCAAGGGCGAGACTTCTCAGGCTGCTGGATCCAGGCAATGAGGTGCTGTGAATGCCTGGAGAGCTACAAGAATGTTGAGCAGAGATGGCCTTGCTGCACCATTATCTATGCTTAAGAAGGGTAGGGCAGCACAGGCTGCTGGTCCTGGCAAGCGGGTGCTCCAAATGCCTGAAGTTCTGCCTGAGGGTGGAGTAGAAAGGGCCCTCTCCACCTTTACCTCTAGGGAGTAGGCTGGAGCACTCAGCAATGACACACACAGACTTGTTCCAGGTCAGCAAGCTGGCCCCACATGCAAGTCTCATTGCCCAGCAGAAACTATAGCTGTGGTGGCTCCCAAACAACCTCAAGTCTGTGACAGGGGAGAATAGAGTTCCAGCGTCCACTGCTGAGGTCCTTTTTGCAATTCTGGCTGTGGAGGCCCCTACCCTGCTCCAGAACATGTGCTCTAATTTCTGGCCTGAAACTAAAATGCCTGAATGGCCATGCTGCCAGGTCACCAAAGAATGACTGACTTTGTATGCACCTGGATTTAGAATGGCATCCTGCTCTTGGTCCCAGATCTGGAAAAATGCCTGCAGCTTTTCCCCAGTGTCTTTCCCTCTCTGCACCTCCAATCCTCTCCTCAAGTTAGCTCCAAGGCTTGGCTGAAACAAAGTGCTCTCCCTTGATCTGGGTTGCTTAGATCTCCAGTGTAAAGGTGAGTAACAGAGAGATCTCTGCCTCTCTCTGGTACTGAGGCTTCATTCAGTTTTATCAGCTGGACACTGTCATGGGGGCTATTTGCCACTCACATTCTTCTCCCCATTATTTGAGATTTCCTTCATGTTTCCAATGGATTCAAGTTTTCCATCTTGAATTAGAGCTTAGGTAGTTGATTTTTATGCACTGTGTTGCTATTTTCAAAGGACTGAGGCATGCTTAAAAAGCCTCTTCTTATCTGTCATCTCGAAAAAAATAGCTTTTATTGCTTGTTTGACATGTTTCAGGTACTGTGTGCTTGATACTTATATCCAAAAAATATTTCATTCAATCTCTAGGCTGTGAAGTAACTTCCATTTTCCCAGTTTTATAGAGGAGAAAACAAAGGGTTAGAAAGTCTAAGTTTCCAAGCAGTCAATATTTATAAATAAGAAACAAAATCTCATTTAACATTCCTTTGTTTTTCTTAATAACTTTAGATCTTTTCCCTTGGTACTTTTGTTTTTGATTCTTGATTACTTGAAAGTATGTTTACTGAAGAAAATGTAATAGAGATGGCATAGTGTTTTGCAGCATTGCTTGCCAAGAGAAAGCTATCCTCTTCATTCTCTGATGAAAAGAAAAACAACTCTGAGCTACTCAATTCTCCAATCAACAATGACATTTTCTTCAGAGCTTCAATCCTTTGTGGTTTACCTTTCTCTGACCTGGGCTCCTGACTTTTCAATCTGAATGGGGGCTAATTGACAGAGGAAATGAAGAAAATGCAAACTATGTTTGCCAACACTGAGTTTGCTCTTTGTCACCACACGCGGTTGGCTCTAAATGCAGTAATTGTAATATAAAACAGTTAGCTTTATTTACTGAACCAAAGCCTGACTTCTTCCTCACCTTGTGTAAATCCTCGTGAGCAAAATCATTGTATCCAATGAGTTCCACATGTAGAAAGCTGCGCCCATATCTCTTTCATGGACTGTTTTTTTCTTTATCCTGCTTCTGCAGTAAGAAGTTCAAAAAAATTATATCAAGATATCAGGACCTACCAGAAGAAGCCTTTTTGCTGCCTAGAGGCATCAC
This sequence comes from Homo sapiens, assembly GCF_000001405.40. Classification (NCBI taxonomy): domain Eukaryota; kingdom Metazoa; phylum Chordata; class Mammalia; order Primates; family Hominidae; genus Homo; species Homo sapiens. Next base: position 85,630,362 of record NC_000023.11, read on the forward strand.
CAGGTAGGATTTATGCTGAGAGTTATCACAGTATAGGAACAGGCAGTCACCATTTTAAGGCCAAATGTTCAATCCTATCTGTATTTAAAAGCTGGTTAGTCTCCAAAAAGCTGACTTATACTCTCCAATCTCACCAAAGACTGGCATCTAAACAAGAATGTTGGCTCATTATTTTATAATGATAACTATAATTGTCAAAAGAATTATAATCCTCAATCCTCTGACCAGCTGATTTTCTCCCAGTCGCTTATGTGGAAAGTCAAAACATAATCAGAAATTTGCCTGGTGAGCACAGATATAGAACAAGCGGAGTAGGCTGCATGATGATTTGACTGGTTAATAACATCAAGCTCTGCTTCTTCTTCTTACTAGCTAAGGGACGTTGGGTGAGCTACTTAACCTCTTGGTACTTCAGTTCCCTGATCCATAAAATGGTGATAACAAAATGCCTACTATTTTGTAAGATTGCTTTTAGGATTGAATTAGTTAATAAATTCAAAGTTCCTAGAACAGTGCCTGGCACATAACAAATCTCCAAAATGTTAGCTATTGGTTATCTTTTATAGTTCTTCTAAGGTATGTACTTATATATTCAGCAGCCAACTAAGCACCATCCCTTAGACTGGTCTTTCCCAAAATTTTGTATGGCATGGAACACATAGAAAATAAAAATAATTTTACAACATCCTGGGGTTAGTTGATAAGGCTGTGTGCAGCCTGAAGTGTGAGCCTGACCAGCAGAGGACTCTAGTTGCCTCAGGAAATGCCCAGCCATCCTGAGGGCTGGGAAGATAAATGTCTTCCCACTTAGTATCCCATTTGGGTCAGGAAAATCTCTAACCTAGATGTCTCACCAGGAAACTCACACTCAACATATCCAACATAAAGTTATTATCTCTTTCTTAAAGCCAGAGGTATTTATTATACTCTACCTACCCAAGTATTCAAGGAAGAAACTGAAGATTTGTTTTAGATTTCTCTTTTCCTAAGCTCCCATATTTAGTCACTAAATTCTGCCTATCTTACCTACAAAACTTTTCTGATCTCTGTGCCCTTCTCTCTATCTACTGTGACCCTAGTTTAATCCTATATCACCCTTGCTGTAATAGCTTCCTAACCTATTGTGCTGCCCCACTCTGCCCTCCTCCTCAAATCCATCCTTCACACAACTGCCATGGTGATCCAAAATACAAATCTTTTTGTAGAGGCCTTTCAATTCCTTTGTTAGGTATATTTCTAATATATACCTATATAGAAATATAAGTATATTTCTATTTTATTTTATTTTTTTGCAGTTATTGTTAAAGGGGTTGAGTTCTTGGTTTGGTTCTCCACTTGGCTGCTGTTGGTGTATAGAAGAGCTACTGATTTGTGTACGTTAATCTTGTATCCAGAAACTTTGCTGAATTCTTTTATCAGTTCTAGGAGCTTTCTGGATTAGTACCAATCCTTTTGACACTATTCCACACGACAGAGAAAGAGGGAATCCTCCCTAGTTCATTCTAGGAAGCCAGCATGACCCTAATACTAAAACCAGGAAAGGATATAACCAAAAAAGAAAACTACAGACTGATATCTGTAGTAAGTGTGGCGTGGTAACAAAGACTACAAGTTTGAAAATTCTTTAAAGTCTTATGTTTTGTCTTAAACTTGTTCACTGGCAATTTTCAATTGTAAATGATAATATATATTTGTTTTGAATTAGAAATAATGTTTCAATTTATATACCATCAAGTTAAAAATTGTGCCTCAGAAATATACACCATGTTTGTCCTGTCCTTTGACACACTTAGCACATCTTGGAAAACCCCAGTGTGAGTATTACCAAAAGATAAAGTCCAAACTTCACAGTCTGGCCTTCAGACCTTCATTATCTGGCCCCTGCTTGTCTATCCATTTCCTGACATTTTGCTCCGGGAGCACTGACTTAGGTGTAGTTCCATCACCACACCATGCTATTTCTGAACTATCGGCTAAGAAACTCTCCATCTGGTTCTTTTCACACCCCTTCTGTTCAACCACCTGGATAATTCTAACTCTTCATTTATGTTCCTGTGCACATGTCTCATCTGTCACATCCTTCAGGAATCCTCCCCTGCCATATCTCAGGCTGAGATAGATGCTCCTTCTTGGTGCTCTTACAGTGCTGTGGGCTTACATTGATTTTAACATTTAAACCATTGCAATGAAATTCTTCTTCTTACTGTTTTGCATTCCTAAAGAACAGATTCTGTGTATAAATCACGTACTAGGTGATCAATAAGTTTTTTTAATATAACTGACTTTGAATATTTTTGGCATCCATTGTGGACCATCTCCTCTTTGATTAACAAATTATTTTCATATATATAGCAATACTGTCAATCATTTTATAACTTTAAAACACAATTGCATGTCTCTGATCAATTATGTGTTTATTGCTTACTGTATCTCTTTGAGCAAAACTCCTGAATTATTTAGACACACTCCTTCTGTAATGTATACACATCATTCCCTTTCTGTTATATACTGGTTATTTTTTATCAAAGCCATTTATTTGATGGTCTAGTAGAAATAGAAAGAAAACAGTAATATCACAGGCAACAAAGAGAAATACTAAGTAAAGACATATCACACAAGGGTAGAGGAGAAAAGTACAAATAATAGTTTAGGAATATCAGACTAAAACTAGTTATGTCAGTGAATGGGCTAATTTTTTATACACTAGACATCTTCTGGTGATCAGTCTTGTTTGAATATCATTTCTAAAAGAGGTACTTCTATACAGTTGTCAAACTGTAAAGAGATTTCTATGTAAATACTAGATTATTGTAATGTATTTAGCCATTTGTTATACTGTTAAGACTCAATTCATATATAAATAAAGAATGATGATGGTGACGATGTTTTAAAACCAGGAACCTCAGAGCTGTCTGTTGCCTTGGAAATTTAAACTTCTTTCTTGTAGTTCTGTTTTATCTCATCTTTTAGCTGTTTGGCATGTTTGTGATACAGAACGGATTTAAAAAAATAGGATCTCTACTCATATCTTTGAACTCTAATCTCTCTCAAATGTAATCTATATGAAAGGTATCTTAAAAATAAATCCGTGTTGTTGCCTGTAATTGAATATTAATCTGCTAATTTTAGGCTACTTCAAGTCAAAATTTTATCCACACAAACGAGATTTTTTTTCATTTATAGTGGCATGTTGCAGAATGCCATTAAATTCATCCTCTTGCCCCTGTAGGCAACAGTTGGAAGAAATGGTCCCAGCTCAGCAGGACTTCTCAGTTTCCAAGGTATGTTACAAGCTACATTTTTAAAGCTGGCTGGGTAATAAGATTTCTCGCATATTTATTGATTTGTAAATGCAAATTTGTGCACCATGTAATTAACATATCCTGAAACAATAAATTAGCTCTGAGAGTTGAAAGTGGAAACATTAGGTAAATCATAGGTATTTTTATTAGGGAAAGCATCTGGAGAGTATTACTGAGGGCCTCATTTAAGAAGAAATACCATATACATTATAAATACTATTATTGTTTGCAAACATAGTCCATACTCACCTTATTTCATCATATAGTACTGTTGGTGTTTTCAAATGACAAAGACTAACATAATGTCTTTCCAAATTTCTTTAGGGAATCGAAAATGAATACTCATAGCCATTTTAAAAGAATTTCAAATCATCAGTTTCCCCCCCGACACTCTGATTTTTTGTAGAGGATGAAAGGTGGGAAGAATGGGTGGCGTATCACATGTTCTTCATAAATGAGAATATTTGGGAGCTCAGTGGCAGCTTTCATTAGCCTGTGCATTAATTAAGAATATGATCAGATACAAGTTACAAAAAAAAAAACAAAAACAACAACAACAAAAAACAACCAATGAGGCTTAGAAAATAATGGTTTATTTTTTGCATAAAAACAAACTTAATAGTTAACAATAATCTACTGCATAGTTTCAAATGCCTAGAAGGAGAATATTGAATGTTCCCAACACAATGAAATTATAAAAATTTGAGATGGTGGATATGCTCATTATCCTGATCTCATCACTATCCATGACGTATATCAAAACATCACTATGTACTTCCTAAATATATACAATTATAATATGTCAATTTAAAAATAAATCTTTAAAATTAGGTTTTTCCAAGATTGCATAAAAGAGGCTTTTAGCATTTCATGTCAAGGAAGAACACTTTGTTTCTCCCAAGCTATCTTGGGGAGAGGCTTGGATGCGCTGAGAGGAAAAGAAACCTGGAAAAGCTGCAGGCGTTTTCCCAGACCTGGGGATCGAGAGCAGGATGCATTTTTAATCCAGGTACATACAAAGTCAGCCACTCTTTGATGACCCAGCAGCAAGGCCACACAGGTATTTTAGTCTTGGTCCAGAGATTGGAGCACTTGCTTTGGAGTAGGGTAGAGGCCTCCGCAGCCAAAACTGTGGAAGGTGCCTCAGCAGTAGATGCTCGAACTGTGCTCATCCACTTGACAAGCCTGAGGTGGGAGAAGAACTATTACAACTGCAGTTTCTCTTGGGCAATGAGACTTGCAGCCAGGTCTAGCTTGGCAACCTGGACCTAATCTGCATGTGCCATTGGTGGGTTCCCCACCTTACTGCACTAAGATTATTGCGCTGAGAGGGCTCTCTTTGCTCCATCCGAGGCAGGAATCCAGGCAATCGAAGTACCTCCTCACCAGTATTCGAAGCCTGAACTGCCCCACTCTTCTTATGCAGAGATTGTGGTGCAGTGGAGTCTTCTACACCTCATGCCCAGATAAAGTTTGAGGCATCTGGAACTTCCACTCTCCTGTATTAGGAGTTTAGGCCACCCTCCAAACCCATGCAGATAACTTGGGGCCAAGGAGGTTTCCCATCTGCCCACAAAGGCACACATCTAGGTGCTTGGTATTTTCCCACTGGATTCTGCCTCAGTGCTGGTGCTTGTGTGTGCCATTGGGGGACCCATAGGCAGGTCCGTCTGGTGCAGCCCTGCTAAACTTGTCCCTGAGCACCCTGGGGCTGAGTAGAGAGTTCCAACCCCTGTGCACTCCATGGATCAGCTCATTGTCTGAGGCAACATATAACTTCTCTCTGTAAACAGAAACCAAGTATATACCCAGCCAGTTTGACCACAGCCAGCTCTTACCCATAAACGCAATCTATTTACTTCTAGATCAAACCACACAGCCCAATATAAAAGCTGCCATCAGTACCACATAAAGCTATAGAAGAAAAGCCAAAAGTCACTACCCAACATTTTCTACAGCCACACTTTCTGCAGAAGGGGAAAAGGAACGGGAAAAAAAAAAAAACAATAAAATTATGGTGAAAGAAATAAAAAAATTCCTGTCCCCACAAAAATGTGTATAAAAATTAGAAGTGCCAGCATCCCCAAATGAGAAGGAATCAGCACAAGAATTCTGACACCATAAAAAATCTGAACGTAGTGATACCATTAAAGGATTACACTAGCTCTCCAGCAATGGTCCCTAACCAAAAGGGAAATTTAGAAATGACGGATAAATAATTCAAAGCATGGATTTCAAGCAAGCTCAATGATACAAAAGACAAGGTTGAAAATCAACACAAAGGCAGGTCTAAATGAATCTAGAAAATTAAGGAAAAGATGAGCATCTTAAAGAGAAATTTATCAAAGCTTTGGAAATTAAAAACAAATACTTGAGGAATACCAAAATACAATTGAGAGTGTTATCAATAGACTAGACCAAGTAGAAGATAGAATTTCCTTTTTATGATAAAGAATTTTATTTATATGTTTCTTCAACTTTTATTTTAAGTTCCAGGGTACATTTGCAGGATGTGCAGGTTTGTTACATAGGTAAATGTGTGCCATTGTGATTTGCTGGACAGATCAACCCATCACCTAGGATTTTTTTTTATTTCAATAGGTTTTTGGGGAACAGGTGGTGTTTGGCTACATAAGTAAGTTCTTTGGTGGTAATTATAGATATTTTGGTGCACCTGTAACCCAAGCAGTGTACACTGTAACCAATGGGTAGTCTTTTATTCCTCACCCCCTCCCACCCTTTCCCCCAAGAACAATGTTTGGTTTTCCATTCCTGAGTTTCTTCACTTAGAATAATGGTCTCTAATTCCATCCAGGTTGCAGCAAATGCCATTTTTTTTCCTTTTTATGGCTGGGTAGTATTTCATTATACACACACACACACACCACACACACACACATTTTCTGTATCCACTCATTGATTGCTGAGCATTTGGGCTGGTTCCATATTTTTGCAATTGTGAATTGTTCTGCTATAAACATACATGTGCAAGTATCTTTTTCATAAAATGACTTCTTTTCCTCTGGGTAAATACCTAGGAGTTGGATTACTGGATCAAATGATAGGTCTACTTTTACTTCTTTAAGGAATCTCCATACTGTTTTCCATAGTGGTTGTACTAGTTTACATTAGCACCAATAGTGTAAAAATGTTCCCTTTTCACCACATCCACACCAATATCTATTATTATTATTATTATGGCCATTCTTGCAGGAGCGAAGTGGTATTGCATTTGTGGCTTTCATTTGCATTTCCCTAATAATTAGTAATTTGAGCATTTTTTCACATGTTTGGTGGCCATTTGTATATCTTCTTTTGAGAATTGTCTATTTATGCCCTTAGCTCACTTTTTGATGGAATTGTTAAGTTTTTTTTCTTGCTGATTTTTTTTAGTTCCTTGTAGATTCTGGATATTAGTCCTTTGTTGGATGTAAAGAGTGTGAAGAATTATTCCCACTCTGTGGGTTGTCTGTTTATTCTGCTGATTATTCCTTTTGCTGTGCAGAAGCTTTTTAGTTTAATTAAGTCCCATCTATTTATCTTTGTTTTTGTTGCATTTGCTTTTGGGTTCTTGGTCATAAAGTCTTTGCCTAAGCCAATGTCTAGAAGGGTTTTTCCAATGTTATCTTCTATAATTTTTATGGTTTTGGTTTTAGATTTAATTCTTTGATCCATCTTGAGTTGATTTTTGTAAAAGATGAGACATGAGGATTCAGTTTCATTCTTCTACATGTGGCTCGCCAAGTATCTCAGCACCATTTGTTAAAAAGGGTGTCCTTTCCCCACTTTATATTTTTGTTTGCTTTGTCAAAGATCAGTTGACTCTAAGTATTTAGCTTTATTTCTGGGTTCTCAATTCTGTTCTATTGGTCTAAATGTCACTTTTATACCTGTACCATGCTGTTTTGGTGACTATGACCTTATAGTATAGTTTGAAGTCTGGTAATGGGATGCCTCCAGATTTGTTCTTTTTACTTAGTCTTGCTTTGGTTATGCTGGCTCTTTTTTTGGTTTTATATTAATTTTGAGATTGTGTTTTCTAGTTCTGTGAAGAATGATGGTGGTATTTTGATGGGAATTGCACTGAATTTGTAGATTGCTTTTGGCAGTATGGTGATTTTCACAATACCAGTTCTACCCATCCATGAGCATGGGATGTGTTTGTATTTGTTTCTGTCATCTGTGATTTCTTTCAGCAGTGTTTTGTAGTTTTCCTTGTAGAGGTCTTTCACCTTTTAGGTTAAGTATATTCCTATGTTTTTTTTTTTTTTTTTGCAGCTATTGTATCAGGGGTTGAATTCCTGATTTGATTCTCAGCTTGGTGAATGTTGGTGTATAGCAGAGCTACTGATTTGTGTATATTAATTTTGCATTCTGAAACTTTGCTGAAACATTTGTCAGTTCTGGGAGCTTTTTGCATGAGTCTTTCAGATTTTTTATGTATGCTACCATGTCATCAGGAAATAGCGACAGTCTGACTTTCTCTTTATTGATTTGGATGCCTTTTATTTCTTTCTCTTGTCTGATTGCACTGGCTAGGACTTCCAGTACTATGTTGAATAAAAGTGGTGAAAGTGGGCATTCTTGTCTTGTTCCAGTTCTCAGGCGGAATGCTTTCAACTCTTCCCTGGTCAGTATTATGTTGGTTGTTAGTTTGTTTTATATGTGTGTGTGTGTGTATATATATATATATAGAGAGAGAGAGAGAGAGAGAGAGAGAGAGTAAGTTATTACCTTAAGGTATGGCCCTTCTAAGGCAATTTTGCTGAGGGTTTTAATCATAAATGAATGTTGGATTTTGTGAAATGCTTTTTCTCCATCTATTGAGATAATCATGTGGTTTTTAATTCTGTTTATGTGGTGCATCACAATTATTGACTTGTGTATGTTAAACCATCCCTGCATCCCTTGTATGAAACTGACTTGGTCATGGTGGATTATCTTTTTGCTATCTTGTTGGATTCGGTTAGCTAGTATTTTGTTGAGGATTCTTGTATCTATGTTGATCAAGGATATTGGTCTGTAGTTTCCTTTTTTTGTTATGTCCTTTTCTGGTTTTGCTATTAGGGTGATACTGGTTTCATAGAATGATTTAGGGAAGATTCCCTCTTTCTCTATCTATTGGAATAGAGTAAATGGGATTGGTACCAGTTCTTCTTTGAATGTCTGATAGAATTCAGCTGTGAATCCGTCTGGCCCTGGACTTTTTTCTGTTGGTAACTTTTTAATTACCATTTCAGTCTTGCTGCTGGTTATTGGTCTGTTTAGAGTTTCTATTTCTTTCTTGTTTAATCTAGGAGGTTTGTGTAATTACAGGAATTTATCTATTTTCTCTAGGTTTTCTAGTTTATGTGCGTGCATAAAGGTGTTCATAGTAACCTTGAATGATCTTTTGTATTTTGTGGTATTGGTTGTAATGTGTTCTGTTTCATTTATAATTGAGCTTGTTTGAATCTTCTGTTTTTTTCTTAGTTAATCTAACTAATGGTGTATCAATTTTGTTTATCTTTTCAAATAACAAGCTTTTTATTTCATTTATTTTTTGTATTTTTTTGTTTCAATTTCATTTAGTTCTGCTCTGATCTTGGTTATTCCTTTTCTTCTGCTGGGTTTTGGTTTGGTTTGTTCTTGTTTCTCTAGTTCCTTGAGGCGTGACCTTAGATTGTTTATCTGTGTTCTTTCAGACTTTTTGATGTAGACATTTAATGCTATGAACTTTCCTCTTAGCACCACTTTTGCCGTATCTGAGAAGTTTTTATATGTTATGTCACAATTATCATTCAGTTCAAAAAATTTTTTAATTTCCATCTTGATTTCATTGTTGACTCAATGATCATTCAGGAGCAGATTAAATTTCCTTGTATTTGCATAGTTTCGAGGGTTCCTTTTCGAGTTGATTTTTAATTTTATTCCACTGTAGTCTGAGAAAGTTTTTGCTATAAGATTGATTTTCTTAAATTTGTTAAAACTTGTTTTGTGGCCTATCATGTGGTCTGTCTTGGAGAATGTTCCATGTGCTGATGAATAGAATGTATAGTCTGCAGTTCTGTAAATATCTGTTAAGTCCATTTGTTCTAGGGTATAGTTTAAGTACATTGTTTCTTTGCTGACTATCTTTTTGATGACTTGTCTAGTGCTGTTAGTGGAATATTGAAGTTCTCCTGTTAGTGGAATATTGAAGTTCTCCACTATTATTGTGTTGCTGTCTATCTCATTTTATGTCTAGTAGTAAGTGTTTTATAAATTTGGGAGCTCCAATGTTATACACACACACACACACACACACACACACACACACACACATATTTAGGATTGTGATATTTTCCTGTTGGACTATATCTTTTATCATTGTATAATGTCCCTCTTTGTCTTTTTAAATTGCTGTTGCTTTAATGTTTTTCCTGTCATATATAAGAATAGCTGCTTTTGCTCACTTTTGGTGTCTGTTTTCATATATTTTCCATCCCTTTACCTTAAGTTTATGTGAGTCCTTATGTGTCAGGTGAGTCTATTGAAGACAGAAGATACTTGGTTGGTGAATTTTTGTCCATTTTGCCATTTTGTATCTTTTAAGTTGAGCATTTAGGCCATTTATATTCAATGTTAGTATTGAGATCTGAGGTACTATTTTATTCATCATGCTATTTGTTGCCTGAAAAACCTTGTTTTTTTTTTAATGTGTTGTTGTTTTATAGGTCCTATGAGATGTATGCTTTAAGGAGATAAATTTTTCCCAGATTTAGAACTCCTTTTAGCAGTTCTTGTAGTGCTGGCTTGGTAAGTGGTAAATTCTCTCAGCATTTGTTTGTCTGAAAAAGACTGTATCTTTCCTTCATTTATGAAGCTTAGTTTTACTGGATACAAAATTCTTGGCTGATAATTGTTTTGCTTAAGGAGGCTAAAGATAGGACCCCAAAGCCTTCTAATTTTTAGGGTTTCTGTTCAGAAAGTGTTTTTTTAAAAAGGTTACCTGATGTTTTTGCCTCACAGCTCTTAAGATTATTTTCATTGTCTTGACTTTAAACAATCTGATTACTATATGCCTAGGCAATGGTGTTTTTGCGATGAATTTCTCAGGTGTTCTGTGAGCTTCTTGTATTTGGATGTCTAGATCTCTAGCAAGGTTGGGGAAGTTTTCCTCAATATTCCCTTAAATATATTTTCCAAACTTTTAGATTTCTTCCTCAGGAACACCAATTATACTTCAGTTTGGTCACTTAACATAATCCCAAACTTCTTGGAGGCTCTTTAAATTTTTTAAATTCTTTTTACTTTGTCATTGTCAGATTGGGTCAATTTGAAAAACTTGGCTTCAAGCTCTAAAATTCTTCCTCTTCCTTGTTCAATTATGCTGCTGAGACTTTTCAGTGCATTTTTCAATTTTCTAGGCATGTCCTTCATTTCCAGAAGTTGTAATTGTATTTTAATTATGCTGTCTATTTCACTAGAGATTTTTTCCTTTAATATCTTACAGTGTTTTTTTTTTTCATTTCTTTAAGTTGGACTTCACCTTTCTCTGGTGCGTTTTTGATTGGCTTAATGGTCGACTTCCTGAATTATTTCTCTGGCAATTCAGAGATTTCGTCTTGGTTTAGATCCATTGCTGGTTAGCTAGTGCAATCTTCTGGGGGTGTTATAAAACCTTGCTTTGTCATATTAGCAGAATTGTTTTTCTGGTTCCTTCTCATTTGGGTAGACTATGACAGAGGGAAAATCTGGGCCTCAAAGGCTGCTGTTCAGATTCTTTTCTCCCATGGGATACTCCCTTGATGTGGTTCTCTCCCCTTTTTCTTAGGATTAGGGCTGCCTGAGAGCTGAACTGCAATGATTGTTATTTCTCTTGCAGATCTAGCCACCCAGTGGAGCTACCGGGCTCTGGGCTGGTACTGGGGAGTGTCTGCAAAGAGTCCTGTGATGTGATCTAACTTCACACCTCTCAGCACTTTCAAGAGCACATCAGCTGTGGTAGTTTAGGGAGGATCAGGTGGTGGGCAGGGCCATAGAGCTCCCAAGATGTTATGTTCTTTGTCTTCAGCTAACAGGGCAGGTAGACAAAGACCATCAGGCAGGTGCAGGGTAAGGTAAGCCTGAGCTCACACTCTCATTGGGCTGGGCTTCCTGTGGCTGTTGTGGGGGATGGGGTCGTGGCTCCCAGGCCAATGGAATTATGTTCCCAGGGGGATTATGACTGCCTCTGTTATGTCACACAGGTCACCAGGGCAGTGGGGAAAAGCTGGAAGCCACAGGCCTCACCCAGCTCCGATGCAACCCACAGCTCAAAAGGTGGTCTCACACCCACAATGCACCCACCCAACAGCACCAAGTTGATTTCCAGGCAGCCAGTTAGCAGGGCTGAGAAATTTCTCCCCCCATCACCTAGGTATTAAGCCATGCATCCATTAGCTATTCTTCCTGATGCTCTCCTTTTCCCCAGCCCCCTCAATGCCCCCAGTGGGTGGTGTTCCCCTCCCTGTGTCCATGTGTTTTCATCATTCAGCTCCCATTTATAAGTAAGAACATGAGGTGTGTGGTGTTCTGTTCCTGCATTAGTTTGCTGAGGATAATGGCTTTCAGCTTCATCCATGTCCCTGCAAAGGACATGATCTTGTTCCTTTTTAAGGCTGCATAGTATTTCATGGTGTACCACATTTAAAAAAATCCATTCTATCATTGATGGGCATTTGGGTTGATTCCATGTCTTTGCTGTTGTGAATAGTGCTGCAATGAACATGCATGTGCATGTATCTTTATAATAGAATGATTTATATTTTTTGGATACATACCCAGTAATGGAATTGCTGGGTCAAATGATAATTCTGCTTCTAGATCTTTGAGAATTGCCACACTGTCTTCCACAATGGTTGAACTAATTTACACTCCCACCAACAGTGTAAAATTGTTCCTCTTTTTCTCTGCATCCTTACCAGCACCTGTTGTTTCTTGACTTTTTAATAATTGCCATTCTGACTGGTGTGAAATGGTATCTCGTTGTGGTTTTAATTTGCATTTCTCTAATGATCAGTGATGTTGAGCTTTTTTATATATGTTTGTTGGCCACATGAACGTTGTCTTTTGAAAAGTGTCTGTTCATGTATTTTGCCACTTTCTAATGGGGTTATTTTTTTCTTGTAAATTTGTTTAAGTTTCTTGTAGACTCTGGATATTAGACCTTTGTCAGATGAATAGATTGTAAAAATTTTACCCCATTCTGTAGGTTGTCTGTTCAGCCTGATGATAGTTTATTTTGTTGCGCAGCAGCTCTTTCAGCTCTTTAGTTTAATTAATTCCCATTTGTCAATTTTTTCTTTTGTTGCAATTGCTTTTGGCAATTTTGTCATGAAATATTTGCCCGTGCCTATGTCCTGAATGGTATTGCCTAGATTTTCTTCTAAGACTTTTATAGTTTTGGATTTTACATTTAAGTCTTTAATCCATCTTAAGTTAATTTTTTTATAAGGTGATAAGAAGGGATCCAGTTTCAATTTTCTGCATATGGCTAGCCTGTTCCCCCAGCACCATTTATTAAATAGAAAATTATTTCCCTATTGTTTGTTTTTGCCAGGCTTGTTGAAAATCTCATCTTTGAAAAAATAATTTCTGAGCTTGAATTTCAGTCTTTTGAACTAACCCAATCAGACAAATATAAAGAAGAAAAAAATTAAAGCATGAGCAATGTCTTTGAGAAATATGACATTGTGGAAAGCAACCAAACCTGCCAATGACTGGCATGCCTGAGAGAGAAAGAGAAAAGGCAAACAAACTGAAAAATATATTTGAGGCAATAATCCAAGAAAACTTACCTAATCTTGCTAAATAGGTATACATCCAGATTTAAGAAATCAAGAGAACACCTGTGAAATACTATGCAAAATAAAATTCACCAACACATATAGCCACCAGACTGTCCAATGTCATCACTAAGAAAAATTCTTAAAGGTAGCTAGAGAAAAATGGCAGATCACATACAAATGTACCCCAATCAGGCTAAGAGAGGACTACTTAGCAGGAACCTTTCAAGCCAGGAGTGATTGTGAGGCTTATTTTTAGCATTCTTAAAGAACAGAAATTTCAACCAAGAATTTCATATCCCTCCAAAGATATTTTATGTCTTTGCTATTGTGAATAGTGCTGCAATGAACATACATGTGCATGTATCTTTATAATAGAATGATTTATATATATACACTACATAAGCAAAGGATAAATAAAACCTACTCCAGACAAGCAAGTACTAAGGAAATTTATTATCACTAGATTAGCCTTGCAAGAGCTCCTTAAGGGAGTTCCACATATGGAAACAAGAGAAAGATACCTGCTACCACAAAAACATACTTAAGTACACGGCCCACAGACCCTATAAAGCAACCATATAATAGAAACTACAAAGCAACCAGGTAACAACTTTGCAGTAGGATTATAACCTCACATACCAATATTAACCTTGAATGTAAATCATCTAAATGCCACAGTTACATGTCACAGGCTGGCAAGTTGTATAAACAAACAAACAAAGAAACAAAAAAACAAGATCCATTCATCTGCTGTCTTCAAGAGACCATTTGACACAAGGCTCAATGTAAAGGATTGAAGAAAAATCTATCATGCAAAGTGAACACAAAAAAGAGCAGGGGTCAATATTGTTATAAGAGACAAAACAGACTTTAAAGCAACAACAGTTAAAAATAGGAAAAAGAAAAGCATTGCATAAAGATAAAGGGTTCAATTCAACAAGGAGACCTAACTATACTAAATATGTATACACTAAATATTGGAGCACCCAGATTTATAAAACAAGTACTTCTAGACTTTAGAAAAAAAAACTTACACAGCCACACAATAATAATGGGGCACTCTAAATTCCCACTGAAAGCACTCACAGATCATCAAGACAGAAAACTAACAAAGACATTCTGGACATAAATTCAAGTCTTGGCCAATTGGTTAAAACAGACATCTACAGAATACTTCATCCATCAACCCCAGAAAAAACATCCTTCTCATCTGCACACAGAGCATACACCAAGATTGACCACATGCTCAGCCATAAAGCAAGTCTAAAATAAGTAATAAAAATTGAAATTATACCAGCCATACTCTTAGAACACAGTGAAATGAAAACTAAAATCAATACCAAGAAGAGCTATGAAAACCACACAATTACAAGGAAATTAAACAACTTACTCTTAATGACTTTGGGGTAAACAATAAAATTAAGACAGAAATAAAAAATTATTTGAAATAAATGAAAACAGAGACATGACATACAAAAACTTTTTGGATGCAGCAAAAGTGGTATTAAAAGGGAAGTTTATAGTGCTAAGCACTTACTGCAAAAAGCTAGATTCAAATTAGTGATCTAAAATCACACCCAGGGGAATTAGAAAAACAAAACAAAACAAAACAAAAACTAACCCCAAATTTAGCAGAAAAAAATGAATAACTAAAATCAGAGGACAACTAAATAAAACTGAGACCAAAAATCCTATACAAAGAACAAATGAAACCAAAAGTTGATTCATTAAAAGGATGAACAAGACCAATAGACAGCTAGCTATATTAAAAAGAAAAAAGAGAGAAGATATAAATTAGCACAATCAGAAATAACAATGGTGACATTAATACTGATTCCACAGAAATACAAAAGATCCTCAAATACTATTATGAACATCTCTGTGCACAAAAACAGGAAATCTGGAGGAAATCAATAAATTCCCAGAAACACACAATCTCTCAAGATTGAATCAGGAAGAAATTGAAGCCCTCAACAGACCAATATTGAGTTCTTAAATTGTATTCATAATTGAAAGAAAAAACAAACAAACAAAGAAACAAAAAAACTACCAACCAAAAAAGGCCTTGGGCCAGATGGTTTCACAGTAGAATTCTACCAGACATGCAAAGAAGAGGTGGTACCAATCCCACTGAAATTATTCCAAAAAATCAAGGAAGAGGTACTTCTCTCTAACTTATTCTATAAAGTAAGCATCACCTTGATACCAAAACTTGCCAAAATCACACAGAAGAAAGACAATTACAGGCCAATATCAATTCTAAACATAGACGCAAAAATCCTCAACAAAATACTAGCAAACCAAAGTGAGCACATCAAAAAGTTAATTCACCAAGATTAACTATGATTCTTTCCCAGGATGCAAGGTTGGTTCAACATACACAATTCAATAAATGTAATTCATAAATACACAATTCAATAAATGTAATAAATGTTTTTGTAATTAAAAACAAAAACCATTGATTATTTTAATAGTTATGGGTAAAGCTTTTTATATAATCCAACATTCCTTCATGATAAAAATCCTCAGCAAACTAGGCATTGAAGGAATGCACCTCAAAATAATAAGTGTCGTTTATGAGAAACCCACAGCCAACATCATACTGAAGGGACAAAAGCTGGAAGTATTTCCCTTGACAAAGGGAATAAGACAAGGGTGCCCACTCTCACCTCACTTATTCAACATAGTACTGAAAATACTTTCCAGAATAATCAGGCAAGAGAAATAAATAAAATTATCCAAATACAAAATGAAAAAATTGGCCTGGTGTGGTGGCTCACACCTGTAATCTCAGCACTTTGGGAGACCAAGGCAGGCAGATCACAAGATCAAGAGATCAAGACCATCCTAGCCATTATGGTGTAACCCTGTCTCTACTAAAAAATACAAAAATTAGCTGGGCGTGGTGGTGCGCACCTGTGGTCCCAGCTACTCGGAAGGCTGAGCCAGGAGAATTGCTTGAACCCGGCAGGCAGAGGTTGCAGTGAGCCCAGATCATGCCACTGCACTCCAGCCTGGCAACACAGTGAGACTCTGTCAAAAATAAAAATAAAAAAATAAAAAGAAAAGAAAAAAGAAAAAATCAAACTATTTCTCTTCACAAATGTTATAATTATATACTAAAAAAAATTATAACCCTAAAGACTCCAACAAAAGTCTCCTGGAACTGATAAATAACTTCAATAAAGTTTCAGGATGCAAAATATAGAAAAATCAGTGGCATTTCTATACAACAATAATATTCAAATCAAAAATGCAATCCCACTTGAAATAGCAGCAAAAACTTTAATACCTACAAATATATCTAATCAAGGCAGTGAAAGATCTTTAAAGAAGAACTAGAAAACACTGCTGAAAGAAATCACAGATGATACAAACAATTGGATAAACATCCCATGCTCATGGATTGACATAATCAATATTGTTCAAAGGACCATACTGCCCAGAGCAATCTACAGATTTAACTCTTTCTATCAAGCTATGAACATCATTTTTCACAGAACTAGAAAAAACTATTCTACAATTCATATGAAGGCATAAAAAATCACAAATAGCCAAAGTAATTGGCTAGAAAATTGCTCTTTTGCTTAGAACAAAAAGAAGAAAGCTGTAGGCATCATATTATCTGAGTTGAAACTATACTATAAGGATGCAGTAACCCAAACAGCATGGTACTGGTACAAAAAGAGACACATAGATAAATGAAACAGAATAGAGAACCAAGAAATAAAACTGTATACCTACCATCTAAACTTTGACAAAGTTGATAAAAATAAGCAAGAGGAAACGACTCCCTATTCAATAAATGGCATAAGGATAGCTGGAAAGCCATATGCAGAAGAATGAAACTAAACTCCTGTCTTTCACCAGACACAATAATTAACAAGGTGTATTAAAGACTTAAGTTTAAGACCTCAAACTATAAGATTTCCAGAAGCAAATTTAGGAGATGGTATTCCAGACTTTGGCCTTGGGAAATAATTTATTACTAAATCTTCAAAAGCAATTGCAAGTGAAATAAAAATTGACAAAGGGGACCTAATCAAACTAAAGAGCTTCTGCATAGCAGAAGAAACTATTAACAGAGTATGAAGACAACCTACAGAATTGGGGACATTATGCAGAATCTATGAATTCAACAAAGGTGTAATATCCAGAATTCATAAGGAATTTAAACAATTGAGCATGCAAAGAACAAGCAACCTTAATGAAAATGGGCAAAAGGCATGAATAGGCACTTCTCTAAAGAAGACATACAAGCAACCAACAAACATAAAAAAATGCTCAACACCACTAGTCATTAGAGAAATGCAAATCAAAATGACGATGGGATACCATCTCACACCAGTCGGAATAGATATTATTCAAAAGTCAAAAAAAAAAAAAAAACAGATGCCAGCTGGCAAGACTGCAGAGAAAAGAGAACACTTATATGTTGTTGGTGGGGATGTAAATTAGTTCACCAACTTTGGAAAGCAGTTTGGAGAGTTCTCAAAGAACTTAGAACTACCATTCAACACAGGAATCTCATTACTGGGTGTGTATCCAGAAGAAAATAAATTGTTCTACCAAAGAGACACATGCACCCACATGTTCAGTGTAGCGGTATTCACAATAACAAACATATTGAATCAACTTAGGTGCCTATCAATGGTGGATTTCCTAAAGAAACTGAGGTACATAAACACAATAGAATACTATGTAGCCATAAAAAGAATTGTCTCATTTTCAGCAACATGGATGTAGTAGCTGGAGGCCGTTGTTGTAAGTGAATTAATGCAGGAACAGAAAACCAAATACTGCGTGTTCTCACTTATAAGTGGGAGCTAAACTTTAAATACATGTGGACTTAAAGATGGCAACAATAGACACTGGGGACTACTAGAGGGAGGACAGAGGGATGGGGACAAGACCTGAAAAACTTACTATTTGGTGCTATGCTGAGTACCAAGGTGACAGGATCAATTTTACCCCAAACTTCAGCATCACACAATATAGCCAGGTAACAAGCCTGCACATGCACCCCCTGAATCCAAAAGAAAAGCTGAAATTATAAAACTATATATAATATATACATACACATATATATGTATATATTTATGTCTTTATCTGGAATTAAAGAAACTGTTAATAATGGTTACCTTTGGTGAGAAAGTTTGGAAGGTAAGACAGTAATTTTATTTTATATTACTCTGTACTGTTTAAACTTACTAACTTAATTCATGTGTTACATTAAAAATTGGTCAACAGAGTTAGCTTGGCAGAGAGATTACGGCCCATTTTGTTTGGTTTTGTTTGCTTCTTTTCTTTCTCTTTATTTTAAAATATTCTAATATATTGTGGAATTGTTTTTAATGTCCCAAAATATGTCAGGGATTTTCATCAAGTGAATACAGGGAAACCTCACCCCAATTTATCCAAGAAGGATTCATGGAGTAACAGGCAATGTGGTCTCATTTCTGGCCCTTCAAATCAGGCTGATGTACCCACTAATCTTGCCTTTGCTGGACCCCAAAACAAAGCATCAAACATTAACTAAAACTAGGTAATTGCTCAGGAACTCCACTGTTTGAGTTGGATCTGCCTGCACTTGCTGTCTTCTCTCTGTTGCCAGACTCGTGTCTCTGTCTTTATCCTGACTTCAAAACATCTTGTATTAGTCAGGGTTCTCTAGAGGGACATAAATAATAGGGTATACCTACATATGAAAGGGAGTTTATTTAGGAGAATTGACTCACACAATGACAAGGTGAAGTCCCACAATAGGCTGTCTGCAAGTTGAGGAGAAAGGAAGCCAGTAGTGCATCAGTCCAAGTTCCAAAACCCCAAAAGTAGTGAAGCCGAGGTGCAGCCTTCAGCCTGTGGTTGAAATTCCAAGAGCCCCTAGGAAAACACTAGTTTAAGTCCAAGAACCCCAAACGCGAAGAACTTGGAGTATTGCTGTTCAAGGGCAGGAAGCATCCAGCATGGGAGAAAGACGAAGAGCAAAAGATTCAGCAAGTCTGCTTATTTCACCTTCTTCTGCCTGCTTTATTCTAGCCACGCTGGCAGCTGATTAGATGGTGCCCAATCAGACAGAGGGTGGGTCTGCCTCTCCCAGTCCACTGACTCAAATGTTGATTTCCTTTGGCAACATCCTCATAGACACACCCAGGAACAATACTTTGCATCCTTCAATCCAATCATGTTGACACTCAATACTAACCATCACACCTCTCTTTGGCCCCTTCTTGATACGGTATACTTTCTTATTCTCTTGGACTGCAGATTATTTTCTGTATGGTTTCAGGCTTAGCTTGCCCTTCTTACAAGGTAATCCACCACTGCTTTGGTTGTGCCCTTCCATCCCAGGGCCCCTTTTCACAACAACCACTGTTTCTGTCCTAACAAGACGTCTAAAGGGCTAACTCCAGCCCAACTACAAGAAAGAGAAGAGACACAGAAAATATTTTAAAATTAAACTGCAATTCAGATTTTTCTCTTTATATTTGTTGAAATGGTGGGATGACCTGACAGAAATACATTTGCAGGGGATCTGTGGAGTGTATTTGATAACTGCCTACCAGAAGAGAAAACTTGGCATGATTCCTCGACCTAGGGTGAATCCTTAATCCTTGGAAAGGAAGTTTAATTCTGAGTATAATATGGTGCTTCTAATTCTGATTTGTCTTTTAGCTTGGCCCCTAAAATACTCATTTCTGGGCCTATGGAATGCAGTAGGGATGCAAATAAAACTGAAAAGGCTGTTTCACTAAAACCCCTGAAAGTACTGGGGCAAAAGCAGCACTGTTTCTTCCTTTTGAAAGTATAACATAGGAGGAAGAGAGACGCATTCTTTTCCACCTCATGGCAGACTTCTGTAAAGCTTTGGCACCAGGTGTGCTGCATTTTTTCAGTGATGGTGCCTAAGGGAAGCTTTGGTGCTTAATAGGGTAACAGTATCACCTAGCAGATACCACAGGGCACAGTAGAGACTGCAGTACTCAGCTCAGCTCATCAAAATGGCTAATTAGCAGTGGTGCTAAGAGGGAGCATATGCGCTTATGAGCACATGTGAGACACGACTGACAGACTTCTAGAAATACTTGGAAGAGGTGGTGGTGGCACATTAGAGAGGACTGAGGCCATGCATGAGTGTATGGGAACAAAAGCCAGGAGATTCAAGTAGTGTTGTTAATATGAATTATTTATACCCATAGGCCGGTGGGGCATGTGTAAACTCAGGTTCTAATGGAAATTTCTTTCTCTCTGACCTTAATTATTTGTTGTTCTAATTATTCTACTTACTCATTCCTACTGAAGCTGTTCTTTGTCCTCATTATGACCTTTATTTCAATGCCCCCCTCCTAAGTCTCAAAATAATTCTGGTTTTCAAACACCGCATGTTCTCACTCATAGGTGGTAATTGAACAATGAGAACACATGGACACAGGAAGGGAAACATCACACACCGGGGACTGTTGTGGGGTGAGGGGAGGGGGGAGGGATAGCATTAGGAGATATACCTAATGTAAATGACGAGTTAATGGGTGCAGCACACCAACATGGCGCATGTATACATATGTAACAAACCTGCACGTTGTGCACATGTACCCTAAAACTTAAAGTATAATAATAATAAAATTAAAAAAAAGGGTCAGAAACAAAAGCTACCACCAATTACTTACAATATGCCAAGCATATTTCATGCACTATTTTATTTAATCTTCACTATGACAGCAATAATAATAGGAACTATTTTTTGAGCACTGACTATGTATTAAGCCCTGTTAGGTGCTTTATGTACACTGTCTCATTTAATTATCTCAACACTGTGAGGTATGTACTAATACTATGCTCATTTTAAAGATTAGGAAATTTAGATTCAGAAAGTTTAAGTAACTCCCTGCTGCCTCATTCCCACCATTATTATTATTTTCACCATAGAATATCCTTTAATTTCTGGCTCACTAACTTTCTAGGATGTAAATATGGATTTTCGTGACAGAGACAGACAGTAACAGCATTCTAAACAAGATATAAGTGTATTTCACCTTTATGTAAATATTTAAGTTAGTATGTCTTCTTCTATAAAGTCATGATGGAGTTCAAATTATTTCTATTTTCATGGTCTACTGTCTTTAAGATATTCTTCTCATCCACATAGTCCAAAAATTTCCACCCTATGTCTGCATTCCATCTAGTACCAGCTTGAAGTGGGAAAAAGGAGAAAGCATAACTGTCCCCTTTAAGGACACAACTTGGACTTTGTGTGCATCACTTCTGCTCACATCTCATTAGTCAGAATGGAGTTACATGGCCATATCTAGTTGGAAAGGAAACTAGGAAATAAAACTTTATTCTGGGTACTCCTGTGTCCAGCTAAAAGTAATGGACTTTATTACTACAACAGAGAAGGAGACAACCAGTCATCTCTGCCAAATTTGCTCATTTCTAGCTGTAGATGATGTTTGCCATTCACTCTTATTTCTTAGGCAAAGGGCTTTGCTAGAAAAGTTGCAAAAACCATCCTGATTTTGTGCTCTTATCTCAGCTAGACTTTTCCTACTGTTTACAATTTCCTTTGAGCATCTTTGGGAATTCTCTGCGGTCTCCTTCATTGTACTGGTTCCAAACCTTCTCCATTTCCTTCAAAGTACCCAACCCCACCCTAGCCTTATTCTTTTCTTGCCTCTTTATTTATGAAAAAATTAAATATTTCCCATATGACATCTCTCTCAATATCTTTCTCCCAATCTTAAAAATTACTCTGTATTCCTGCTTTCTTTTTCTTTTGTATTTGAGAAAGTGCACCCCCTTTGCCAAAGTTACCCCTCTACTTATGTCCTGATGCCACCTCTAACTGCATCCTCTATACCTTGTTCCAATGAGTTATTGATTCTCAAATCTGATCTTCAATCTCAGCTTCTCTTCTGCTTGCAAACATTTTCAGTTTCTCTTAATTCCAAAACACATTTCGTAGATGCAGCAATACTTTCAAGCTATTATCATCCTTTTTTCTTTTCTTTTCTGACATTTTTAAAAGTTTTTATTTTTTCTCAGTTTTAGCGAGATATAATTGACAAATAAAAATTATGTGTATTTAAGGGGTACAACTTCATGTTTTGATATACATATACATTGTAAAATGATTACCACAATCAAGTCAATTAACATATCTATCACCTCATGTAGTTACTTTTTTGGTGTGTGTGTGATTAGTGTACTTAAGAGCTACTCTCCTAGCAAATTTCAAGTATACAATACAATATTATTTACTATAGTCACCATGCTATACATTAGGTCTCCAGAACTTATTTACCTTATAACTGAGAAATTGTTCCCTTTGACTAATACCTCCTTATCTCCCTCACCCCCCAACCCCTGGTAGTTACCCTTCTACTCTTTTTTTTTTTTTGAGTTTGAGTTTTTCAGATTCCACATATAAATGAGATAATGTGTATTTGACTTTCTGTCTGACTTATTTCACTTAGCATAATGTCATCCAGGTTCATCCATGTTTTTGCAAATGGCAGGATTTCATTCTTTTTAAAAGCTGAACAGTATTTCATTGTGTATATATTCCATATTTTCTTTATCTGTTCATCTGTGAACAGGCACTTAGTTTGTAAGCTATTGTAAATAATGATGAAATGAACATGGCAGTGAAGGTATCTCTTTGAGATAGTGATTTTTATTTCTTTTCAATATGTAACCAGAAGTGGGATTGCTGTATCATATAATAGTTCATTTTTAATTTTTTGAGAAGCCCCCATACTGTTTCCATAATGGCTGTACCAATTCACATTCCCACCAGCAATGCATAAGAGTTCATTTTTCTCCACATCCTCACCAATACTTGTTATCTTTTTGTGGTAAAAGCCTTTCAAACAGGTGTGAAGTGATAGCTTGTGGTTTTGATATGCATTTTCTTGATGGTTAGTGATGTTCAGCACCTTTTCATATACCTGTTGGCCATTTGTATGTCTGCTTTGGAATAACGTCTATTCAGTGCCTTTGCCCATATAAAATCCGGCTATTTTGTTTTTGTTTTTGTTTTGCTTTGTTTGTTTTTTTGTTATTGAGTTGTAAGAGTTGCTTATATATTTTGGGCATTAACCTCTTATAAGATAAATAGTTTGCAAAGATTTTTCCTCTTCCATAGGTTGCTTTTTATTCTGTTTATTGTTTCATTTTTGTGCAGAAACTTCGTAGTTTGAAGTAGTTTCACTTGTTTATTTCTGCTTTTATTGTCTGTGTTTTTGCTGTCATATCCAAGAAATTATTGTTAAGATGAATGTTAGGGAATTTTTCCTCTATGGTTTTTTCTAGAAGTTTTATTATTTCAAGTCTTTAATCCATTTTAGTTTATTTTTGTGTATGGAGTAAGAAAATGATCCAATTTTATTTTTCTTGCATGTGGATATTCAGTTTTCCCAGCATCATTTATGGGAGAGACTACTCTTTCCTCATTTTATATTCTCAGCACTTTTGTCAAAGATTAGTTGACTGAATATGCATGGATGTATTTCTGGACTTCCTATTGTGTTCCATTGGTCTATGTGTTTGTTTTTATGCTGGGACCATACTGTTTTATTGTTGTAGCTTTGTAGTATAATTTGAAATAAACAAGTATGATGCCACCTGCTTTACTTTTTTTGCTCAAGATTTCTTTAGCTACTTGGAATCTTTTGTGGTTTTAGAATTTTTTTTCTATTTCTGTAAAACATGCAATTGGAATTTTCATTAAGATTTAATTGACCTATAGATTGCTTTGGGTAGTATAAACATTTTGAAAATATTGATTCTTCTGATCCATGGACACACAATATCTTTTCAATTATTGGTGTCTTTTTCAATTTATTTCATCAGTGCTTTATAGTTTTCATTGTACAGATCTTCCACTTCCTTGGTTAAACCTGCTTCTAAAAGTATTTTATTTTTGTATGCTATTGTAAATGAGCTTGTTTGCTTAATGTTTTTCAATTAGTTTGTTATTAGTGTATAGAAACACAATTGATTTTGGTATGTTCATTTTGCGTCTTGTATCTTTACTGAATTTGTTCATTAGTTCTAATAGTTTTAGATGGAGTCTTTAGGGTTATCTTTATATAAGATTAAGTAATCTGAAGATACAATTTTAATTATTTCCTTTATATTTGAGTGACTTTCATTTCTTTTCCTTTCCTAATTGCTCTGGCTAAGATTTCTAGTTCTATGCTGAATAAAAGTTGTGAGAGTGGGTATCCTTGTTTTGTTCCTGATCTTAGAGCAAAGGCTTTCAACTTGGCACGGTTAAATATTATGTTAGCTGTGGGTTTGTCATATATGGTGTCTATTATTTTGAGGTACGTTCCTTCTATACCTAATATTTTGAGACTTTTTATCATAAAAGAGTGCTGAATTTTGTTAAATTCTTCTTTCTGCACCTATTGATTTAATAATAAGGCTTTTGTCCTTCATTCTGTTTATGTGATGTATCACATTTACTGACTTGTGTATGTTGAAACATACTTACATCCCAGGAGTAAATTCAAATTTATCATGTTGTATGATCCTTTTAATGTGTTGCTGAATTCACTTTGCTAGTATTTTGTTGAGGATTTTTTGCATCTATGTTTATCAGAGATATTGGCTTGTAATCCTCTTTTCTTGGAATGTGCTTGTCTGGCTTTGGTATCAGAATAATGGTGGCCTTGTAAAATGAGTTTGTAAGTGTTCCCTCCTTTTCAATTTTTAGAAGAGTTTGAGAATCAATACTAGCTCTTATTTAAATGTTTGGTAGAATTCACCAGTGAAGCCATCAGGTCCTGGGCTTTTATTTGATAAGAAATTTTGGTTACTGAGTCAATCTCCTTACTTGATGTTGGTCTGTTGAGACTTTCTATTTCTTCATGATTCAGTCTTGGTAAGTTGTATGTTTCTAAAAATTTATTCACTTCTACTAGGTTACATAATTTATTGGCAAATAATTGTTCATAGTAGTTTCTGGTGATACTTTGTATTTCCGTGCTATCAGTTGTAATGTTTTCTCTTTCATTTATGATCTCATTTATTTGAGTCCTTTTTTTCTTAATTTAGCTAAAGGTTTATCAATTTTTTTTATAAAATCAATGCTTAGATTTATTAATGTTTTGTAAATTGTTTTTCTGTCTTTCCTTTATTTTTGGCATTGATCTTTGTTAGTTCCTTCTTTCTACTAACTTTAAGCTAAGCTTGTTCTTTTTTAGTTCTCAGAAGTATAAAGTTAGGTTGTTTATTTAAGGTCTCTATCTTTTTTTAATGTAACCATTTATCACTATCAACTTCCCTCTTAAGACTGCTTTCACTGCATTCCATAAGATTTGGTATGTTGTATTTCCATTTTCACCTGTTTCAGGATATCTTTTAACTTCCCTTTTTTTTAATTTCTTCTTTGACCCATTGGTTGTTAAGGAGTGTGATTTTAATTTCCACATATTTGTTAATTTTCAGTTTGCTTCCTGTTATTAACTTCTAGTTTTACATACTTGTTGTTGAAAAAGATGTTTGATATGATTTCAAACTTCTTAAATTTGTTACGACTTGTTGTGTGGCCTCACATGATCTATCATGAAGAATGTTCCATGTGTACTTGGGACATATGTGAATTCTGGTACTGTTGGATAGAATGTTCTGTATATGTGAAGTCCATTTGATCTAAAGTATAGTTCAAGTTCAATCTTTCCTCATTAATTTTTTGTATGGATGATCTATCCATTACTAAAAATTGTATTGGTGTGGCTTGGCTCTGTGTTCCCACCCAAATCTCATGTCAAATTGTAATCCCCATGTATCAGAGGAGGGGCCTGGTGGGAGGTAATTGGATCATGGGGGTGATTTCCTTCTTGTTTTTCTTGTGAAGGTGAATGAGTTCTCACAATATCTAATGGTTTAAAAGTGTGTGACACTTCCCCCTTCGCTATCTCTCTCTCCTGCCCTGCCATGCTTGTTTCCCTTCACCTTCTGCTGTGATTGTAAGTTTTCTGAGGCCTCCCAGCGATTTTTTCTATACAGCCTGCATAACTGTGAGTAAATTAAACCTCTTTTCTTCATAAATTACCCAGTCTCAAGTAGTTCTTTATGGCAATGTGAGAACAAACTAATACAGAAAATTGGGACCAAAAGAGTGAGGCACTGCTGTAAAGATACCTGAAAATGTGGAAGCCACTTTGGGAGTAGGGCAGAGACTGGTACAGTTTAGAGGGGTCAGAAGAAGACATGAAGATGTGGGAAAGTTTGGAACCTTGTAGATACTTGTTGAATGGTTTTGACCAAAATGCTGATAGTGATGTGGACAATGAAATCCAGGCTGAGTTGGTCTCAGATGGAAATGAGGAACTTATTGGGAACTGGAGTAAAGGTCACTCTTGCTATGTTTTACCGAAAAGACTGGTGGCATTTTTCCTCTGCTATAGAGATCTGTTGGAACTTTGAAGCTGAGAGAGATGATTTAGGGTATCTGGCAGAAGAAATTTCTAAGCAGCAAAGTGTTCAAGATGTGGTCTGGCTGCTCCTTACATCATGCAGTAATATGCTGTCACAAAAAGATGGTCTGAAATTGGGACTTACATTTAAAAGGGAAGCAGAGCATAAAATTTTGGAAAATTCACAGACTGACGATGTGGTAGAAAAGAAAAACCCATTATCTGGGAAGGAATTAAAGCCAGCTGCAGAAATTTGCATAAATAAACAGGAGCCAAATGTTAATAGCCAAGACAGTGGGGGAAAGTTTCTTCAGGTCATGCCAAAGACCTTCATTGCAGCCCCTCCCATCACATGCCCTGAGACCTAGGAGAAAAAAATGGTTTCATGGGCCACATTCTAGGCGCAGTAGATCTATACAGCCTCATCATATGGTTCCCTGTGTCCCAGCTGCTCCATCTCGAGCCATAGCTAAAAGGGGTGAAGGTAAGCTTGGGCCATTGCTTCAGAGGATGTAAACCCCAAGCATTGGCAGCTTCCACATGGTGTTGGGCCTTCAGGTGTGCAGAAGACAGGAGTTGAGGTTTGGGAACCTCTGCCTAGGTTTCAGAGGATGTATGGAAATGCCTGGATGTCCAGGCAGAAGTCTTCTGCAGAAGCAGAGACCTCATGGAGAACCTCTGCTATGGCAGTGCAGAGGGTAAATATGAGCTTAGAGCCCCCATACAGAGTCCCCACTGGGGCACTGCCAAGTGGAGCTGTTAGAAAAGGGCCACCATCCTCCAGGCCCCAGAATGGTAGATCTACCAACAGCTTGCACCATGCACCTGGAAGAGCCACAGACACTCAACACCAGCCCATGAAAACAGCTATGAGGGCTGTGCCCTGCAGAGCCACATAGGTGGTGCTGCCCAAGACTTTAAGAGCCCACCCTTTGTATTGGCATGCTCTGGATGTGAGACATGAAGTCAAAGGGGATTATTTTGGAGTTTTGAGATTTAATGACTGCCCTGCTGGGTTTTGGACTTGACTGGGGCCTGTAGCCCCTTTGTTTTGGCCAGTTTCTCTCTTTTGAAATGGGAGCATTTACCCAGTGCCTGTACCCCATTGTATCTTGGAATTAACTAACTTGTTTTTTGATTTTACAGGCTCATAGGTAGAAAGGAATTGCCTTGTCTCAGATGAGACTTTGGACTTGGACTTTTGAGTTAATGCTGGAATGAGTTAAGACTTTGTGTGATTGTTGGGAAGACAAGATTGATTTTAAAGTGTGAGAAGAACATGACATTTTGGAGGGGCCAGAGGTGGAATGATATAGTTTGCCTCCATGTCCCCACCCAAACCTCATGTCAAATTGTAATTCCCATGTGTCAGGAGAGGGGCTTGGTGGGAGATGATTGGATCATGGGGGCAGATTTCTCCCTTGCTGTTCTCATGATAGTGGGTGAGTTCTCATGAGATCTGATGGTTTAAAAGTGTGTTGCACTTCCGCTTTTGCTCTCTTTCTCTCTTGCTCCACTATGGTAAGATGTGCTTTCTTCCTCTTCACCTCCTGCCATGACTGCAAGCTTCCTGAGGCCTGCCAGCCATGCATACTATACAGCCGGTAGAACTGTGTGTCAGTTAAACCTCTTTTATTTATAAATTTCACAGTCTCAGGTAGCTCTTTATAACAGCATGGGAACAGACTAATACGGGTATATTTGTTGTCTATTTCTCTCTTCAGATTTGTTAATATTTACTTTATAGATTTAGATTCCCTGATATTGAGTGCACATCTATTTACAATTCTTTACTACCAATTTTTAAATACACATCTTGCAATCAATTTTCCTGAACACATCCTATGTTTGTTATCTCCTTGTCTATTACCCCACTCTCACTTGTGGAAAAACTACCTATACTTTCTCAAATACTATTATCCTTATGTCTGAAATGAAATACAAATTCTTTCTCTTTTCCATTATTACCCCTATGGCCAAAGTTAAAAACGTGCAAGTATAAGCAAACATAATCCATCACGCATATAAAGTCACTGCAATATTTTGCTGTTTGTTATAGTTTTAAAAATACATTATGTATTTATTCTTTTTTAATTACAAAAGCAGTATATGATCAAGGTATCATGTGTAAAAAAAGTATTCAATAAACAATAATCTTCCCCTAACTCCTGTTTACACCCATCTCCACTGAGTTAACCAATATCTCAAGTCTGGTATGTTCTTTGCCACAACTTTCTCCTACAAAAATAGCATCATACCAACTATACACATGACTCTTCAAATTGCCTTTTGTACTTAATAAAATATTTTGGGGATTAAAGACATATGTACCACATCAAACTATGAAACTACTAGAAGAAAATATTAGAGAATTTCTAATATTTAATTTAAATATTTCTAATATTTAAATTAAATATTAGAGAATTTCTAATATTAGAGACCACTGACTTCAAGTCAGTGGTCTGGGAAAACAATTCAAGTAAGACCTCAAAAGCAAAAATGAAGAAATGGGATTACATCAAACAGAAAAGCTTCTGAATATCAAAGGAAACAATATAAAGAGTGAAGAGACAACCTACAGAATGGGGGAAATATTTGCAAACTATTCATTTGACAAAGGATTAATAACCAGAATATTAACTTAATTCAAGTCAAACAACTCAACAGCGAGAAAACAAATAATCCAATTTAAATGGGCAATTGATCTGAATGGATATTCATCAAAAGAAGACATACAAATGGCCAACAGGTATATTAAAAAAGCTACTGAACATCATGATTCATCAGAGATATGCAAATTGAATGAAATTCAATTCATCTAAATCCAATTCATAATGAGATATCATGTTGCCCACTCAAAATGGATATTGTCAAAAAGTTAAAAAATAACAAATGCTGGAAAGGATGTGGAGAAAAGTGAACTCTCACACACTGTTGGTGGGAATGAAAATTAGTACAGCTATGATGAAAAACCATATGGAGTTCCCTCAAAAAACTAAAAATAGAACTACCATATGATCTAGCAATCCCACTGCTGGTATATATCCAAAAGAAAGAAAGGAAATCAGTATATCAAAGAGATATCAGCACTCCCATGTTTATTGCAGCACTATTCACAATAGCCAATATGTGGAATCAACTTTAATGTGTATTAATGGGTAAAGAAAAATTAAAAACAAACAAATGAGATCTAATTAAAGAGCTTCTGCACAGCAAAAGAAACTATTAACAAACAGACAACCTACAGAATTAGAGAAAATATTTGCAAACTGTACATCTGACAAAGGTCTAATATACAGCATCTATAAGGAGCTTAAACAAATTTACAAGCAATAACCAAACAACCTCATTAAAAAGTAGGCAAAGGACATAAACAGACACTTTTCAAAAGAAGACATACACGTGGCCAACAAACATATGAACAAATGCTCACTGTCACTAATCATTAGAGAAATGCAAATTAAAATCACAATGAGATAGCATCTCACACCAGTCAGAATAGCTATTATTAAAAAGCCAAAAACAACAGATGCTGGTAAGGTTGTAGAGCAAAAGGAATGCTATACACTGAGGCTGGGATGTAAATTTGTTCTACCATTGTGGAAAGCAGTGTAGCAATTCCTCAAATAACTAAAACCAGAACTACCATTCAACACAGCAATCCTATTACTTGGTATATACCCAAAGGAATATAAATCATTCCACCATAAAGAGACAGGCACATGTATGTTCATTGCAGCACTCTTCACAATAGCAAAGACATAGGATCAAGCTAAATGTCCATCAATGGTAGACTGTATTAAAAATGTGGTACATATACACCATGGAATACTATGCAGCCATAAAAAAGAATGAGACCATGTCCTTTGCAGAATCATGGATGAAGCTGGAGGCCATTATCCTTAGCAAAATAATGAAGAAACAGAAAATCAAATACCACATATTCTCACTTATAAGTGTGAATTAAATAATGAGACACAATGGACACAAAAAGGAAAACAATAAACATCAGGGCCTGCTTGAGACAGGAGAGTGGAAGGAGGGAGAGAATCCAGAAAAATAACTATCAAGTTCTATGCTTAGTCCTGGGTGACAAAATAATCTGTACACCAAACCCCCATGACATGAGTTTGCCTTTATTAACAAACCTGCACATGTACCCCTGAACCTAAAATAAAATTTAAAAATAACTTAAAATGAGGGATATATACACAATAGAATATGATTCAGTCTTAAAAAGAATAAAGTTCTGTCATTTACAGTCACATGGATGGAACCGGAGATCATCGTGTTAAGTGAAATAGACCAGGCACAGAAAGACAAACATCACATGTTCTCACTCATATTTGGGGGCTAAAATAGTTTTTCTCATGGAGGTAGAGAGTAGAATGGTGGTTACTGGAGGCTGGTAAGAGTGGTAAGATGGGAGATGAAGAGAGGTTGTTTAATGGATACAAAAGCACAGTTAAATAGAAACAACAAGTTCTAGTGTTAGGTAGCACAGTAAGGTGACTACAGTTATTGCTAATTTATTATATGTTTCAAAATAACTAGAAGAGAAGATTTGAAATGTTCTCAACAAAAATAAATGATAAAAGTTTGAGGTGATGGATAGCTCACCCAACCTGACTTGATCATTACACACTGTATGCTTGTATCAAAATATCACATATCCACATCAATATGTACAAGTATTATGTAGCAATAAAAGTATTTTGAATATCCATCTAGGTCAAGAAATAGAGGTTTCATGCACTCTTTCCACTAGCATCGCAAGAATCTGTAGTTTTAATACACCATGAAGTATTCAGTGATCCCATTATTTATGATCATTCAGATCACTTCCAATTTTTGTACTGTTGAAATTCAGGCTGCATATATATCAATCTTTATGTAGTGATATTCTTTCTCTATGCTAGCAATAACAGGTCAATACTTTTTAAGTTTAGTCGAGTTCCAATCATAACTTAAATGTACCTTTCCTTGAGACTGATCTAAATGAGTTTTAAAATTCATATGGAAGAGTAAATGTCTGCAAATAACCACTGTTTCCTTATCTGTAAACTGAGAGTAATGTGGGTAAATAATATTCTGACCTCATAGGGCTAGCAGGAGCATTAAATACTATAAGAATATAGTTACATCAACTGATCACTTACTTTCTGACTATAAAAAAGTATATGAAGTAGTTCCTTCCCTCAGAGTTTTCAACAGTCATTTTGTTTTTTACCTCAGCTTGGTCGTTTGCCTGCTTTACCTTTATAACCTGGTATACACGGTCCTAAAGTAGAACTATTTTAGAAGATATTACTAATTTAAAAAATGCAACTTTAGAGATTTTTACCTAAAAAGATGATAGGGACTTGGAAGCAAGAAGAAATAGGATCAATTTACTTGGAATTTAGAGAGATATAGAAAACATTCCATATAAAATCAATATTTGCTATTTAATTACAATAATTTGGAATAATAAATTTATCCAAACAGCAAATTTAGGTGCTTACATAATACATAAATAATTGATATAAATTTTTTATTTTAAATTTGTTGACGTACGATCACTACATAGTCAACTTTTTTGTCTAAAATGTCCTGAAAAAGTTGTCCATAGTTATTAATTTATTGAAGCTCATAAGAACCTCACTTAACAATAATCTTGAAATGGTCTATTCTAGCCAGGTTGCATTGAAACCTTTTTATATGCCAAAATGTGTCCAGATTAAAGATGCATTTTTACAGGAAGCACATACAACATAAAGTGAAGCATTCTTGAATAACCCTTGCTTCCAAAATGATCAAGTACATAAACTTTCTCATGTATGTCATGATATTATTAAAATTTCTACTTTGAACATCCTGCTGGTGGGACTGTAAACTAGTTCAACCATTGTGGAAGACAATGTGGTGATTCCTCAAGGATCTAAAACCAGAAATACCATTTGACCCATCAATCCCATTACTGGGTATATACCCCCCAAAATTGTAAATCATTCTACTACAAAGACACATGCACACGTATGTTTGTTGCAGCACTATTCACAATAGCAAAGACTTGGAACCACCCAAATGCTCATCAATGATAGACTGGATAAAGAAAATGTGGCACATATACACCACGGAATACTATGCAGCCATAAAAAAGGATGAGTGCATGTCCTTTGCGGGGACATGGATGAAGCTGGAAACCATCATTCTCAGCAAACTAATACAGTAATAGAAAACCAAACACCACATGTTCTCACTCATAAGTGGGAGCTGTACAATGAGAACACATGGAAACAGGGAGGGGAACATCACACACCAGGGCCTGTTGGGGGGTGGGGGGGTGGGGGGCTGGGGAAGGCATAGCATTAGGAGAAATACCTAATGTAGATGATGGGTTGATGGGTGCAGCAAACCACCATGGCACATGTATACCTATGTAACAAACCTGCATGTTCTGCACATGTATCCCAGAACTTAAAGTATAGAATAATAATAATAATAATAGTAATAATATAATGGTGGTTTTGCACTAAGCATTGATGAAAAACAATTGAGAGTAACACATTTGTTGGGTGATCATGTAGAAATAACTTCTTTCATAATAAATCCATTATAATGACATAAACTATTAGTAAATTATTACAGTAGTTAGGTTTTGCATAAATTAGAAACCATTGTGGGCTAATCTTGTATATAAATCTGGAATAATTTTATGCCACAACCAATTACTTCTATTGACGAGAATGTCACTGTCATTATGAAATAGATATGTATATGACTGCCTCAATGGCTTTGGTCAGCATTGTTTGTATTAATGGCATTTTTGCAGTATATTGTTTGGGAGCTAATCCTTATTAAAGATAAGATGAGAAAATACAAGATCAATTCAATGTACATAAGAAAATATGCGATATTTATCCTAGGGTTTTGGGTGCCTGTCACTGTAGTAGTTTTCTATTGTTAATGCAACATGTTCACACTTTTTTTTTTTTTGGCTTAAAACAACACAAACTTACAATCTTATGGCTATATAGGTCAGAAGTTGGACATGGGTCTCACCGACTTAAAGTCAAGATATTCACAGTATTATACAGCATTGTATTCCCTTCTGGAGGCCCTAGAAGAGACTCAATTTCCTTACCTTTTCAGCTTCTAGAGGCTTCCCACATTCCTTGGCTCATGACCTCTTCCTCTCCTTTAAAGCACGCAATAGTGAGTTGAGTCATTCGCACCTCACATTACCCGCTTTCTCCTGCCCCAATTTCCACTTTTAAGAGTTTTTTTGTCCTTGCGATAGTTTGCTGAGAATGATGGTTTCCAGCTTCATCCATGTCTCTACAAAGGACATGAACTCATCATTTTTTATGGCTGCATAGTATTCCATGGTGTATATGTGCCACATTTTCTTAATCCAGTCTATCATTGTTGGACATTTGGGTTGGTTCCAAGTCTTTGCTATTGTGAATAGTGCCGCAATAAACATACATGTGCATGTGTCTTTATAGCAGCACAATTTATAATCCTTTGGGTATATACCCAGTAATGGGATGGCTGGGTCAAGTGGTATTTCTAGTTCTGGATCCCTGAGGAATCGCCACACTGACTTCCACAAGGGTTGAACTAGTTTACAGTCCCACCAACAGTGTAAAAGTGTTCCTATTTCTCCACATCCTCTCCAGTGCCTGTTGTTTCCTGACTTTTTAATGATCACCATTCTAAATGGTGTGAGATGGTATCTCACTGTGGTTTTGATTTGCATTTCTCTGATGGCCAGTGATGGTGAGCATTTTTTCATGTGTTTTTTGGCTGCATAAATGTCTTCTTTTGAGAAGTGTCTGTTCATATCCTTCACTCACTTTTTGATGGGGTTGTTTGTTTTTTTCTTGTAAATTTGTTTGAGTTCATTGTAGATTCTGGATATTAGCCCTTTGTCAGATGAGTAGATTGCAAAAATTTTCTCCCATTCTATAGGTTGCCTGTTCACTCTGATGGTGGTTTCTTTTGCTGTGCAGAAGCTCTTTAGTTTAATTAGATCCCATTTGTCAATTTTGGCTTTTGTTGCCATTGCTTTTGGTGTTTTAGACATGAAGTCCTTGCCCATACCAAACACTGCATGTTCTCACTCATAGGTGGGAATTGAACAATGAGAACACATGGACATAGGAAGGGGAACATCACACACCAGGGTGGGGGGAGGGGGAGGGGAGGGATAACATTAGGAGATATACCTAATGTTAAATGATGAGTTAATGGGTCCAGCACACCAACATGGCGTATGTATACATATGTAACAAACCTGCACGTTGTGCACATGTACCCTAAAACTTAAAGTATAATAATAATAATAAAAAGAGTTTTTTGATTACATTAGACCCACCCAGACAGTTCTGAATCATCTCTTTATCTTAAGGTCAGCTCATTACCAACCTTAGTTTCATCTACAAGCTTAATTTCTCTTTACCATGTAACAATATAGTCACAGATTCAGGGGATTAGAACATGGACACTTTTGGGGGGCATTATTCTACTTACAATAGTTTCTTTCTTTCTTTTAAAGTTAATATGTATTTTAAACCTGGAAATATGTGCACAATTAGTATTAAGTAATAATAATAATAAAGAGCTCTTCCCAATTCTATAAAACCCCGATTTCTGCTCCCAAAACATAATCATTTTCTGCTATTTTACTTGTTTTTTCTGGATTCTAATTTCATATTTGTAAATGATGTACTATTTCTAAAAGTTTTCATTTCCACAACTATCTGTCAATTTCCTGTTATAGTCGATGAAATTTCTTACAACACACACACACACACACACACACACACACACTTGCCCTGCCCTCATCCTCCCAAAATAGTTATATAACATTTAAAAAAATCAATGGCTAGTGTTAATATTATTATGACCATATAAGCATTTTCTGTGGAGCCAAGTTATGTACCATTATTATGTTTATTATGTTTTAATTTTCCCCTGGAGATAGTACTTGCTCAATGTTTTCTCTTGTTTGGGGATCTGTGTATATATTCTTAATTACTTTCTCATGCTCTGTCAGGTTCGTTATACATTAATATAATTTTCCAAGTGATCAAATACTTCGGGCAATACACCAATTCCAGTTTTTATGGGAAGCCTTCCTCCCAGAGACCACTGTTTTCCCTCTATCTGGACTGGTTTCTCTCTGGGCCTGCTACTCAGCCAAAATTCTTGAACTTCTCTTTGCCACCACGTTGAAAATTATTTCACTTTTTTGTCATGTTAGAGCCCCTGCTTCCTGAGTCTTATGTCTTCCTCTTTCTTGATTTTTTAAGTGAGGTATAATTTATTTACAATAAAATTCATAGATAAATGTACAATTTGGTGGGTTTTGGCAACTGTATACACATATATACTCACCACCCAAATGAAGATATAGAACATTCCAATAACCCCCAGAATGCTCCCACTTACCCATTTCCAGTTAATTATCCTTCACACCAGAGGCAACCATCACTGTGATTTCCATCACCATAGATTTATTTTGCCTGTTTTAGAAATGGAGTCATAGAGTGTTTATTCTTTTGTGTTCCACTTTTGTTCAACATGATATTGTGATTCATCCTTATCATTGGTCATCCTTTTTATTTTTAAGCAGTATTCCATTGAATGAATATACCACTGTCTGTTTATCCATCATCCTGCTGATGTACATTTGGATTATTTTTTTTGGAGCATTTATGAATAAGCTGCAAGAACAGTCTTGTACAAGTCTTTTGTGGACATATGTTTTGATTTCTCTTGGGTAAGTGCCTAGGAATGGAATTGCTCAACATGGAGTAAGTGTATGTTTGAACGTATTAAAAACTGTCAGTGTCCCAAAGTTGTGCCATTTTACATTCCCACCAGAAATATATGTGAGTCCTAGTTTCTCTACATCCTTGTCAACATTTGGTATTGTTAGTCTTTACTTCAGACGTTTTTGTGGGTGTAAGATGGTATATCCTTATAGCTTTAATTTGCATTTTCCTGATGACTAATGATAAGCACATTCCTCGAGCTTATTGCCTGTGTGTATCTTTTGTGAAGTGTCTGTTCAAATCTTTTGTCCACTTCTTAAATTGGTGGTGTGACTTTTACTAATGATTTGCAGAAGTTCTTTAAATACCCTGGATGCAAATCCTTTATCAGATATATGTATTGTGAATGTTTTCTCCAAGTTTATTTTTAGCCCATTAGTTTATCATTTTATTTTTAAATTGAGATATAACATACATATAGTAAGGGGCACAAATCTTAAGGTAAAATTTGATGAACTTTTACATATGCATATACCCACATAACAACCACTTCAAAGATTTCTAGTATCACAGACAACTTCATGCATTTCCTAGTCAACACATACCCTCAGAGGGAACCACTCTTCTGATTTCCATTGCTTATCACCTCTCCTTTAAATTAATATAAATGGATTATATGTATTCTTTTGCATGTATGTATGTATGTGTCTGAATTCTCTGACACATTATGTCAGAGGGTCAGCTATGTTATTGTGTGTAGCAGTAGTTAATTGTTTTTATTAATATATATTATTGCACTTTGTGTACATACCACAATTTATGCTTTTCACTGTTGCTAAACTTTTATATTTTCTGGTTTGGGGCTATCATTAATAAAGCTGTTATTATTATACAAGTGTTTTGTTGGGCATATGATCAAACTTCTCTTGGGTACATAGTGAATTCTGGGTCATGAGGTATGCATGTGTTTATCTTTACTAGCTACTACCAGTTTTCCAAAGTGATCATATGAATTTACACCATTATCTGCAATGTATAATAGTCGTCGGTTTTTCCTCATTCTCAACAGCACTAGATATTGTTAGCCATTTTAATTTTAGCCATTCTGGTGGGTGTGTAGTTATTTTATATTGTATTTTTTCAAACTTTTTATTTTGAAATAATTGTAGACTTATAGGGAAGTTGTAAAAATAGTACGGACAACTCTTTTTTTTTTGAGACGGAGTCTCCCTCTATTGCCCAGGCTGGAGTGCAGTGGCGCGATCTCGGCTCACTGCAAGCTCCGCCTCCTGGATTCACGTCATTCTCCTGCCTCAGCCTCCCCAGCAGCTGGGACTACAGGCGCCCGCCACCACGCCCAGCTAATTTTTTTTTTTTGTATTTTTAATAGAGATGGGGTTTCACCATGTTAGCCAGGATGGTCACGATATCCTGACCTCGTGATCTGCCCGCTTCGGCCTCCCAAAGTGACAACTATGTTTTTTTCACCGTTTCCTTCCAGTCATAATATCTTATATAACTATAGTACAAT
Organism: Homo sapiens; assembly: GCF_000001405.40. Classification (NCBI taxonomy): domain Eukaryota; kingdom Metazoa; phylum Chordata; class Mammalia; order Primates; family Hominidae; genus Homo; species Homo sapiens. Next base: position 85,668,174 of record NC_000023.11, read on the forward strand.
AGCAAAACCGGGAAATTCACATCGATTTAATACTGTCAACTAGAGACCTTACTCAGATTTCACCAGTTCTTACATGCATTCCTTTGTGCATGTGTGTGTACGTGTGTATAGCTCTATGCAATTTTATTCCATGTGTAGACTTGTGTAACCACCATCATAATCAATTATAAAACTGTTACATTGTGGCTTTAATTTGTTTTTTTTCCTCTAATTAATGATACTGAGAACATTTTCAAATTCTTATTAGCCATTTAGAAATTTGTGAATGGTCTAAATGTTTTGCCAATTTTTAATTGGGTGGGTATTTTCTTTATTCATTTGTAGTAATTATTTGTACATTCTGCATATGAGTTTGTTATTAGATGTTATGTATTACAAGTATTTCCTCCATTCTGTGGTTGCCGTTTTACTCTCATAATAGTCTTTTGATGAAGAGAAGTTCTTAATTTTAATGTATCAGTCTCTTATGGTTAATTCTTTTCTATCATGTTTAATAAATTTTTACCTGCCTCAAGTTCATGAAAATATTTTCTTAAAGTTTCCTCTAGAAGCTTTATATATTTTGTTTTCACAATTATGTCTATTATCCATTTCGAATTAATTTTTGGTTCAGTGTAAAGCATGGGGTCAAGGCTCACTTCATCCCCATGGATATACAATTGATCCAAAAACATTAAGTAAAATGTGGCTGGAGGCAGTGGGTGATGCCTGCAATCCCAACGCTTTGTGTGGCTGAGGCTGGAGTATTGCTTGAGGCCAGGAGTTTGAGACCTGCCTGGGCAACACAGCAAGATCATGTCTCCACAAATTTTTTTTAAAAAATAGACGGGCATGGCCAGGCACGGTGGCTCACGCCTGTAATCCCAGAACTTTGGGAAGCCGAGGCCAGTGGATCATGAGGTCAGGAGATTGAGACCATCCTGGCTAACACAGTGAAACCGTGTCTCTATTAAAAATACAAAAACTTAGCCGGGCGTGGTGGCGGGCGCCTGTAGTCCCAGCTACTCAGGAGGCTTAGGCAGGAGAATGGCGTGAACCCGGGAGGCGGAGCTTGCAGTGAGTCGAGATCGAGCCACTGCACTCCAGCCTGGGTGACAGAGCGAGACTCCATCTCAAAATAAATAAATAAATAAATAAATAAATAAATAAATAAATAAATAAATACATATAAAAAATAGACGGGCATGGTGGCACAAGCCTGTAGTCTTAGCTAGTTTGCAGACTGACAGGAGGATTGCTTGAGCCCCAGGGATTAGAGGCTGCTGTGTGATCCCACCACTGCACTCCAGCCTGAGTGACAGAGTGAAACCCTGCCCCAAAATAAATAAATAAATAAATAAATAAATAAATAAATAAATAAGAGAGAGAAATGGTCATCTTTTACTTTATTGAATTGTAGTAGAGATATATTATAAATCAGGACACTACATATGTGTAGACATATTTTTGAATTGTCTTTTCTGTACAATTGGTTTATCTTCACACTAATACCACATTCTCTTAATTACTGTAACTCCATAAGAAGTTTGTTCTTTTTCTTCAAGAATTCTTGGCTATTCTAAATCCGTTGCAGTTCCCTGTAAATTTTAGAATTAGCTTGTCAGTTTTCCATGGAAAATGCTACTGGTATTTTTATTAGTATTGCATTGAACCTATTGCTCAATTTGGGGGAAACTGACATCTTAACATTATTGAGCTTACTGATCCATAATTGTGACACATGTCTCAATTTGTTTAGGTCTTTTAAAATTCCCTCATCAATGCTTTATAGTTTTAGTATAAAGGTCTTGCACATTTTATCAGATATTTTATAGGTGCTTATGGTGGTTTGAAGCCATGGTAAAAGTTGTTTCATTTTCCAATTGTTTCTTGCTAATATAAGATATACAATTGAATGTGTATATTAATTTTCTATCCAGAGGTCTTGCTAAATTTGTTTAATAATTCCAAAAGTTTCTTTGTAGATTATTTCTGGTCTTTGTACATAATTATATCATTTGTGAATGAAGACAATTTTGTTTATCTTTTCTACTCTTTATACATTTTACTTATTTTTCTTGCTTATTAGGTTGACCAGATTTTACTTTTATTTACTTTGCCATGTTATAGTGAGCAGTATCTGAAGCACAATGTTGATTAGAAGTGGTAATAGTGGCCATCCATGTTTTGTTCTCGATGTCAAGAGGAAAGCATTCAATATTTTCCAACTGAGTAGTCTAGCTCTAAGCATCCTTTATAAGAATAAGGTAGTTCCCTGAGGAATCGCCACACTGACTTCCACAATGGTTGAACTAGTTTACAGTCCCACCAACAGTGTAAAAGTGTTCCTATTTCTCCACATCCTCTCCAGCACCTGTTGTTTCCTGACTTTTTAATGATTGCCATTCTAACTGGTGTGAGATGGTATCTCATTGTGGTTTTGATTTGCATTTCTCTGATGGCCAGTGATGGTGAGCATTTTTTCATGTGTTTTTTGGCTGCATAAATGTCTTCTTTTGAGAAGTGTGTTCATGTCCTTCGCCCATTACTGGGTATATACCTAAAGGACTATAAATCATGTTGCTATAAAGATGCATGCACACGTATGTTTATTGCGGCATTATTCACAATAGCAAAGACTTGGAACCAACTCAAATGTCCAACAATGATAGACTGGATTAAGAAAATGTGGCACATATACACCATGGAATACTATGCAGCCATAAAAAATGATGAGTTCATGTCCTTTGTAGGGACACGGATGAAATTGGAAATCATCATTCTCAGTAAACTATCACAAGAACAGAAAACCAAACACCGCATATTCTCATTCATAGGTGGGAAATGAACAATGAGAACACATGGACACAGGAAGGGCAACATCACACTCTGGGGACTGTTGTGGGGTGCGGCGAGGGGGGAGGGATAGCATTGGGAGATACACCTAATGCTAGATGACGAGTTAGTGGGTGCAGCGCACCAGCAGGGCACATGTATACATACGTAACTAACCTGCACATTGTGCACATGTACCCTAAAACTTAAAGTATAATAATAATACATTAAAAAAAAAAGAATGGGGATAACAGGGCCAGGCGTGGTGGCTCACGCCTGTAATCCCAGACCTTTGGGAGGCCGAGGTGGGAGGATCAGGAGGTCAAGAGTTTGAGACCACCCTGCAAAAAAAAAAAAAAGTCTCCATGACTGCTACAACTTGACAGCAAGATAAGAAAAACTTTGAAATCTACCACAGAGGCACTTTACTGAATATTTAATCAAGAAGCACTGTTTTAAGCAAAAGTCATAGTAAACTTAAAGGTATTTTCATTCACCCTATGTGTATATTTTTATAGCTTGGTTTTTTTCTTGCAATTCCTTTACTTACTCCTCACTCATTTATATCCCCATCTCCTTTTTTAATTTAAATTTTTTATTTTTAATATTTGTGGGTATGTAGTGATGTATATATTTACGGGGTACATGAGATGTTTCGCTACAGACATGCAATGTGTAATAATCACATCATGGAATGGGATATCCATCCTCTCAAGCATTTATACTTTGTGTTACAAACAAACTAATTATAGTATTTTAGTTATTTTAAAATGTACAATTCAGTTGTTATTGACTATAGCCACCCTGTTGTGCTATCAAATAGCAGGTCTTATTCATTCTTTCTATTTTTGTACCTCTTACCCATCCTCACTTCCCCCACTCTGCCATCCCACTACTCTTAGCAGCCTCTAGTACCCATCTTTCTACTCTCTATGTTCATGAGTTCAATTGTTTTAATTTTCAGATCTCACAAACAAGTGAGAACATGTGATGTTTGTCTTTCTGTGCCTGGCTTACTTCACTTAACATAATGACCTCTAGGTCCATTTATCTTGTTGCAAATGACAGGATATTATTATTTTTATGGCTGAGTAATATTCCATTGTGTGTATGCATCATATTTTCTTTATCCATTCATCTGTTGATGAACACTTAGGTTGCTTCTAAATCTTGGCTATTGTATACAGTGCTGCAACAAACATGGGAGTGGAGATATCTCTTTGATATACTGATTTTCTTTCTTTGGGTTATATACCCAGCAGTGGAATTGCTGGATCATATAGTAGCTCAATTTTTAGTTATTTTGAGGAACCTCCAAACTATTCTCCATAGTGGTTGTACTAACTTACATTCCCACCAACAGTGCACAAGGGTTCTTTTTTCTCTACATTCTCGCCAGCATTTGTTATTGCCTGTCTATTGGATATAAGTCATTTTAACTGGAGTGTGGAATATCTTACCATAGTTTTTCTTTGCATTTCTCTGATGATCAATGTTGTTGAGAACCTTTTCATATGCCTGTTTGCCATTTGTATGTCTCCTTTTGAGAGATGTCTATTCAAATCTTTTGCACATTTTTAATCCTATCATTAGATTTTTCCTATAGAGTTGTTTGAATCCCTTATACATTCTTGTTATTAACCTTTTGTCAGATGAGTAGTTTGCAAATATTTTCTCCCATTTTGTGGGTTGTCTCTTATTTTTGTTTCTTGTTTCCTTTGTTGTGCAGTAGCTTTTTAATTTGATATGATCCCATTTGTCCATTTTTGCTTTGGTTGCCTGTGCTTGTGAGGCATTACTCAAGAAATGTTTGCCCAGACTGATGTCCTGGAGAGTTTCCCCAATGTTTTTTTGTAGTAGTTTAATAGCCTGAGGTCTTAGGTTTAAGTCTTTAATCTATTTTGATTTGATATTTGTATATGGTATGACATAGGGGTCTAGTTTCTTTTTTCTGAATATGTATATCCAGTTTTCCCAGCACCATTTATTGAAGAGACTATCTTTTCCAAAGCATATGTCTGGGCACCTTTGGGGATAATGAGTTCACTGTAAATGTGTGGATTTTTTTCTGGGTTCTCAATTCTGTTCCACTGGTCTATGTGTCTGCTTTTATGCCAGTACCATGCTGTTTTTGTTCCTATAGCTCTGTAGTATAATTTGAAGTCAGATAATGTAATTCCTCCAGATTTTCTCTTTTTGCTCAAAGTAGCTTTGGCTATTTTGGGTCTTCTGTGGTTCCATATAAATTTTAAGATTGGCTTTCTATTTCTGTAAAGAATGTCATTGATCTTTTGATAGGAATTGCTTTGAATCTGTCAATTGTTTGGGGTAGAATGGACATTTGAATAATACTAATTCTTCCTCTGTTGGCTATTTCTATGTCTCCTTTTGAGAAAGGTCTATTAAGATCCTTTGCCCACTTTTTCTTCCTAAAGAGTCATTCGAGTTCCTTATATATTTTGGATATTAAGCCCTTATCAGAGATACAGTTTGCAAATACTTTATCCCATTCTGCATGTTTTCTCTTCACTCAATTGTTTGTTTTCTTGGCTGTGCCGAAACTCTAGTTTGATCTACTCACATTTGTCTAGTTTTGCTTTCATTGTCTGTGGTTTTGGGTTGATATTCAAATAATAGTTGCGCAGACCAATGCTGAGCTTCTAGAAACTGTTAGATAATGTCTTCAGTTTTAGAAAACATTTAGCCATAGTCTATTTAAAGATTCCTTCTATTACATTCTCTCTCTCCTTACAGGTATATTAGAAATTTTGTGGCATATATTTCTTTCACTCTGCACTTTTCTTTTTATTTTTTTCCACTGTATTTCACATTGGATATTTGTCTGTAGAGTCTACTAGTTGTATTTTCTGTTTTGTTCTGTTTGCTACTATTCCCATCCAGTGAATTATTAATTTCAAGTATCAAGTTTTTCTAGATCTACAATGTTAATTTATTTTTATTTCAACTTTTATTTTAGATACAGAAGGTACTTGTACAGATTTGTTACATGGAAATATTGAGTGATGCTGAGGTTTGGAGTATGGATACTTTCACCTTGGTAGTGAGCATAGTACTTCATAGGTAGTTTTTAAACCTATTTTCCCTCCTTTCACCCTCTAGTAGTACACGGTGTCTATTTGTTCCATATTTATGTTCATTTGCACTTAATGCTTAGCTCCCACTTGTAAATGAGAACATGCTATATTTGGTTTTCAGTTCCTGCATTAATTTGCTTAGGTTATAGCCTCCAGTTCTATCCATGTAGCTGCAAAGGACATGATTTCATTCTCTTTTATGGCTGTGTAGTATCCCAAAGTGCATGGGTACCATATTTTCATAATCCAAGCTACCACTGATGGGTACCTGACTTGCTTCCATGTTTTTGCTATTGTGAATAGTGCAGTGATGAACATACAAGTATATGTGTCTTTTTGGTAGAATGATTTATTTTGGGAGAGTATATACACAGTAATGATACTGCTGGGTTTACTTGTAGTTCTGCTTAAAATTCTTTAAAAAATTTCCAGACTGCTTTCCACAGTGGCTTGATTTATTCGCATTCCCACCAAGTGTATATGTGTTCCCTTTTTTTCACAGCCTGGCCATCATCTGTTTTCATTCTTATTTTTTTTGACTTTTTAAAAATTGCCATTTTGACAGGTATAAGATGATATCTCAGTGTGGTTTTGATTTGCATTTCTCTGATGATTGATGATATTGAGCATTTTTTTCATATGTTCATTGACCTCTTCTACGTCTTCTTTTGAGAAGTGTCTCTTCATGCCCTTTGGCAATGTTTTAATTGGGTTATCTGTGTTTTGCTTTTGATTTAAGTTCCCTCTAGATTCTGAATATTAGGCTTTTGTCAGATGCATAGTTTGTGATTACCTTTTCCCTTTCTGTAGGTTGTCTATTTCCTCTGTTGATAGTTTCTTTTCCTCTGCAGAAACTCTTTAGTTTAATTATATTCCACTTGTCTATTTTTGGTTTTGTTACAATTGCTTTTGGGTACTTAGCCAAGAAGCCGTTGCCAACATCAATGTCCAAAAGCGTATTCCTAGATTGTCTTTCAGGATTTCTTGTAGTTTGAGGTCTTACATTTAAATCTTTAATCCATTATGAGTTAATTTTTGTAAATGGTAAAATGTAGGTGTCCAGCTTCTGTCTTCTGCATATGGCTAGTTATCCTAACACCATTTACTGAATAGGGAGTCCTTTTTTTATTGCTGGTTTTTGTCAGCCTTGCCAAAGATCAGATGGTTGTAGGTTTGTGGCTTTATTTCTGAGTTTTCTATTCTGTTTTATTGGTCTGTATGTCTGTTATTGTACCAGTGTCAAGCTGTTTTGGTTACTGTGACTTTATGGTATAGTTTCAAGTTGGGTAGTGTGATGACTTCACCTTTATTCTTTTTGCTTGGGATTGCTTTGCCTAGAATGTTAATTTTTTTAATAGATTCTGATTTTCTGCTGAATTTTCCCATCTTTTTGTTCCTTTTGTTCATATTTTTTTTACTCTAGCTGTAATTATTTTATAATCTTTTTCTACTAACTCCAATATTTGTATCTGTGGCTATGCATCAGTTGTTTATTTTTGTAATGATTGAAAGGCAAATTTTTCTGCCTCATTCACAGGTCTAGTAATGTTTTATTGTATATCAGGCAGTGTGTATTAAAAAACTATAAAGAATCAACCACCTTACTCCTGCAAGAATGGCCAAAACAAAAAAATAAAAAAATAATAGATGTTGGCGCGGATGTGGTGAAAAGAGAGCACTTTTACACTGTTGGTAGAAATGTAAACTAGTACAATCACTATGAAAAAAAAAAGGGTGGAGATTCCTTAAAGAAATAAAAGTATACTACCATTTGATCCAGGAATCCCACTACTAGGTATCTAACCAGGTGAAATAAGTCATTATACAAAAACGATACTTGCACATGCATATTTATCACAGCACAATTTACAATTGTGAAAATATGGAACCAGCCCAAATGCCCATCAATCAATGGGTGGATAAAGAAAATATGGTATATATACACCATGGAATGCTAGTCAGCCATTAAACTATAGTCACCCTACTCTGTTATGAAACACCAGAACTTATTCCTTCAATTTAATGCTATGTCTATATCCATTAACAAACCTCTTTTCATCTCCCCCAACTCATAAACCATTCCCAGCCTCTGTTATCTATCATTCTACTCAATACCTCCATGAGACCAAATATTTTACTTCCACATATGAGTAACAGAAGGTGATATTTGTCTTTGTTTGCCTGGGTTATTTAATTTAACATAGTGACTTCCAGTTCTATCCATGTTGCTGCAAATGACATAATTTTATTCTTGTTTATGGTGAAATAGTATTCCATTGTGTATATATACCACATTTTATTTATTCATTTGTCCATTGATGGACAAATAGGTTAAATGCATGTATTTGCTACAGTGAATAGCACTTAATTAAACATTTATGTACAAGACTTTGAAAATATGCCTTCATTTGTCTGGAGTACATGCCTTGGAATGAACTTGTTGAATCATATAGTAGATGTGTTTAAGTTTTTAGGTAATTACCACAACATTTTTGACAGATGTATTATTTTACATTCCAACTAGCAGTGTATGAGTTTCAGTTGCTCTACATCTTGGACAGCATTTGATATTTCCAGTTTTTTGTTTGTTTGCTTTGCTTTCAGATCTTGCAATAGATGTGTAGTGGTATCTCATTGATGTCTTTATTTGAATTTTTCTAATGGATAGTGATGTTTAGCATCTTTTCATATGCTTATTTGCCACTCTTGTATCTTCTGTATTTGTCAGTTCTTTTGTCCATTTTGTGATGAGTGATTTGTTTCCTATTGTTGAGTTTTAAGAGTTATTTATATCCTCTGTGTACAAGTCCTTTGTCAGAAATGTGATTTGCAAATATTCCCCCCTATCTTTGGCTTGTCTTTTTTCTTTTTAATGTGAAAAGGGCTCAGGTTTGATCCAGAGTGCAACCAGGCAGAATTTAGATTTATTGATAAAATTCAATTCAAGAGCAAGGGTATAGGTAATGGGAGCTATGGAGTTTTATTGTGACTGGGGAGGTGAGGCCAGGATAAAGAGGCCAAGTCTTGTGTAGTTTGAAATTTCTGCCAAAAGCAAGGGACAAAGGAAGTGTTCAGATTTTTTTTTTTACCTTGTTGTCTACCTGTAAGGCAAAGGGGTGTGGGAAGGGTTGGGGACCTAGAAGCTGTCATATTCAAAAATAGTCTCTCCCTTTGTACAGAATTTGTGCCCTTCTTGGGAAATCCTCTTGCTATTTCTGATGTGAGTAATAAGCTTTATTTATTATCTATTAATGTATATATGTCATTTACCCCACATCTAGATAAATTCCCGGGTTTGGTGGCCAGGCTGCCTGGTGTCAAGCAGGGGAGCCTAGACACCCAAATAAAACAATTGCCAAAGTAAGCAGAGAAGGATGCCTGGACAAAGACCATGAGTGCAATGGATTTTTCTTCTCTTGCTTATGGCTTACAAGCTGGGTTCATTTCACAGCTCAGTGGGTTTGGACAGAGTCAATCAATAGCTGATGTGCTTGTGCTTTGAGCTATACCATTCTATGTCGATTCTGCTGCCTTCTACCAAGCCCTTGCCCCAAATTTAGCAGGTCTAAGCTTGACATTACATGTGGGGGAACAGGGCTGAGGAGCTTGACGCCAGAGAGAGTTGGGAAAGCAAAAAAGGGAATAAAGGCTAAGGAGCCTTACCCCTAACCACATCCTTAGAGATGCCAGGCCCATTTGTTGGAGAGAGTAGGGCCACAGTCGGGTGTCTTGGCCAGGCACTGCTCTCTGCATTTCCCGAACATTTCCTGCAAAGGGACAAAGTATTCCCCAGATGGTTCCTCTTATGATGAAGAGTTACTATAAGGCATTTAGAGTCCATGCTGCCAATTGCAGATGGTTAATTAGAGTGCTCTAAGGTCAAAAGTACTTCTGTTTCTGTAGCTGTCCTCAATTCCATTGCAATATCTTGATCTACATTGGAATTCTCTAGAGGGGAAAAAGTTAAAATTAAAATCCCCTAAATATTCTAAATTACAAAAGATAAAGAAGAAATTGCTAGGAATAAAGAAAGTAATAATTGTCATAATGACACATATTTTATTCTGCCAAATAAAAATCCCTAGATTATAATTCAGAGCTTATCATAAGATTGCATAATAAAGGAAGGGGGAAATAATTTGTTTTACATCTAAGGTCCCAAACAGATACAATAAATTATATACAATTAAATTCTCAGATCTAATGGTCAATCTCACTAAATCAGACCCTATATATTTGTCACAATTTTAACTAATAAGGATTACCAAATTAGATACCAGACTATTCAACTTACTGAAGGAAGGGCTCATTATTTCAGTGGTTTCCCCTTTACTTGACCCATTTGACCTATATTAAGACAAAATAAAAATGAGTGGCACCTGAATGAATCATTATAATGCCTCCTATCATAGTGGCACCCATAAAACTCTGAATCCAAACATTACTGAAATAACAAATTCAATACAACAAGGCTGCTGGAAAATAATTTACTATTATAGATTTAACTGACATGTCCTATTCATCACCTCTTTCAATAGCCTCCCAACCTCAAGTCACATATCTCTTCAAAAGGGAACAGTACAGCTTTACTCAGCTCCCCATGACATGTGAAAGGTCTAGCTATCACACATAGACTATGCAGACAAATCCTGAATCACATCTAATTGCTGCCAAGATTTCAGCTATGACATTATATTGATGACATTCTTTCAATGGGGACATCTAAATACTCATTAAAGAGCTTTCTTAGGTCTATTTGGACTTTTCAGGTGCTGTATTTCCATTTACAAATTTTATTACTTGTGTGCCTGCTTGTTATAAATGTGGCCTGCCTCACCAACAAGCCCTCAAGGCTGTATCCTTAATCATCCAACAAGTACTTCCTTCAATGTTACCAGGCCCACTCCTTTCTAAATGAAGCATTAGCAACCCTTACTCATGCTGCTTGGGGTCTCTAGACTACTCAAGATGGGCATTGCTTGCCATCTTGGGTTTTCAGTGCAAAAAACAATCAAACAAACAAACAAAAAACAAAAACAAGCAAAAACAAGACAAAATAAAACCTGCCTTCTTAAGCCTCCAGATGTACTCTATAGGGATGTCTTTTATTATTGATTCAATTTTGAAACTCAATATTGGTCTGTGCAGGGTTACAATAGCTTCCTGAGTCAATCTTGGAAGATTGTATGTTTCCAGGAATTTATTCATTTTCTTTAGATTTTTTTCATCATTTATCTTCTCTTTACTTATGATCTTCTAATTTTTTTATTATACTTTAAATTTTAGGGTACACGTGCACAACGTGCAAGTTTGTTACGTATGTATACATGTGCCATGATGGTGTGCTGCACCCATTAACTCGTCATTTAGCGTTAGGTATATCTCCTAATGCTATCCCTCTCCCCTCCCCCCACCCCACAACAGTCCCCAGTGTGTGATGTTCCCCTTCCTGTGTCCACGTGTTCTCATTGTTCAATTCCCACCTATAAGTGAGAACATGCGGTGTTTAGTTTTTTGTCCTTGCGATAGTTTGCTGAGAATGATGGTTTCCAGTTTCATCCATGTCCCTAGATTTTCTAGTTTGTGTGCACAGAGGTGTTCATAATAGTCTTTGAGGATGGTATTACAACTGATCCCACAGAAATACTTCTGTGGAAATACAGAAGCATTTCTGTGGGATCAGTTGTAATACCACCTTTGTTTCTTCTGATTGTGCTTATTTGAATCTTCTCTCTCTTATTCATTGTTAATCTAGCTAGCAGTCAATTGATCTTGTTTATCCTTACCAAGAACCAACTTGTCATTTCATTGATTCTTTCTGTGGATCTCTGGATCTCAATTATGTTCAGTTCCAATCTGATCAGTTTTTGTTTTCTGCTGTAAGCTTTGAGGTTCTTGTTTTTCTAATTTTTCTAGGTGTGATATTAGATTACTAATTTGAGATTGTCCTAACTTCTTGAGGTAGGCAATTAGCACTGTAAACTTTCCTCCTAACACCACTTTTGTTGCATCCCAGAGATTTTGGTATGTTGTATCCCTATTTTTGTTTATTTCAAAGATTTTTTAAAAATTCCTTCCTTGATTTTGTTGTTACCCAAAAGTCATTCAGAATCAAGTTGTTTAATTTCCATGGAACTGTGTGGTTTTGAGAGATCTTCTCGGTATAGATTTTTATTTTTAGTCCACTGTGTTCTGTCAGTATGGTTGGTGTAATTTCATTTTCTTAAATTTATTAAGACTTGCTTTGCAACCAAGCATGTGGACAATCTTGGACTATCTTTGATGTGCAGATGAGAAGAATGTATATTCTGTGGTTGATGGGTGAAGTATTCTATGGATGTCTATTAGGTCCAATTGGTCAAGCATCAAGTTTAAGTCCAGAATTTCTTTGCTAGTTTTCTTCCTAATGATCTATCTAATTCTGTCAGTGGGGTGTTGAAGTTCACTGCTGTAATTGTGTATATGTCTAAGTCTTTTTGTACATCTAAAAGTACTTGTTTCATGAATCTGGGTGAGCCAATGCTGCATGTGTATATCATTAGAATCATTAAGTCATCTTCTTTAATTTGTCATTATATAATGCCCTCCTTTGACCTTCTTTACTGTTGTGGGTCTAAAGTCTGTTTTATCTGATATAAGAGTAGTGACCCCTGCTCTTTTTGTTTTTTTGTTTGCATTGGTGTTTCTTCATCCAATCCTTTACTTTGAGCCTGTGGGTTCCATTTTGTGTGAGATAGGTCTCTCAAAGACAGCAGATGAATGGATTTTGGTTTTTTATCCAACTGGTCATTCTTCGTCTTTTACATGGGGTGTCTAGATCATTTGTGTTCAAGGTTAATACTGATACGTGAGGTTTTGATTCTATTGTGAATTTGTTAGCTCTTTGCTTTGTAGTTTCTATTTTGTTTATGCTTTTTATAGGGTCTACGGGCTATTAACTTAAGTGTGTTTTTGTGGTAGTCAGTATCATTCTTTTGTTTCCATGTTTAGAACTCCCTGAAAAATCTCTTGTAATGCTGGTCTAGTGTTAACAAATTCCCTTAGCATTTGCTTGTCTGGAAAATATTTCATTTCTCCTTCACTTATGAAGCTTAGTTTGGCAAGATATAAATTCTTGGTTGAAATTTAGTTTTTTTATACAATGCTGAAAATAGTCCCCCAATATCTCCTGGATTGTAAAGCTTCTGCTGAAAAATTTACTTTTAGCCTGATGTCACTCCCTTTGTATTTGATCTGTCTTTTCTCTACAGAAGTCTTTAAGATTTTTTTCTTTGGCATTGACCTTGGACAGTCTGGTGACTATATGCCTTGGTGAAGTTCATTTTGTATAGTATCTCACAGGTGTACTCTGGATTTCTTGTATATGGATGTCTATTTTTCTAGCAAGATTGGGAAGTTTTCTTGAATTATTCCCTAAAATATATTTTTCCTGTTTGTTTGCTTTTCCCCCACCTCTCTCAGGATTGCCAATAATCTGTATGTTTTGTCACCTTACATAATAAGATATTTCTTGAAGACCCTCCTCATTTATTAAAATTATTTTCTCTTTATTTTTGTCAGACTGGTTTAGCTCAAAAAACCAGTCTTCAAACTCTAATATTATTTCTTCTGCTTTACCCAGTTTACTAATAAAGTTTTCAATTGTGTCTTAACAATTTTTAAGTGAGTTTTCAATTACAGAAACTCTGATTGATTTCTTTTTAAGATGTTTATCTCTTTCTTTCTTTCGTAGGTTGCTTTAGAAATTTATTCATGTTGATTTTTAACTTTGTCTTGAATTTCATTGAGCTTCTTTGCTATCTATGCTTTGAATTCTTTATCTGTCATTTCTGAATTTCCATTTTGTTTAGGGATTATTGCTGGAGAGCTAGTGTGATCCTTTGGTGGTATAACTTCATTCAGATTTTTTATGGTGCCAGAATTATTGTGCTGGTTCCTTCTCATTTGGAGGTGCTGGCACTTCTAATTTCTGTAAATACGTCTGTGCAGGTAGGATTTTTTTCTTTTTCTTTGTTTTCTTATAATGTTGTTATTATTTCATTATTAATATTTTTTCTTTCCCTTTCACTCCCCTCTTATGGGGTGCGACTAGAGAATGCTTGGTAGAGTCTCTTGGCTTAGCTTCTATAGCACTATGCACTTCTTTTGGCACAGTTTATATTAGGCTGTGCAGTTTATCCAACAAGCCTGTAAATGACATTTATAGTTATGAGCTGGCTGTGAGCAACATATGTGGGTATATACTTGATCATTGTTACTGGCAGAAGCTCTCTGTTGCCTCAGGCAATGGGTTGATTTATAGAATGCACAGTGGTCAGAGCTCTTTCCTCAGGCATGGGAGAGCAGGAGCCACAAAAGGAGCGGCCAGACTGGGTATGTCCACCTGCAGGTCCTCTGATGGCAGGCACAAGCACCAGTGCCAAGGGATAAACCAGTGAGTGGTCACCAGGCACCCAATGGCATGCCTAGGCTTGGAGCTGGCAAACCTCCTCAGCTCCAAGTTCTCTACACAGGGATGGGAGTCATCTTAAGCTTATAATCCAGGAGAGTGGGCGCTCCAGGTGCCTGGAGATATGCCTGGGTGTGGAGCAGAGAGGGCCACCCTGCAACAAGATCTCTGCACAAAGGAGATTGGGCTTCTCAGGCTGCTGAAACAGGCAAACAAGCGTTCCATGTGCCTGGACATCTGCCTAGGTGTGGAGCAGAGATGACACCCTGCAAGATCTCTGCACAGAAGGGATGGGGCATCTCAGGCTGCTTGATGAAGCAAGCACATTCTCTGAATGCCTGGAGATCTGCTTGAGTGTGTCAGAAAGGGTCCTCCTGCACCAAAATCTCTGCACAAGAGGGGTGGGGCTGGTCATGCTGCAGATTCTGGTGAGCAGGTGTTCCAAATATCTGGAGATCTGACTAGGCATGAAGCAGAGAGAACTGCACCAAGAACTATGTGCAGGAAGGGTGGGGTGGCTCAGGCTGCTGAACCAAGAGAACAGGTGCTCCAATGGCTGAAGGTCAGACTGGGCATCGAGCAGAGAAAACTGCATCAAGAACTATGTGTGGCAAGGGTGGGGTGGCTCAGGCTGCTAAGCCAGGTGAATGGGTGCTCCAAATACTTGGAGATCTGCTTGAGTGTGGAGCAGAGAGCACACCCCTGCACCACAATATATGTCCAGGAAGGGTGGGTGGCTCTGGCTGTTGATCCAGACAAGTGGGTCCTCCAATGCCTGGATTTCTGCCTCAGGGTGGAGCAGAAAGGGCCCCCCTGTATTGTGGTATCAGAGAAGCAGGGTGGGGAACCCAGCAATGGTACATGCAGATCGGTTCAATGTTGCCAAGCTAGCCCTGAGTGCAAGACTTTTTGCCCAAAAGAAACTGCAGCTATAGCAGCTCTCATCCCACCCCAGGCATGGGAAGGGAATGAGCACAGTTATAGCACCTACTGTTGAGGCACTTTTCACAGTTCTGGCTATGGAGGCCGCTACTCTACTCCAGAGCAGGAACTCCAATCTCTGACCCAAGACTAAATGCCTGCTTGGCCACACTGCCAGGTTGCCAAAGAATTGCTGACTTCGGATGCACCTGGGTTAAAGGTTGTACCCTGCTCTCAGTCCTGGGTCTGGGAAAATGCGTGAAGCTTTCCCTGGTTTCTTTCCCTCACAGCATCTCCAAGCCTGTCCCCAGGTTAACTCCAGGACTTGGGAGAAGCAAAGTGTTCTCCATTGGCCTGGTTTGCTTGGATATCTAATGGAAAAGTGAGTCACAGAGGGTGGATCTCTTCCTCTCTCATGTACTGGGGTTTCACTCACTTTTATCAGCCAAATGCCATCATGGGGGCAGTTTATCAGCATTCTCATTTCCAAGATCTGTGGTATTCTTCACAATTCTGATGGATTCCCTTTTTTCTTTCTTGAATTAAAGCTCAGAGTCTATCTTTATACCGTATATTGTTATTTCCAGGTGCCTGAGGCATGCTGAAAGCCTCTAATTCACCAATTTGAAAAAAAAAAAGTTTTAGCTCTTATCTTTAGATCTTTAACACATTTTAAAAAACTAATTAATTAATTTTTTCCAAAAGTTATTGGGGTAAGGGTGGTATTTGGTTACGTGAGTAAGTTCTTCACTGCAGATTTGTGAGATTTTTGTGCATCCATCACCCGAGGAGTATACACTGCACCATATTTGTAGACTTTTACCCCTCACTCTCTTCCCACTTTTCCCCCAAAGTCCCCAAAGTCCATTGTATCATTCTTATGCCTTTGTGTCTTCATAGCTTAGCTCCCCCGTATCAGTGAGGACATACAATGTTTGTTTTTTCATTCCTGAGTTACTTCACTTAGAATAATAGTCTCCAATCTCATCCACGTCACAGCAAATTCTGTTAATTCATTTCTTTTTATGGCTGCATAGTATTCCATTGTACGTATATACCACAGTTTCTTTATCCACTCATTGATTGATGGGCATATGGGTTGTTTCCATGATTTTGCTACTGCGAATTGTGCAATTCTAAACATGTGTGTACAAGTATCTTTTTTGAACAATGACTTATTTTCCTCTGGTTAGATACCCAGTAGTGGGATTGCTGGATCAAATAGTAGTTTTCTTTTTGGTTCTTTAAGGAATCTCCACACTGTTTCCATAGTGTCTGTACTAATTTACATTCCCACCTGTTCACTGTGTCCATGCCAACATCTACTGTTTTTAGATTTTTTTGATTATGGCCATTCTTGCAAGAGTAAGGTGGTATCACATGGTGGTTTTGATTTGCCTTTCCCTTATCATTAGTGATGTTGAGCATTTTTTCATACATCTGTTGGCTATTTTTATAACTTCTTTTGAGTATTGTCTATTCATGTCCTTGGCCCACTTTTTGATGGGATTGTTTGTTTTCTTCTTACTGATTTGTTTGAGTTCGTTGTAAATTCTGGATATTAGTCCTTTGTCAGATGTATAGATTGGGATTTTCTTTCACTCTGTGGGTTTTCTGTTTACTCTGTTGATTATTTCTTTTGCTGTGAAGAAGCTTTTTAATTTAATCAAGTCTCATCTATTTATCTCACTACCTGATTTCAAACTATACTATTATGTTATAGTCACTAAAACAGCATGGTAGTGGTATAGAAATAGGCATATGGGCCAATGGAACAGAATAGAGAACCCAGTAATAAACCCAAATACTTATAGCTAACTGATCTACAACAAAGCAAACAAAAACATAAAGTGGGGAAGGGACACCCTTTTCAACAAATGGTGCTGGGGTGCTGGGATAATTGGCTAGCCACATGTTGGAGAATGTAACTGGATCGTCATCTATCTCCTTATACAAAAATCAACTCAAGATAGATTAAGGACTTAAACCTAAAATCTGAAACTATAAAAATTCTAGAAAATAACATTGGAAAAACCCTTGTCGACACTGGCTTAGGCAAAGATTTCATGACCAAGAACCCAAAAGCAAATGCAATAAAAACAAAGATAAAATAGCTAGGACCTAGGTAAATCAGGGATTTCTTCTTGGTTTGGATCCATTGCAGGTGAGCTACCATGATTTTTGGGGGGTGTTAAAGAGCCTTGTTTTGTCACATTACCAGGGCTGGTTTTCTGGTTCCTTCTCATTTGGGTAGGCTCTGTCAGAGGGAAGGTCTAGGGCTGAAGGTGTTGTTCAGAAGGGGATATTCCCTTGATATAGTAGTCTCCCCGTTTTCCTATGGATGTGGCTTCCTGTGAGCTGAACTGCAGTGATTGTTTTCTCTCTTCTGGGTCTAGCCACCCAGCAAGTCTACCGGCTCCAGGCTGGTACTGGGGATTGTCTGCAGAGTCCTGTGATGTGAACTATCTATGTGTCTCTCAGCCATGGATACCGGTGCCTGTTCCAGTGGAGGTGGTTGGGGAGTGCAATGGACTTTGTGAGGGTTCTTAGCTTTGTTGTAATGCTCTATTTTTGTGCTGGTTGGCTTCCTGCCAGGAGGTGGCACTTTCCAGAAAGCACCAGCTGTAGTAGTATACAAAGGAACTGGTGGTGGACGGGGCGCTAGAACTCCCAAGATTATATGCCTGTTGTCTTCTGCTACCAGGGTGGATAGGGAAGGACCATCAAGTGGTGGTGGGGCTAGACGTCTCTGAGCTCAGATTCTCCTTAGGTGGGTCTTGCTGCAGCTGCTGTGGGAGATGGGGGTGAGATTCACAGGTCATTGGAGTTGTGTACCTAGGAGGATAATAGCTACCTCTGCTGAGTCATGCAGATTGTCAGGGAAGTGGGCAAATGCCATCAGTCACAGGCCTCATCCAGCTCCCACGCAAAATGAAGGGCTGGTCTCACTCCCACCGTGCCCCCACAACAGCCCTGAGTCTGTTTCCAGGTGGAGGGTATGATGGGGTTGAAAATTTGCCCTGGGCTACCCTCCTCCCAGCTGCAAGAGAAAAGGGCTTGGTTCTTCCCCACTTATGTAGTCTGAACACCAGATTTGCACCCTCCCCCGAGATCTGGCCAGGAGGCATCTTGCTCTGTTCAAATTATTACAAAGTTCAGCTAAAGATTTCCTTCTCCCTGTGGAGTTATACCCCCTGCTCCTCTGGTCACCCACCCAACGGATCCCTGTGGTGCCAGGCAGGAATCGCCTGCTAGGAGATGCAGCAAGCTCCCAGGACCTTTCTGCTCCTTCCTCTACCCCTGTATTTCACTCGGCTCTCTAAATTGGCTCAGCTACAGGTAATGTGGGAAACTTCTCCGGCAAACAAACCTTCAACTTCTCCAGTGGGGGTGTGTGTGCAGGAGAGAAGGGTCTCCCTTTCCCACTTCTGCAGTTGGGGCACTCACAGTATTTGGGGTGTCTCCCAGGTACTGCAGGAGCAGTCTGCTTCCTTCAGAGGGTCTGTGGATCTTGTTGGGATTGCTGGTTTGTTCTAGCAGTCTATCTGTAGCTAAAATTCGCAATGCAAGCTTCCGCAAGCTGCTCTGTCCAGAGCTGCAATCTAGTCCTGCCTTCCATCTGCTATGATGATCTCTAAGCCTCCTTTAATACATTTTAAAATATTTTTTGTATGTGATGTAAAGTAGCAGTCAAATTTATTCTTTTTCATGTGACTATCCAGTTTTCCCAACATCACTTCTTGGAGAAACTGCCTTTTTTCCATTGTGTGGTCTTGGCATTCTCATCAAACATCATTTGACTCTATACTGAAGGGTTTATTTCTGGGCTCTCTATTCTTTTTCATTGGTCTATATATCTGTCTTTATGCTATTACCACACTGTATGTTTTGTTTACTATAGCTTTGTAGTAAATTTGAAACCAGGAAGGGTGAGGTCTCCAAATTTATTCTTCTTTTTCAAGACTGTTTTGGCTATTTGGGTCATTTGAGATTCCATATAGATTTTAAGTTATTGTTTTTATTGCTGCAAAAAGTACATTGGAATTTTGATAGAGATTGCATTGAGTCTGTAGATTTCTTTGTGTAGTATGATGGCTAATTTTATGTGTCAACTTGATTAGTCATTGGATGCCCAGATGTTTAGTCAAAGCATTATTCTGGATATGTCTAGGAGGGTTTTTCTGAATGAAGATTTGAGTCTGTAGACTGAGTAAAGCAGATTGACTTCCCTAATTTGGATAGGCCTCATCCAATCAGTTGAAAGCCTGAATGGAACAAAAAGGCTGAGTACGAGGGAATTTATCTGACCTGATGGCCTTCAAGCTGGGACATCTGTTTTTTTTTTTTTTTTCCTGCCTTTAGACTCAAACTGAAACATTGGCTCTTCCTGGGTCTTGAGCCTGTTGGACTCAGACTAGCTACACCATCAGCTTTCTTAATTCTTAGGGCTTTGTACTACCATTGGCTCTCTTGGGTTTTTAGCTTGGCAACTGCAGATTTGGAGATTTCTAGGCCTCCATAATCACATAAGCCAATTCCACATAATAGTTAAATGTATAAAGGTATGTATTCTATTGGTTCTGTTTCTCTGGAAAATCCTAACACTGGTAGTATAAACATTTTAACAATATTAAGCCTTCTCTACTATGAACAACTCTATGCTCACAAATTAGGAAACCTAGAGGAAATGGATAAATTTCTGGAAATATGCAAACTTCCAAAATTGAACCAGGAAGAAATAAAAATCCTGAACAGACCAATAATGAGTGAAATTGAGTCAGCAATAAGAATCTCTCAACAAAAAAAGTCTGAGATCACATGAATTCATGGCCAAATGCTACCAAATGTATAAAAAAGAACTAATACCAATCCTACAGAAAATGTTCCAAAATCAAGGAGGAGGAAATCCTCCTTAACTCATTCTACAAAGCCAGTATCACCCTGATAACAAAGTCAAAGAATGACACGACAAAAAGGAAAACTACACACCCATATCTTGGATTAACATAGATTTAAAAATTCTCAACAAAATACTAGGAAACCAAATTCAACACCCACATCAAAAAAATAATACACCGTGATCAAGTGGGATTTATTCCAGGGATGCAAGAATGGTTCAACCTATGCATATCAATAAATGTGATTCACCACATAAAGAGAATCAATAACAAAAAACCATGTTATCATCTCAACAGATGTAGAAAAAGCAGTTGGTAAAATTTAGCATCTCTTTATGACAAAAACCTCCAAAAAACTAGGAATAGAAGGGGTATATCTCAAAATAGTAAAAACTATATATGAGAAACCCACAGCCAACATCATACCGAATGGGAAAAAGCTGAAAACATTCCTCTTAAGATGTTGAACAAGAGAAGGACACCCACTTTCACCATTCCTATTCAACATAATACTGGAAGTCCTAGCCAGAGCAATCAGGGAAGAGAAAGAATAAAATGTATCCAAATTGGAAAAGAGGAAGTCAAATTTTCTGTTTGTTGATAATACCTATAAAATCCCAAATACTCCTCCAAAGGACTCTTAAATTTAAATTCAGTAAAGTCTAAGGATTCAAAGTAAGCATACAAAAATCAGTAGCATTTTGATACACCAATAATGATCAAGGCCACAGTAACCAAAAATGGCATTGTAGTGGTATAAAAAAATAGATACGTCAAACAATGGAACAGAATAGGGAACCTGGATATAAAGCCACATACCTACAACCAACTGATCTTTGACAACATCAACAAAAATAAACCACAGGGCATGACACCCTGATATGGTTTGGCACTTTGTCCACACCTGAATGTCATGTTGAATTTTAATTCCCAGTGTTGGGGGAAGGACCTGGTTAAAGGTGATTGGATCATTGGGGCGGATTTCCCCCTTGCTGTTCTTGTGATAGTGAGTGAGTCCTCACAAGATCTGATGGTTTTAAAGTGTGTGGCACTCCTGTCTTTACTCTCTCTCTCTCCTGCTCTGCCACGGTAAGATGTGCTTGCTTCCCCTTCACCTTTCCACCATGACTGTAAATTTCCTGAGGCCTCCCAGCTGTGCTTCCTGTGCAGCCTGTGAAGCTGTGAGTCAACCAAACACCTTTTCTTCATTAATTACCCAGACTCAGATAGTTCTTTATAGCAGTGTAAGACTGGACTAATACACACCCTCTCCAATAAATGATGCTGTGAAAACTGGCTAGCCATATGCAAATGAATAAGACTGGATCCCAATCTCTCACCATATACAAAAATTGACTCAAGATGAACTGAAGACTTAAATGTAAGACCTCAAACTATCAGAGTCTTAGAAGGAAACCTAGGAAAAACTATTCTGGACTTTGGCCTAGGCAAAGAATTTATGACTAAGACTTCAAAAGCAAATGCAATAAAAGCATAAAATAGACAAATGGGACTTAAACTAATGAGCTTCTGCACAGCACTAGACACTATCAACAGAGTAAACAGACAACCTAAAGAATGAGAGAAAATGTTTGCAAACTATGCATCAGACAAAGTTATAATATCTAGAATCTATAAAGAACTTAATTCAACAAGTACAAAACAAATAATGCCATTAAAAATGGGCAACGGACATGAACAGACACTTCTTCAAAGAAGACATACATGCAGTCAATTAAGATATGAAAAAATGATCAGATAAAGAAAAAGAAGAAGAAAAATACCAATATCAGGTCTTTTTTCTAATGCTCAAATTCATGCAAGAGAATTTGAGCATTAGATTCACACACATGATCACACACACGATCAACTGAGCAAACATTCACAATCTAATTCAATTGTTAAAGCCAGTAATTAGGGAGGATGACAAACCACAGTGATGGCTGGGAAAGCCAGCACACTAAGAGAAAACTGGAGTAGATCTGGAAGTCAGTAGCTGGTCAGTGGGGGAATATCTGCTCCTATCAGACAGAACCTCCGGGTAGCAATTGTCAAAGCCTGGAGTAGGCTTCAGAAATCTTACAGGCAGAAATTCTAAAGGTGTCTTGTGCATTGTCAGTTCTTTGCTGTTTTAATGATATTCTACAACTGTGCCCATTATCATTATCTCATCAACCTTTTGGCTCAATTTTCTATTGGCTCATTCTTGCTTTCAGGTGGTATCATACCACAGCTGGTTTTATCTCACCTATTACGCATGTTTCTTACTTTAAAGGAAACCGACTTTACTGTGAGATTAATGCTCAGCCTATTACACATATGTTTATAACTTCGAGGAAAAACAATTTTACTTGGACATAATGCTCATTCAAGTGCACATATGCTTATCACTTTGAGCAGTAAACAACTTCAGTATGGGCTTTGTAACACTTAACCTGAGTGACTCCATTATGAGATATTAGGATCCTCCCACTAGTAGTCCCCAGGGTCTACTGTTCCCATCTTTATGTCCATATGAACTCAATGTTGGCTGTTAGGATTCCATAATTATTCAGGACCTCTATAATAGGTACAATGTCACAACCTAATATCTTAGACAATGCTGAAGTTATTTCTTCGTTATGGTTCTCACAACCTAACTTCCTAGGTTTGAAGTTGCTTTGAGAGATACTGTTGTTTCTCATAAGTCAAAGGCAGATAGATGCACCCTCTCCCAAAGACCACTTTCTTTGGGATGGGGTCATGGGATTTGAGGGGTTCTCCTCCATGCTTGTGTTCAGTCTGAAGCAATGATGATGCTATTGCCAGAAGAAATAACACCAACAAATATTGGTGGGGGGGGGGGTTCCTATGAATTTTGTCTTGCATTGTTTTATACAAGAAGTCCTAAACCAAAAAGAAAGAAATAATGAAAATATTTTCAGCCAGGTGGCAATAGTCTTTTTTGATTGAAGCACATTCTCTACTATATAGCTAAATTCATCCTTTGGAATTTTAATTTTCTGTGACTGACACTGTACTCCTCCCCAAGATTAGAAAGCCAGAGCACATGTCAGTGTGCATGCAACTTTCAAATATCCTCTTTTTCATTGCTTTCTGAATAGCCTGGCTATTCTCTTCCAGAACGGAGAAAAATGATTCCCTAGAAATGAGACTTCCTCATCTCTATGCGGCAAAGAGCTCATATTCATTTTCTCAGCCTCTGATAGCTTCAGAAAGGATAGTTATTGTTAGCCTGGACTATTCTTGGAGCCAGAAATGCTGTGGTTGGGGCATTTCATCAACCAAATCACAGTTGTTCTGCCTTCCCATAAGTGATGCTCTGCCATCCTCACATCCTATTAGATTGCTCGAAGAAATAAAGTTCACTATAACTAGATGGTTTCATACAGAATCTTTACTTGTCTATGGCTTTATCTTGTAACAAGTTTTTCTCTTCCAATATGGGGTTGCACAACATACCCAGAGCTGTAGGCAGTACCACAAAACATCCATGTTATTCATTTATTTGTTTATGTAAGAATTACACTGAAAAAGGCAATATTTGTAAACATTTAAAATTATACTCTTTCATTTGCTTTTGTCTTGTGTTCCTTTCCAAGGATTGAAATTTCTCCCATGCAATTTGGATAAAACAGGAAACAGCTTAATTTAACTGCAGTATTCTTGCATTATATACATTTATATACATATTTCTATTAAATAGGCTTGCATACACAGTACTATACAGATACTGAAGCTGGAAGTGAAATAGTCTTTCTCCATTTTGATACACCCAGCCTTGCACCCACAAATTAGATATGGTACTAATTATGTCTATTTAACATATTGGGAGAAGAGTTTTGGAGAGGAAGTTCCAATTTAATTTCTTTTTCCACCAGTGGGAGAGACTCATTCTTGCTTGAATGTCATCAAAATATAAAAAGATGAAAGAAAACAGACAATATAATAAGTAAATCCGAACCCTGCTCAAAACATGTAGCACAATTAGAGCAAAAAAAAAAAACCTGATTCTTAGGGATATTTGGAGAAATGACTGATGCCAGAGCTAGGGTAGGGTAGACACAAAATGAGCCTGAAATGTAAAAAAACATATTATGTTTTGTTATACCAAAAGCATAATAGAAATTTTCATTTCATTGGGAGCATGCCACAAAATGCAGTTAACAAATTGAAAAAAATTCCTGCTGGAAAAATCTGAGACAATATAAGCACCAAAATTACTGAGTAAACCACTGAAAAAATAAGAATTCATGAGTCCACACTGACAGTAATAGATAAATATATAAATAAATATGGGGGAAGGGTTTTTCCTTGAAATAGATTGCTGATAAGTATGAAGGAAGTACTGGAGCTAAAAAATAATTATTTAACAATAATCATAATAAAGACTAAATTAATAAAATATGATAAGTGGAGGCTGAATCTTGGGGGAAATTATGCATATTCTCCAAGTGACTTCCCACAGACAACTTATTAGTTACAAAAAAGTAATATAACCAGTAATTATACATCAAATAATTTGGGCAGCACCTTGACTGGATGATCAAAAGGCAAGAAAAGGCTGTGGACCTGTCCCAGATTAAAGAAGCCTAGCGAGATATGACAATTATATGTGCTACCAGGTTCTAGACTGGATTCTCAACTCAAGGAGAAAATGCTGTAAAGGACACTACTGGGTCAACTGGCATAGTTGGAATATAAGAGATATGTTAGATAAAAGTATTTTGTCATATTCTTAGGCTCATGATGCACATGGCTCACCCGTGAATGGTTCAGAAAAATATTATAAAATTATGTGTGTGTGTGAGGAGACAGAGAGCAAAAGGAGTAAAATATTTATTTTATTTTTATATTCTTTTTTATCTTCTAAAAAAAAGGGGATACATGTGCAGAAAATGCAGGTTTGTTACATAGGTAAACATATGCCATGGTGGTTTGCTTCACCTATTGACCCATCCTCTAAGTTCCCTCCACTCACCCCACACCCCCCCAAGAGGCCCTGGTGTGTGTTTTTCCCCTCTCTGTGTCCATGTGTTCTCAATGTTCAACTCCCACTTATGAGTGAGAATATGCAGTATTTGGTTTCCTGTCCCTGTGTTAGTTTGCTGAAGATGATGGCTTCCAGCTTCATCCATGTCCCTGCAAAGGACATGATCTCATTCCTTTTTATGGCTGCATAGTATTCCATGGTGTATATGTACAGCATTTTCTTTATCCAGTCTATAATTGATGGGCATTTGGGTTGGTTCCATGTTTTTGCTATTGTAAATAGTGCTGCAATAAACATACATGTGCATGTGTCTTTATAGTAGAATGATTTATATTCCTTTGGGTATATACTCAATAATGTGATTGTTGGGTCAAATGGTATTTCTGGTTCTAGATCCTTGAGGAATCGCCATACTGTCTTCTACAATGGTTGCAATAATTTACATTCCCACCAGCGGTAAAAAGTGTTCCTATTTCTCCACAGCCTCACCAGCATCTATTGTTTCCTGACTTTTTAATAATTGCCATTCTGACTGGCATGAGATGTTATCTCATTTTGGTTTTGATTTGCTCTTCTCTGATGATCAGTGATGTTGAGCTTTTTTTCATGTTTGTTGGCCACGTAAATGTCTTCTTTTGAAAAGTGTCTGTTCATATCCTTTGCCCACTTTGTGATGGGGTTGTTTGCCTTTTTCTTGTAAATATGTTTAAGTTCCTTGCAAATTCTGAATATTAGAACTTTGTCACATGGGTAGATTGCAAAAATTTTCTCTCATTCTGTAAGTTGCCTGTTCTCTCTGATGATAGTTTCTTTTGCTGTGCAGAAGCTCTTTAACTTTAGTTAACTAGATCCCATTTGTCAATTTTGGCTTTTGTTGGCATTGCTTTTGGCATTTTTTTCATAAAGTCTTTGCCCATGCCTAGGTCCTGAATGGTATTGCCTAGGTTTTCTTCTAGGGTTTTTATGGTTTTGGGTTTTACATTTAAGTCTTCAGTCCATCTCGAGTTACTTTTTGTATAAGGTGTAAGGAAGGGGTCCAGTTTCAGTTTTCTGCATATGGCTAGCCAGTTTTCCCAGCACCGTTTACTGAATAGGAGATCCTTTACCAATTGCTTGTTATTGCCAGGTTTGTCAAATATCTGATGGTTATAGATTTGTGGTGTTATTTCTGAGGTCTCTGTTCTGCTCCATTGGTTTATATATTTGCTTTGATACCAGTATCATGCTGTTTTTGTTACTGCAGCCTTGTAGTACAGTTTGAAGTCAGGTAGCCTGATGCCTCCAGCTTTGTTCTTTTTGCTTAGGATTATCTTGACTATACAGGGTCTTCTTTGATTCCATATGAAATTTAAAATAATTTTTTCTAATTCTGTAAAAACCGTCAAAGGTAGTTTTATTGGAATAGCATTGAATCTATAACTAACTTTGGGCAGTATGGGCACTTTCACAATATTGATTCTTCCTATCCATGAGGATGGAATGTTTTTCCATTTGTTTAAATTTTCTCTTATTTTCTTTAGCAGTGCTTTGTAGGTCTCTTTGAAGAGGTCCTTCACATCCCTTGTTAGCTGTATTCCTAGGTATTTTATTCTCTTTGTAGCGATTGTGAAAGGCAGTTCATTCATGATTTGGCTCTCTGCTTACCTATTGTTGGTGTCAAGAAATGCTTGTGGTTTTTGCACATTGATTTTATGTCCTGAGACTTTGCTGAAGTTGCTTATCAGTTCAAGAAGTTTTTGGGCTGAGATCATGGGAATTTCTAAATATAAAATCATGTTGTCTGCAAACAGAGACAACTTTACTTCATCTCTTCCATTTTAAATACCTTTATTTCTTTCTCTCCCCTGATTTCTCTGGCCAGTACTTCCAATACTATGTTGAATAGGAGTGTTGAGAGAGGGCATCCTTGTCTTGTACTGGTTTTCAAAGGGAATACTTCCAGCTTTTGCCCATTCAATATGATATTGGCTGTGGGTTTGTCATAAATAGCGCTTATTATTTTGAGATATGTTCCATCAATACCCGGTTTATTGAGAGTTTTTAACATGAAAGGATGTTGAATTTTATCAAAGGCCTTTTCTGCATTTATTGAGATAATCATGTAGTTTTTGTCTTTGATTCTGTTTATGTGATGGATTACATTTATATATTTGCATATGTTGAAACAGCCTTGCATCTCAGGAATAAAGCTGACTTGATCATGGTGGATAAGTTTTCTGATGTGCTGCTGGATTTGGTTTGCCAGTATTTTATTGAGGATTTTCACATCAATGTTCATCAGGGATATTGGCCTGAAGTTTTCTTTTTTTGTTTGTCTCTTCCTGGTTTGGGTATCAGGATGATGCTGGCTTCATAAAATGAGTTAGGGAGAAGTCCCTCCTTTTCAATTGTTTGGAATAGTTTCAGAAGAAATAATACCAACTCCTCTTTGTATTTCTGGTAGAATTCAGCTGTGAATCCATCTGGTTCTGGGCTTTTTTTTTTTTTTTCCTTTGGTAGGCTACTAATTACTGCCTCAATTTCAGAGCTTGTTATTGGTCTATTCAGGGATTTGACTTCTTTCTGTTTTAGTCTTTGTTAGGCTGTATGCATTCAGGAATTTATCAATTTCTTCTAGATTTTCTAGTTTTTCCATGTAGAGGTGTTTATAGCATTCTTTGATGGTAGTTTGTATTTCTGTGGGGTCAGTGGTGATATCTCCTTTATCATTTTTTATTGTGTCTGTTTGATTCTTCTCTGTCTTCTTCTTTATTAGTCTAGCTAGCAGTCTGTCTATTTTGTTAACTTTTACAAAGAAACAGCTCCTGGATTCACTGACTTTTTTGGAGGGTTTTTTGTGTCTCTGTCTTTGATTATTTTCTGATCTTAGTTATTTCTTGTCATCTGTTAGTTTTTGGATTAGTTTGCTCTTGCCCCTCTAGCTCTTTTAATTGTGATGCTAGCATGTCAATTTGAGATCTTTCTAGCTTTCTGATGTTCACATTTAGTGCTATAAATTTCCATCTTAACACTTCTTTAGCTGTGTCCCAGAGATACTGGTACATTGTCTCTTTATTCTCAATGGTTTCAAAGAACTTCTTGATCTTTGCCTTAATTTCATTATTTACCCAGGAGTCATTCATAAGTAGGTTGTTCAATTTCCAAGAAATTGTGTGGTTTTGAGTGAGTTTCTTAATCCTGAGTTCTAATTTGATTGCACTGTGGTCTGAGAGACTGTTTGTTATGATTTCAATTCTTTTGAATTTGCTGAGGAACATTTTACTTACAATTATGTGCTCAATTTTAGAATAAGTGCCATGTGGCACTGAGAAGAATGTATATTATATTGATTTGGGGTAGAGAGTTCTGTAGATGTATACCAGGTTCACTTGATCCAGAGCTGAGTTCAAGTCCTGAATATTCTTGTTAATTTTCTGTGTCGTTGATCTGTCTAATACCAACAGTGTGGTGTCAAAGTCTTCCACTATTATTGTGTGGGAGTCTACATCTCCGTATAGGTCTCTAAGAACTTGTTTTATGAATGTGGGTGCTCCTGTATTGGGTGCATACATATTATTTAGAATAGTTAGCTCTTCTTGTGGAATTGTTCCCTTTACCATTATGTAATGCCCTTTTTTGCTTTTTTGGTCTTTCTTGGTTTAAAGTCTGTTTTATCAGCAACTAGGATTGCAACCCCTGCTTTCTTTGGCTTTCCACTTACTTGGGAAAATTTCTTCCATCCCTTTATTTTGAGCCTGTGTGTGTCTTTGCACATAAGATGGTCTCCTGAATACAGCAAACTGATGGGTCTTGACTCGTTATCCAATTTGCCAGTCTGTGTCTTTTAATTGGGGCATTTAGCCTATTTACATTTAACATTAGTATTGTTATGTGTGAATTTGATCCTGTCACCATGATGCTATTTGGTTATTTTGCACACTAGTAGATGCAATTTCTTCATAGTGTCATTGGTCTTTATATTTTGGTGTGTTTTTGCAGTGGATCATACCGGTTTTTCCTCTCCATATTTAGTGCTTCTTTCAGGAGCTTTTGCAGGAAAGGCCTGGTAGTAATGAAATCCCTCAGCATTTGCTTGTCTGGAAAGGATTTTATTTCTCCTTGGCTTATGAAGCTTAGTTTTGCTGGATATAAAATTCTGAGTTCAAAATTCTTTTCTTTAAGAACGTAGAATACAACCCAATCTCTTCTGGCTTGTAGAGTTTCTGCTGAGGGGTCTGCTGTTACTCTGATGGGCTTCCCCTTGTAGATGATCTGGCCTTTCTCTCTGACTGCCCTTAACAGTGTTTCCTTCATTTCAAACTTGAAAAATCTGATTATTATGTGCCTTGTGGTTGATCTTCTCATGAATTATCTTAATGGTGTTCTTTTTACTTCCTGAATTTGCATTTGAGTCTGTCTTGCTAGGTTGGGGAAGTTCTCCTGGATAATATCTTGAAGTGTGTTTTCCAGCTTGTTTCCATTCTCCCTGTCTCCTTCTGGTACTCCAATTAATCATAGGTTCAGTCTTTTTATGAAGGACCATATTTCTTGAAGACTTTATTTTTTCCTTTTCATTCTTTTTTCTCTATTCTTGTCTGCATGTCTTATTTCAATAAGGAGGTCTTCAAACTCTGATATCCTTTCTTCTGCTTGGTTGATTTGCCTATTGATACTTGTGTATGCTTCACAAAGTTCTCGTGCTGTTTTTCAGCTCCATCAGGTCGTTTATGTTCCTCTCTAAACTGGTTATTCTAGCTAGCAATTCCTCTAATCCTTTATCAAGGTTTTTAGCTTCTTGCATTGGGTTAGAACATACCTTTTTAGCTTAGTGTAGTTGTCTATTACACACTTTCTGAAGCCTAATTCTGTCCATTTGTCTATCTAATCCTTCATCCAGTTTTGTGCCCTTGATGGAGAGATGTTGCAATCATTTGGAGGAGAAGAAGCACTTTGGCCTTTTGAGTTTTCAGCATTTTTTTTTTTGTTGACTCTTTCTCATCTTCGTGTTTGTCTAATTTTCGTTTTTGAAGCTGCTGATCCTTGGATGGGGTTTTTGTGTGGGCCTTTTTTGTTGTTGTTTATATTGTTATTGTCACTTTCTGATTGTTTTTCTTTCAATAGTCAGGTCCCACTTCTGTAGGGCTGCTGCAGTTAGCTGAGGGTTCACTTCAGGCTGTATTCATCTGATTCACTCCTGTGCCTGGAGATGTCCCTCAAGGAGACTGGAGAACAGCAAAGATGGGTGCCTGTTTCTTCTGGGACCTCTGACCTCTACAGGCACCAACCTGATGCCAGAATGATCATTCCTGCCTGACAAGCCCTGTTGGAGGATCTCACCCAGTTGGGTGGCACGAGGAACTGGACCCATTTAAAGAAGCACTTTGTCCCTTGGTGGAAGGGGTGTGCTTTGCTGTGGGGAAACCCACTCGTCTGGGCTGCCTGGATTCCTCAGAACTACCAGGAGAAAAGGATAAGTCTGCTTGTCTGCAGAGACCGCAGCCATCCCTCTCCCCAGGGGCTCAGGCCCAGGGAGATCTGAATTCTGTCACTGAGCCTCTGTTGGGAGTTATTGGAGATCCTGCAGGGAAGCCCCTTCCAATGAAGAAGGATGGTTCAGGTTTAGGCCTGAAGAGGCACTCTGGCTGAAGACTGCCACAGCTGGTGTGTTGGGCTGTGGGGACAAGTCTTGGGACCAAGTCGTCCATCCTACTTGGCTCCAGCAGGGAAAAAGCACAGCCTGGAGCTATAGAAATGGGTGTCGCCCTTCCCCCACTCAGGGAGCTTAGCGTGTTAGGCAGTTGCGAGTCCCAGTGCTGGCTGCCACCCCTCCCCCAAGGAGCTCAAATGGCTTAAACAGCAGGCAGTTGTAGCTGGTGCTGGTCACTTTTCCCCCCAGGAGTTCAGTAAGCTTAAGCAGATTCCAGCTGAGAGGCTGTTAAGAATCTGTGCATTCTGGGCTTGGAACACTAGGACCCGGTGGCATGGATTCACAAGTGGGATCATCCGGTCCATGGGCTGCACAGTACAGTGGAAAAATAACAGTTTCCCCAGCTGGATAGCAAACTCACTCACCACCTCCCTTGGCTAGGGGGAGGAAGCTTTCCTTTCCCATGCGGCTCGTGGCTATCAGGTGGGCCGCCACACCACACTTTTCTTCCTTCTCTCCATGAATCACGCCAGCCTTCTAGACAACTTTGATGAGAGAACCCGGATCCTTTGGTTGCTGGTGAAAGATTCACACACTTACGTTGTTTTTTTTTTCAATAGGAGCTTCCGAAAGCCGCTGCTTCTAGTCAGCCATCTTGACTCCACCCCCAGGAGTAAAATATTAACAATAGATATAGCTGCATAAAAGGTATACAAAAGTTCTTTGTACTATTTTTATTTTTTATTATATTTAAATGTGAATTTATTTTCAAATAAAAATGGGTTCCTAATAGGAAACTCTAGTAAGCCAATATAATTTCCCCTTCCATTTTGATGATTGGTTTGCCCTAATAGAAAAATCCAGTAAGCAAATATAATTTTGCCTTCCATTTTGATGGTTGGTTTGCCACTTAGGTATAAATGGATGAAGGCCAATAAGATCTGCAGTGGCTTAGCACTGTGGCCTGAGGATAAGTCAAAGGTGATTTCACATCCGAAGTTGCAAAGGCTTGGGTAGCCTCTAGAAGCCTTGGAATTTAGCTGAAAGAAATGTTGATAGGTTTTAATTTATTGTTGAAAATTCAAAACTATGGTTAACAGGATATTGCTTAGAAATCATTGCAGGATATATATATATATATATATATATATATATATATATATATATACACACACACACACACATATATATACACACACACACATATATATATACACATATATATATACACATATATATATACACATATATATACACACATATATATACACATATATATATACACATATATATATATATACACACATATATATATATGCCAATCACACATACATGGGCACATATAAACAATTTATGTAAGTTATAAATTACGCACACACACACACACACACACACACACACTGTACTCCCTGCTTATCCTCAGGGGATATATTCCAAGACCCCCAGTAAATGACTGAAACTGTGGATAGTACAGAATCTATATATACTATGTTTTCTCCTATGCATTCATACCTATGATAAAGTTTAATTTATATATTAGACACAGCAAGAGATAACAGTAGCTAATAACAAAGCAGAACAATTAAAACAATATACTATAATACAAGTTATGTGAATGTGGTTCTTCTCTCTCTCAAATATCTTATTGTACTGTACTTATTTATTTTCAGAACATGGCTGACTGTGGATAAATGAAACTGTGGAAAATGAAACCACAGACAAGGGGGGACTACTACTGGATACAAATAGGAAATCATAAATGTGTATGTAATGTTAGTATATTCATCTGGTAAATGCCTGGCAACCAAAAAATGAAGTGCAATACAATAACTACTTCTGAAAACTAAACTTGCTGATAATGTCCCAGGTGAGAAGCAAAACTGAGAGAAAACTGTTGCAATTGCATGTTCAAATAGTGTTATGTATGGAAAAAAAAGTAGTGATTTGCCACTATATAATAGTGTGGCATCTATTTCAGTTGCTCATGAAGCTCAGTGGTTTTCCACCTTATATAGAGAGAAATACTCTAGCTGCTACTGCTGCTACTATTAGTAGTAATAATAATAATAATAATCTAGCAGTTGATGATTCTCAGCCATAAATTCAGGTGTGCAAACATTACTCCTTCTTTCATTTGCTACAACTCATTTTAATGACTCCGAGCTTTTATTCTGCCTAAGGGAAAAATCATCATCATCATCATCATCATCATCATCATCATCTAGTCATTACCAAGCTCATTAGATTTAGGGTTTAAACATAATCAGCTAAGGTTGCTGCCCTCCTCCTTCTCCCTGAGAGATGTTATAAAGTGTAGAAGTGGTAGAGCTTACATATTATGGTGGGTGAGGATATCTGGTTGTCCGTGGATTTCTGTGTAATGCTGGCTTCCACTGAGAAGCTTGAGGGTCTATTCCTCAGATATAGTCACACATACACCCTCTCGTTACTATGGTCTGGGATGCCAGTGGTGACATCATTTTCTTTTGCTGACAAGCCTGTTCACTCTTCATCTTTCTCTCCCCAACTGTGAGTCCCTTTAAGGCTCATTGGCTCTCCTTGGGCCTTATATGTCTCATGTGTGTATGTGCTGGGTGAGTAGAACATATGATCTCTCAGTCCCTCTCCCTGCTACTGGAGTAAATAGGACTTTGTCGTTAGGATAATCGGGTAAGGAAATTCACTAAATCATTATTACTCTACTGTTCCTATTCCAAGCTGAACCTGGGGGCCTCTCTACAAGAATTGCAGTCCCCTTGGGCTACATTCTATGAAGCAACACATAGCTGTCCTCTGATCTGAGTTCTCTTCTACCGCAAATGTATTTTTGTTTTTTCCTATTTTATTCCACTATGGCCACAAACACTCCCAAGCGAGGTTTCAACCCAGAAGGGGGAGATAGGGCAAATAACCTCTTGTGAGAGACTAAGACCAGTATTAATTTGTTAATCTCCTTTTATAGACTGAAGCTTTGTGTTTCCCCACAATTCATATGTTGAAGCCCCAACCCCAATGTGACTGTATTTGAAGATAGCCTTTATGGAGGTAATCAAGGATAATTAGGTTATAAGAGTGAGGCCTAATATCCCTGATGAACATCGATGTGAAAATTCTCAATAAAATACTGGCAAACTGAATCCAGAAGCACATGAAAAAGCTTATCCACCACGGTCAAGTCAGCTTCATCCCTGGGATGCAAGGCTGGGACAACATATGCAAATCAGTAAATGTAGTCCATCACATAAACAGAACCAATGACAAAAACCAAATGATTATCTCAACAGATGCAACCAAAAAGAGCCTGCATAGCTAAGACAATCCAAAGCAGAAAGAACAAAGCTGGAGGCATCACACTATCTGACTTCAAACTATAGTACAAGGCTACAGTAACCAAAACAGCATGGTACTGATACCAAAACACATATATAGACCAATGGAACAGAATAGAGGCCTCAGAAATAACATCACATATCTACCACCATCTGATCTTTGACAAACCTGACAAAAACGAGCACTGGAGAAAAGATTCCCTATTTATTAAATGGTGCTGTGAAAACTGGCTTCCCATATGCAGAAAGCTGAAGCTGGATCCCTTCCTTACACATTATACAAAAATTAATCCAAGAAGGATTAAAGACTTAAATATAAGACCTAAAACCGTAAAAACCCTAGAAGAAAACCTAGGCAATACCATTCAGGATATAGGCATGGACAAAGACTTCATCACTAAAACACCAAAAGCAATGGCAACAAAAGCCAAAATTGACAAATGGCATCTAATTAAACTAAAGAACTTCTGCACAACAAAAGAAGCTATCATTAGAGCAAAAAGACAACCTACAGAATGGGAGAAAATTTTTGCAATCTATCCATCTGACAAAGGGCTAATATCCAGAATCTACAAAGAACTTAAACAAATTTATAAGAAAAAAACAAACGACCCCATCAAAAAGTGGGAAAAGCATATGAACAAAACAAGACATTTATGCAGCCGACAGACATATGAAAAAATGCTCATCATCACTGGTCATCAGAGAAATGCAAATCAAAACCACACTGAAATACCATCTCACACCAGTTAGAATGGCAATCATTAAAAAGTCAGGAAACAATAGATGCTGGAGAGGTTGTGGAGAAACAGGAATGCTTTTACACTGTTGGTGGGACTGTAAACTAGTTCAACCATTGTGGAAGAGAGTGTGGTAATTCCTCGAGGATCTAGAGCTAGAAATACCATTTGACCCAGCCATCCCATTACTGGGTATATACCCAAAGGATTATAAATCATGCTACTGTAAAGACACATGCACACATATGTTTATTGTGGCACTATTCACAATAGCAAAGACTTGGAACCAACCCAAATGTCCATCAGTAATAGACTAGATAAAGAAAATGTGGCACATATACACCATGGAATACTATGCAGCCATAAAAAAGGATGAGTTCATGTCTTTGCAGGGACATGGATGAAGCTGGAAACCATTATTCTCAGCAAAATATCTCAATGACAGAAAACCAAACACCACATGTTCTCACTCATAAGTGGAAGTTAATGAGAACACATGGACACAGGGAGGGCAATATCACACACCTGGGCATTATGGGGGAGAGATAGCGTTAGGAGAAATACCTAATGTAAATGATGAATTGATGGGTGCAGCAAACCAACATGGCACATGTATACCTATGTAACAAACCAGCACTTTGTGCACATGTACTCTAGAACTTAAAGTATAATAATAATAATGAGTGAGGCCATAATCCAGTAGACTTAGTGTGCCTGTAAGAAGAGACACAAGAGAGCTCACTCTTTCTCTCTCCATGCTTTCTCAGAAGAAGGATCATATGAGAAAAAATCTGCTATCTACAAAACAGGAAGCAAGACCAAACCACACATAGAACCCTGCATGGACCTTGATCTTAGGCTTTTCCAGCTTCCAGAACTGTGAGAAAATAAATTCCTGCTGTTTAAGTCATGCAGGCTTTGGTACTTTGTTATCACAAGTAGAGTAAGACATCTCTCAATTCTGTATTTGCCAGCTTTGGCTCATTGTGGGTTGAAAAGCTAGCTCTAACTTTATCATGGAGGCATCCCTAATCTATACTAATACTATATACCGGTATATCTCAAACTTGAGCATGCATGAGAAAAACCTGGAGGACTTGTTAAACGTCAGATTGTTGGGCCACACCACAGTTTCTGATTCAGTGTCTTAGGAACTAAGATGTTGTACTTCTAACAAACTCTCAAGTGATACTAATACCTCTAGAACAGGAACCACACTCTGTGAACCACTGCTATACACTACAGTATATTAGTGTAAAATACTTACACTTTAGAATAAACTTTTACTGCATTAGCCTGCAAGTATCTGTAGACTTTTAATTCAAAATCAAGTTTTTAAAACTAAAACAAAAAGCAAACAACTCTTTCTTCTCAGAAAGTTTAACTTTTGCAATTCAAAAGTGCCTTCACTTTCAAAATTATTATCTTTTCTGAGTTTTTAAAAATCTGTTTAGAAACACAAGTGATTTTGTTCTTGAGGGGTTCCTTTGGGTGAAAACTTTCTCCAGATAATTTGAAAGCCAATGATTCAGTAGGTGAAGGGTTTCACAGAAGCATGAAAATGCAGGAAAGAAAAACTTTAGTTATCTTCAAATTTGATCCTCCCACAAAAATAACTACCACTTATTTAATGTTAATGCCAGGCACTGTACTGTGTAATTATTTCTATTTTATCATTTATTTCTCACAATAAATTTCTTCAATATATATGACATTTTTGTTATTGTTATTGAAGTTGTTGTTCCCAGTTACAGATGAACAAAATGAGGCTTAGAGAAGTTAAGAGACTTACCTAAGTTTTCACAAGTAAGTGGCAGAGATGGAATTCTCAGGCTTGCCTGACCACAATTCACTCTTAACCACTGCTAGAAAGCCTTTCTGACAGAATTGGTCATTGTTTTCTTTCAAGAAATGTTTGTTATGACTAAAAAAGGAATTACTTACACTTATTCAAACTTACTTACTATGTCATTTTTCTTTTGTAAGGCACATTCAAGCTAAATATTAGGAAAAATGCTCAAGTTAGATGTATTAGACTGTGAAATTACCTCTCACTGGATGTGGTCACAACTTCATGCCCTTGATATTTTAAGTAGAGGATACAGAGCACTGGGTCATGTACTATCTGAAACAATTTAATATGAGCAAGGAGATTGACCTCATAATCTTTCGATGTTTAATTTTTAATAGATACCTTAATATTTGATTTCTTTTGATTCTAGTTTCACATTTGTTTAGTCATTTCCAGTATTTCTTCAATGGTGAACAAATGTTTGCTTTGGTCTGACCCATTATTCACGGGAGATTCACACTAGAAAATGTGGTTATGGGAGCCCCACTCAAATGCCAATAAGATGTATCTGCGTATCTTCCTCATTCTCCTTATGAACACTATGGACACTGGACACAACATACCATCTGGCAGTGGGGAGAGAAACAGCATAAAAATGAGATATGCGTGTGTAGACAAAATATCGATGAATGAATCTCTGAAAGCTAAGATGAAGGTGAAGCAAAACAGTCAGGTAGATCATTCTGATACTTGTGTTAGTGCTAAAATTATGTTCCCCTACTTTCTTTTTTTTTTTTTTTCTGATGACAGCAGTGCAGGTGACGAAAAATACTTTCAATTTTGCTGCTGACACAAATACTGAAGCACAGAAACCAGGTTCCAGTTTGCTGCTGAGAAAGCAACCTTCCCTCCAGATAAAAGAGAGGATATAATGATATTCGCCTGTTTATGGCACAATCTGTAGTTTATACTCAAACTAGGGTAAGGGGGTTTGGAAAACAACTAAATGGAAATTCAATAAATGAAATGTGAGTAATGTGAACTTTACTCCATTCTTTTATGGAGTTTTCTCACCCTTTGCACTGATTTTGATCTGCAAGTCTAGTGTAAGAATAAGAGGAGAAAATTCTTGAATCTCTGGTTACTAATCTTCATATATATATTTATGTTTTATATATATATATGTTATGTATATAATAGATAAAAGTCAACATATATAGAGTGCTTACTACATACCAAACA
The DNA here is from genome assembly GCF_000001405.40 of Homo sapiens. Lineage (NCBI taxonomy): Eukaryota > Metazoa > Chordata > Mammalia > Primates > Hominidae > Homo > Homo sapiens. The sequence continues at coordinate 85,706,073 of NC_000023.11, forward strand.
CTTTGTTAAGCATCTTTATCATTTATTTCTCACAACCACCTCATGAGATAGATACCATTATTGTCTCCACTTTTACAGATGGGGACACAGGTTTAGAGAAGTCGAATGACTTTTCTAAGGTCACACAGCCAGTAGGTGGTGATGCTAGGATTCAAACAGGCAATCTGATTTCAGAATCTGTGCTTTTAATAATCATGTTATATTGCCTCTCACCTACAGTGCTTAAACAAAAGATAAAGGGCAGTAACTTGATCACTGTTATGTAGTAAGGACTGGAAAAGTTTATCAAAAAATTATCTCTGGTGTGGATCTCCCCATTTGTAGTTTATTAAGTGCCTTTACTCAAATTTACAAATTTTAGATTTACATACTCCCTTATTTGATTTCACAACAATCTTAAGCATTGGCAAGGCAAGCAAATTTACTTCCATTTATCAGATAAAGAAACTGAATTTCAGAGAAATTAAGTAAATATATTAAATCTACACAGCTAATAAGACACAAACAAGATTTGAACTCCAAAACAAGTGTACTTTCTGCTGTGACATACTGCTGCTACATATCTGCTAGATATGAAGGAATTAAGAAGGAAAGTGAAAATTTTTTTGAAACAAATGATAATAGAAACACAACTTACCAAAACCTATGGGATTCAGCAAAAGCAGTAGTAAGAGGGAAGTTTATAGCTATAAGTGCCTACATCAAAAAAAGTGGAAAAATTTAAAGTGAACAATCTAATGATACATCTTAAAGAATTAGAAAAGCAAGAGCAAACCAAACCCAAAATCAGTAGAAAAAAATAATATATATAAAAGTAGAGATAAATAAAATTGAAATAAAGATACAAAAAAATATTGGATCCCTTCCTTACACAATATACAAAAATCAACTCAAGATGAATTAAAGTCTTAAATGTAAAACCCAAAACTACAAAAACCCTGGAAGACAACCTAGATAATACCATTCAGGAGATAGGCATGGGCAAAGATTTCATGATGATGATGCAAAAAGCAATTGCAACAAAGGCAAAAATTGACAAATGGGATCTAATTAAACTAAAGAGCTTTTGCACAGCAAAAGATATTATCAACAGAGTAAACAGACAACCTACAGAATAGGTGAAAATTTTTGCAAGCTATGCATCTGACAAAGGTCTAATATCCAGCATCTATAAGGACTTTAAACAAATTTAAAAGAAAAAAACATTAAAAAGTGAGCAAATGACATGAACAGACACTTCTCAAAAGAAGACATACATGTGACCAACAATCATATGAATAAAGCTGAACATCACAGATCATTAGGGAAATGCAAATCAAAACCACAATGAGATACCATCTCACACCCATCAGAATAGCTATTATTAAAAAGAAACACTTTTACACTGTTGTTGGGACTGTAAATTCATTCAATCATTGTGAAAGACAGCGTGGCAATTTCTCAAAGACCTAAGGACAGAACTACCATTTGACCCAGCAATCCCATTACTGGGTGTATACCCAAAGGAATATAAATCATTATTATAAAAACACATGCATGCATATGTTCGTTGCAACACTATTCACAATAGTAAAGACATGGAATCAACCCAAATGCCCATCAATAATAGACTGGATAAAGAAAATGCGGTACATATACACCATGGAATAATGTGCAGCCATAAAAATAATAAGTTTGTGTCCTTTGCGGGTACATGGATGCAACTGGAGGTCATTACCTTTACCAAGCTAATGCAGGAACAGAAAACCAAATACTTCATGTTCTTACTTATAAGTGGGAGCTAAATGATGAGAACACATGAACACATAGAGGGGAACAACACACACTGGGGCCTATTGGAGTGTTGGAGGTGGGAGAAGAGAGAGAAGCAGAAAAAAATTACTAATGGCCACTAGGCTTAATACCTGGGTGATGAAATAATCTGTACAATCAACCCTCATGACACACATTTACCTATGTAACAAACCTGCTCATCCTGCAAATGTACTCCCAAACTTAAAGTAAAAATTAAAAAAATTTTAAAACAAAATATTTGCTACTAAGAAAAAGCAATAAAAAAATCAATGAAACAATAAGTTGTTTTTTTCAAAATGTAAGCAAAATTGACAAACCTCTAGCCAGAGCAACTACGAATCCAAATAAATTAAATCAGAAATGAAAAAGGAGACATTACAACGGATACTGCAGAAATTCAAGAAATCATTAGTGGCTACTATGAGCAACTTTATGCCAGTAAATTGGAAAATCTAGACGAAATGCATAAATTGCTACACACATAAAAACTACCAAGATTGAACAAGGAAGAAATCCAAAACCTGAGCAAACCAATAACAAGTAACGAGATCAATGCCATAAGAAACAGTCTCCCAGTAAAGGAAAGTCCAGGACCTGATGGCTTCACTGCTGAGTTCTACAAAACAGTTAAAGATGAACTAATAGCAGTCCTACTCAAACTCTTCTGGAAAAAAAGAGGAGGGGAGAATACTTGCAAACTTCTAAAAGGACAGTATTACCCTGACACAAAACCAGATAAAGATATATCAAAAAATATATAACTACAGGCTAATATCTCTGATGAATAGTGATGTGTAAATTCTCAACAAAATACTAGCAAACTGAATTCAACAATATATTAGAAAAATCCTTGATTATGACCCTTTAGGATTTATTTCTGGGAAGCTAGGATGATTCAAAATATGCAAATAAATCAATGTGATATATCATATCAGCAGAAGGAAGGATAAAAACCATATGACCATTTTAATTGGTGCAGAAAAAGCACTTGATAGAACTCAACATCCCTTCATAATAAAAACCTTCAAAAATTAGGCATAGAAGGAGCATATCTCAACATGATAAAAGCTATATATGACAGACCCACAGCTAATATCATACTGAACGGGGAAAAACTGACAGCTTTTCCTCTAAGATCTGAAACACAACCAAGTTGCCCACCGTCACTAATATTACTCAATCTAGTACTGGAAGTTCTAGCTAAAGCAATCAGATAAGAGAAAGATATAAAAGAAAACCACATTGGAAAGGAAGAAATCAAATTATTCATGTTTGCGGATGATATGATCTTATATTTGGAAAAACATGTGACTCCACAAGAAAACTATTAGAATTTATGAACAGGTTCAGTAAATTTGCAGGATACAAAATCAACATTAAAAAATCAGTTGCATTTTTATACACCAACAGTGAACAATGTGAAAAATAAATTTAAAAAGTAATTTATTTACAATACCCACACATAAAATTAAATACCTGGGAACTAACCAAAGAAGTAAAAGAACTTTATAATGAAAAGTATAAAAGACTGATGAAGAAAATTGAAGAGGACATAAAAGAAATGAAAAAAAAAATCCATGTTCATGGATTGGAAGAATCAATATTGTTAAAAGGTCCATACTACACAAAGTAATCTACAGATTCAATGCAATCCCTATCAAAAAATCAATGATGTTCTTCATAGAAATAGAAAATAAAATCTAAAATTCTTATGGAACCACAAAAGATCCAGAATAGCCAACACTATCGTAAGCAAAAAGAACAAAACTAGAGGAATAACATTACCTGACTTGAACTTATACTACAGAGCTATAATAACCAAAGCAGCATGATATTGACATAAAAACAGACATATAGACTAATGAAACAGAATGAAGAACTCAGAAACAAATTCACATACCTACAGTGAACTCATTTTTGACAAAGGTGGCAAGAAAATACATTGTGGGAAAAGACACCCTCTTTAATAAATTATGCTGGGAAAACTAAATATCCATGTGCAGAAGAAAGAAACTAAACCCCTATATCACCATATACATAAATCAAATCAAAATGGATTAAAGACTTAAATCTCACACCTCAAACTATGAAACTTCTACAAGAAAACGTTGGAGAAACTCTAGGATATTGGTCTGGGCAAAAATTTCTTGAGCACTGCCCCACAAGCACAGACAACCAAAGCAAAAATGGACAAATGGGATCATATCAAGTTAAAAATCTTCAGTCCAGTGCAGGATACAATAAATAAAGTGAAGAGACAACCCACAGAATGGGAGAAAGTATTTTCAAACTACCCATCTGACAAGGGATTAATAACCAGAGTATATGAGTCTTAAACAACACTATAGGAAAAATATAATAATCTGATCAAAAATAGGGAAAAGATCTGAACAGCCATTTCTCTAATGAAGATATAAAAATGGTAAATAGGCATATGAAAAGGTGTTCAACATCATTAATCATCTGAGAAATGCAAATCAAAGCTACAATGAGATATAATCTCACTCCAGTTAAAATGACTTTCATCCAAAATACAGGCAATAACAAATGCTGGCAAGGATGTGGAGTAAAGGGAACCCTTATTCACTGTTGGTGGTAATGTAAATTAGTACAACCACCATAGAGAACCGTTTGGAGGTTCCTCAAAAAGTAAAAATTGAGCAACCATATAATCCAGAAATCCCACTGCTGGGTATATGCCCAAAAGAAAAAAGATCAGTATGTTGTAGAGATATCTGCAGTCCTATGTTTGTTGCAGCACTGTAAGACTTGGAAGCAATGTACGTTTTCAAGAGATAAATGGATACAGAAAAACTGGTAGCCATAAAAAAATGAGATGCATTCATTTGCAACAACATGGATGGAACTGGAGATCATAATGTTAAGTGAAATAAGCCAGGCAGAGAAAGACAAACATCACATATTCTCACATATTTGTGGTATCTAAAAATGAAAACAATTGAACCCGTGGACATAGAGAGATGTCTATCAGAGGCTGATAAAGGTAGTTGGGGGCTGGGGGGAGGTAGAGATAGTTAACGGGTACAAATAATAGAAATAATGAATAAGACCTACTCTTTGATAACACAATAGGGGGACTATAGTCAGTAATAATTGTACACTTTAAAATAACTTAAAGAAATACTTGGATTCTTTGTAACTCAAAGGATAAAGCCTTGAGGGGATGGATACCCAATTCACTATGATGTGCTTATTTCACATTTCAAGCATTTATTAAAACAACCCACATATCCCACAAGTATATACCTACTATGTACTGACAAAAATTAAAAATATAAAACAATACAGTATTGTTAAATTAGTTACTATGCTGTACAACAGATTTATAAGACTTTATTCATCTTGCATAACTGAAATATCCTACCGTTGAACAAGAACTCCTCTTCCACCAGTCTCTGGAAACCACTAGTGTACTTTTCATTTCTGAATTTGGCTATTTTAGATACCTCCTATAAGTGGAATCATGTAATATTTGCCCGTAACTGACTTATTTCATCTAGCATAATGTCTTCCAGGTTAACCACATTGTCAGATATAGCAAGGTTTTCTTCTTTTTAAAATTTGAATGATATTCCATCATATATATATATATATAATGCATTTTCTTTATCCACTCATCCATCAGTGGACTGTTAGATTGATTCCATATCTTGGCTACCATAAATACTGTGAATAATATTTTAATGACCTTGGAGGTGCAGATATCCTTTCAACATATTGATGTCAAACCCTTTGGATATATACCCAGAAGTGGGATTCCTGGATTATATGGTGGTTCCATTTTTAATTTTTTGAAGAACCTCCATATGTTTTTGATAGTGGCTGCACCATTTCACCATCCCACCAACAGTGCACAAGGGTTCCAATTTCTCCATGTCCTCTTCAATGATTGTTATTTCGTAGTTGTGTTTTCCTTTTTCCTAATAGTTGCCACCTTAATGGGTGTGAAGTAATATTTGATTATGGTTTTATTTGCATTTCCCTGATGATTAGTGATGTTGAGCACCTTTTCATATATCATCATTATTATTATTATTATTATTATTATACTTTAAGTTCTAGGGTACATGTGCACAATGTGCAGGTTTGTTACATATGCACACATGTGCCATGTTGGTGTGCTGCATCCATTAACTCATCATTTACATTAGGTATATCTCCTAATGCTATCCCTCCCCCTCCCCCCACCCCACGACAGGCCCCAGTGTGTGATGTTCCCCACCCTGTGTCCAAGTGTTCTCATTGTTCAGTTCCCACCTAAGAGTGAGAACATGCAGTGTTTGGTTTTCTGTCCTTGGCGATATTTTGCTCAGAATAATGGTTTCCAGCTTCATCCATGTCCCTCCAAAGACATGAACTCATCTTTTTTATGGCTGCATAGCATTCCATGCTGTATATATGCCACATTTTCTTAATCCAGTCTATCATTGATGAACTTTTGGGTTGGTTCTAAGTCTTTGCTATTGTGAATAGTGCCACAATAAACATACATGTGCATGTGTCTTTATAGCAGCATGATTTATAATCCTTTGGGTATATACCCAGTAATGGGATGGCTGCATCAAATGGTATTTCTAGTTCTAGATCCTTGAGGAATCGCCACTCTGTCTTCCACAATGGCTGAAGTAGTTTACAGTACCACCAACAGTGCAAAAGTGTTCCTATTTCTCCACATCCTTTCCAGCATCTGTTGTTTCCCGACTTTTTAATGATCGCTATTCTAACTGGTGTGAGATGGTATTTCATTGTGGTTTTGACTTGCATTTCTCTGATGGCCAGTGGTGATGAGCATTTTTTCATATGTCTGTTGGCTGCATAAATGTCTTCTTTTGAGAAGTGTCTGTTCATATCCTTTTCCCACTTTTTGATGGGGTTGTTTGATTTTTTTCTTGTAAATTTGTTTGAGTTCATTGTAGATTCTGGATATTAGCCCTTTGTCAGATGAGGAGATTGTAAAAATATTCTCCCATTCTGTAGGTTGCCTGTTCACTCTGATGGCAGTTTCTTTTGCTGTGCAGAAGCTCTTTAGTTTAATTAGATCCCATTTGTCAATTTTGACTTCTGTTGCCATTGCTTTTGGTGTCTTAGTCAAGAAGTCCTTGCCAATGCCTATGTCCTGAAGACGTATCTCAAAATAATAAGAGCTATTTATGACAAATCCACAGCCAATATCATACTGAATGGGCAAAACCGGAAGCATTCCCTTTGAAAACGGGCACAAGACAAGGATGCCCTCTCTCACCACTCCTATTCAACACAGTGTTGGAAGTTCCAGCCAGGGCAACCAGGCAGGAGAAAGAAATAAAGGGTATTCAATTAGAAAAGAGGAAGTCAAATTGTCCCTGTTTGCAGATGACATGATTGTATATTTTGAAAACCCCATCGTCTCAGCCCAAAATCTCCTTAAGCTGATAAGCAACTTCAGCAAAGTCTCAGGATACAAAATCAATGTACAAAAATCACAAGCATTCCTATACACCAATAACAGACAAACAGAGAGCCAAATCATGAGTGAACTCCTATTCACAATTGTGTCAAAGGGAATAAAATACCTAGGAATCCAACTTACAAGGGATGTGAAGGACTTCTTCAAGGAGAACTACAAAGCACTGCTCAATGAAATAAAAGAGGATACCAACAAATGGAAGAACATTCCATGCTCATGGGTAGGAAGAATCAATATTGTGAAAATGGCCATACTGCCCAAGGTCATTTATAGATTCAATGCCATCCCCATCAAGCTACCAATGCCTTTCTTCACAGAATTGGAAAAAACTACTTTAAAGTTCATATGGAACCAAAAAAAGAGCCCGCATTGCCAAGAGAATCCTAAGCCAAAAGAACAAAGCTGGAGGCATCATGCTACCTGACTTCAAACTATACTACAAGGCTACAGTAATCAAAACAGCATGGTACCAGTACAACAGAGATATAGACCAATGGAACAGAACAGAGCCCTCAGAAATAATACCACACGTCTACAACCAACTGATCTTTGACAAACCTGATAAAAACAAGAAATAGGGAAAGGATTCTCTATTTAATAAATTGTGCTGGGAAAACTGGCTAGCCATATTTAGAAAGCTGAAACTGGATCCCTTCCTTACACCTTATACAAAAATTAATTCAAGATGGATTAAAGACTTAAACCTAGAAAACCCTAGAAAAAAACCTAGGCAATACCATTCAGGACCTTTTCATATATCTGTTGGTGATTTGTGTTTCTTCTTTGGAGAAATGTCTGTTCAAGTCTTTTGCCCACTTTTTAATCATGTTTATTTTTTCTTTTGCTATTGAGTTGTAGTAGCTCCATATATATGTTAGATATTAACCACTCATCAGTTATATATGTTGCAAATATTTTCTCCCATTCCATTAGTTACCTTCTCACTCTGTTTATTGTTTCTTTTGCTGTGTAGAAGTTTTAGTTCATGTTGTCCCACTTGTTTATTTTTGTTTTTGTTGTTTGTGCTTTTGATGTCATATCCAAATAAAACACTGCTAAGACCAAGGTCAAGATGATTTTTCCCCGTTTTCTTGTAAAAGTTTTAGTTTCAGGTTACAAGTTTAAGTTTTTAAACCATTTACAGTTGATTTTTATGTATGGTATGTGATAAGGGTTGACTTTTATCCTTTTGCATGTTGATATCCAATTTTCCCAGCACTATTTGTTCAAGAGACTATACTTTGCCCATTGTGCAGTTATCTTGGCACTCTTATCAAGTTTTAGTTGATTGTACATGTGTTGGTTTATTTCTGGACTCTTTAACTTGTTTCATTTGTCTATATGTCTGTTTTTATGCCTGTATCATATGGTTTTAATTACTGTAGGTTTGTAATATATTTGACAATTAGGAAGTGTGTTACCTCCAGCTTTATTCTTCTTTCTCAAGATTGCTTTTGCTATTTGAGATCGTTTTTGAATTCATACAAATTGTAATATTGTTTGTTCTATTTCTGCTTAAAAATGCTTTTAGAATACTAATGGAGATAACATTGAACATGTACACTCTTTTTGGTAATATGGCTATTTTAATAATGTTATTTCAATTTATGAGCAAGATATGGCTTTGCATTTATTTATGTATTCTGTAATTTATTTCATCTTTGTTTTGTAATTTTTATTGTACAAGTCTTTCACCTCCTTGGTTATGTTTAGTCCTGTGTATTTTGCTTCTTTGGATGCTATAGTAAATTGGACTATTTACTGAATTTCTATTTGGGGAGTTTATTTTTAGTGTGTAGAAACACTACTGATTTTTCTATGTTGATTTTGTATCCTCCAACTTTACCAAGTTCATTTATTAGTTTGAATAGTTTGCTGTTTGGGGATCTTTAGAGTTGTCTACATATAAGATCATGTCCTCTGCAAACAGAGATAATTTCACTTCTGACTTTTTACTTTAGATAGCTTTTATTCCTTTTTCCTGCCTTATTGCTCTGGCAAGGACTTTCAGTAGTGTATTTAATAGAAGTGGCAAGAGTGGGCATCTTTGCTTTGTTCCTTTTATCTTAGAGGAAAAACTTTCAGCTTTTCATTGTGAGTATGATGGTAGATGTAGGCTTCTCATATATGGACTTTATTGTGTTGAGGTACTTATTTTTCTTTAGCTATTTTTCTTTACCTAATTTATTGAAAATTTTTAACATGAAAGGATGTTAAATTTTGTTAAATGCTTTTTCAGCAACTTTTGAGATGATTATATAATTTTTATTCTTCTGTTAATGTAATGTATTACATATGTTGACTTGCATATTTTAAACCATCTTTGTATCTCAGGGATAAATCCCACTACATCTTGGTGTATGATCTTTTTAATGTGCTGAAGAATTGGATTTGTGAATATTTTGCTGATTTTCAAAGGGAATGCTTCCAGCTTTTGCCCATTCAGTATGATATTGGCTCTGAGTTTGTCATAAATAGCTCTTATTATTTTGAGATACGTTCCATCAATAACTGGTTTATTGAGAGTTTTTAGCATGAAGGGATGTAGAATTTTATCAAAGGCCTGTTCTGCATCTATTGAAATAATCATGTGGTTTTTGTCATTGGTTCTGTTTATCCAATGGATTACGTTTATTGATTTGCATATGTTGAACAAGCCTTGTATCCCAGGAATGAAGCCACTTGATCATGGTGGATAAGCTTTTTCATGTGCTGCTGGATTCGATTTGCCAGTATTTTACTGAGGATTTTTGCATTGATATTCATCTGGGATGTTGGCCTGAAATTTTCTTTTTTTGATGTGTCTCTGCCAGGTTTTGATATCAGGATGATGCTGACCTCATAAAAAGAGTTAGGGAGGACTCCCTCTTTTTCTATTGCTTGGAATGTTTTCAGAAGAAATGTACCAACTCCTATTTGTACCTCTGGTATAACTCCGCTGTGAATCCATCTGGTCCTGGGCTTTTTTTTGTTGGTAGACTATTAATTACTGCCTCAATTTCAGAGCTTGTTATTGGTCTATTCAGGGATTCCACTTCTTCCTAGTATATTCTTGGGAGGGTATATGTGTTCAGGAATTTATCCATTTCTTCTAGATTTTCTAGTTTATTTGCATAGAGGTGTTTACAGCATTTTCTGATGATAGTTTGTATTTCTGTGAGATCAGTGGTGATATCCTCTTTATCATTTTTTATTGTGTCTATTTTATTCTTTTCTCTTTTTTATTAGTCTGGCTAGTGATCTATCTATTTTGTTAATCTTTTCAAAAAACAAACTCCTCACTTCATTGATTTTTTGAAGGGTTTTTCGTGTCTCTATCTTCTTCAGTTTTGCTTTGTTCTTACTTATTTCTTGTCTTCTGCTAGCTTTTGAATTTGTTTGCTCTTGCTCCTCTAGTTCTTTTAATTGTGATATTAGGGTGTCAATTTGAGATCTTTTCCACTTTCTCCTGTGGGCATTTAGTGCTATAAACTTCCCTCTAAACACTGCTTTAGCTGTGTCCCAGTGATTCTGGTACATTGTGTCTTTGTTCTCATTGCTTTCAGGGAACTTATTTATTTCTGCCTTAATTTCATTATTTACCCAGTAGTCATTCAGGAGCAGGTTGTTCAGTTTCTATGTAGTTGTGTCCTTTTGAGTGAGTTTCTTAATCTTGAGTTCTAATTTGATTGCACTGTGGTCTGAGAGACTATTATGATTTCTATTCTTTTGTGTTTGCTAAGGAGTGTTTTATTTTTAATTATGTGGTCTATTTTAGAATAAGTGCGATGTGGTGCTGAGAAGAATGTATATTCTGTTGATTAGGGTGGAGAGTTCTGTAGATGTCTATTAGTTCTGCTTGGTTCAGAGCTGAGTTCAAGTCCTGAATATCCTTGTTAATTTTCTGTCTTGTTGATCTGTCTAATACTGATGGTGCAGTGTTAAAGTCTCCCATTATTGTTGTGTGGGAGTCTAAGTCTCTCTGAAGGTCTCTAAGAACTTGCTTTATGAATCTGGGTCCTCCTGTATTGGGTACATATATATTTAGGATAGTTAGGTCTTCTTGCTGCTTTGATCCCTTTACCATTATGTAATGTCCCCCTTTGTCTTTTTTGCTCTTTGTTTGTTTAAAGTCTGTTTTATCAGAGACTAGGATTGAAACCCCTGCTTTTGTTGCTTTCCTTTTGCTCAGTAAATATTCCTCCATCCTTTTATTTTGAGCCTATGTGGGTCTTTGCACGTGAGATGGGTCTCCTGAACACAGCACACCAACAGGTCTTGAATCTTTGTCCAATTCGCCAGTCTGTATCTTTTAATTGGGACACTTAACCCATTTACATTTAAGGTTAATATTGTTATGTGTGAACTTGATCCTATCATTATGATGCTAGCTGGTTATTTTGCCCATTAGTTGATGCAGTTTCTTCATAGCATCCATGGTCTTTACAATTTGGTATGTTTTTGTAGTGGCTGGTACCAGTTTTCCTTTCCATATTTAGTGCTTCCTTCAGGAATTCTTGTAAGGGAGGCCTGATTGTGACAAAATCTCTCAACATTTACTTGTCTGTAAAGGATTTTATTGCTCCTTCACTTAGGAAGCTTAGTTTGGTTGGATATGAAACACTGGGTTGAAAATTATTTTGTTTAAGAATGTTGAATATTGGTCCCCGCTCTCTGCTGGCTTGTAGAGTTTCTGCAGAGAGATCTGTCATTAGTCTGATGGGCTTTGCTTTGTGGGTAACCCGACCTTTCTCTGGATGCACAAGACAAGGATGCCCTCTCTCACCTCTCCTATTCAAAGTAGTATTGGAAGTTCTGGCCAGGACAATCAGGCAAGAGAAAGAAATAAAGGGATTTCAAATAGGAAAAGAGGAAGTCAAATTGTCTCTGTTTGCAGATGACATGATTTTATATTTAGAAAACCCCATCATCTCTGCCCAAAATATCCTTAAGCTGATAAGCAACTTCAGCAAAGTCTCAGGATACAAAATCTATGTAAAAATTACAAGCACTCCTATACACCAAGAACAGACAAACAAAGAGCCAAATAATGAGTGAACTCCCATTCACAATTGCTGCAAAGTCAATAAAATACCTAGGAATACAACCTATAAGAAATGGGAAGGACCTCCTCAAGGAAAACTACAAACCACTGCTCAAGGAAATAAGAGAGGACACAAACAAATGAAAAAACATTCCATGCTCATGGATAGAAATAATTAGGATCATGAAAATGGCCATACTGCTCAAAGTAATTTATAGATTCAATGCTATCCCCATGAAGCTACCATTGATTTTCTTCACAGAACTAGAAAAAAACTTCTTTAAATTTCATATGGAATCAAAAAAGAGCCTCTATAGCCAAGACAATCCAAAGCAAAAATAACAAAGCTGGAGACATCACACTACCTGACTTCAAACTATACTACAAGGCTACAGTAGCCAAAACAGCATGGTACTGGTACCAAAACACATATATAGACCAATGGAACAGAATGGAGGTCTCAGAAATAATGCCACACATCTAGAACCATCTGATCTTTGACAACCTAACAAAAACAAGCAATGGGGAAAGGATTATCTATTTAATAAACGGTGTTGGGAAAACTGGCTAGCCATAAGCAGAAAAATGAAACTTGATCCCTTCCTTACACCTCATACAAAAATTAACTCAAGATGGATTAAAGACTTAAATGTAAGACCTAAAACCATACAAACCTTAGAAGAAAATCTAGTCAATACCATTGAGGACATTAAAGACTTGATGATTAAAACACCAAAAGCAATGGCAACAAAAGACAAAATTGACAAATGGGATATAATTAAACTAAAGAGCTTCTTCACAGCAAAAGAAACTATCATCAGAGTTAGTAGGCAACCTACGGAATGGGAGAAAATTTTTGCAATCTATCCATCTGACAAAGGGCTAATATCCAGAATCTACAAGACACTTAAAAAAATTTACAAAAAAAATTTAAAAAAAAAAACAACAACAACCCAACCAAAAGTGGGCAAAGGATATGGACAAACACTTCCCAAAAGAAGACATATACGTGGCCAACAAACATTTGAAAAAAAAGCTCATCATCTCTGGTTATCAGAGAAATGCAAATCAAAACCACAGTGAGATACCATCTCACGCCAGTTAAAAGGGTGATTATTAAAAAGTCAAGAAACAGCAGATGCTGGAGAGGATGTGGAAAAATAGGAACACTTTTACACTGTTGGTGGGAGTGTAAATTAGTTCAACCATTGTGGAAGATAGCATGGCAATTCCTCAAGGATCTAGAGCCAGAAATACCATTGGACCCAGCAATCCCATTACTGGCTATATATACCCAAAGGATTATAAATCATTCTACTATAAAGACACAGGCACACATATGTTTTTTGCAGCACTATTCAAAATAGCAAAGACTTGGAACCAACACAAATGCCCATCAATGATAGACTGGAAAAAGAAAATGTGGCACATATACGCAATGGAATACTATGCAGCCATAAAAAGGATGAGTTTATGTCCTTTGCAGACATGGATGAAGCTGTAAACCATCATTCTCAGCAAACTAACACAGGAACAGAAAACCAAACACCACTTGTTCTCACTCATAAGTGGGAGTTGAAAAATGAGAACACATGGACACAGGGAGGGGAACATCACACACCGAACCATGTCCGAGGGTGAGGGGCTAGGGGAGGGATAGCATTAGGAGAAATACCTAATGTAAATGAGGGGTTGATGGGTGCAGCAAACCACCATGGCACATATATACCTATGTAACAAACCTGCACGTTCTGCACATGTATCCTATGACTTAAAGTATAATTTAAAAAATATTTTGTTGAGAATGTCCCCATCTATGTTCATCAGGGATATTGTCCTGCACAGTGTGGTTATGTCCTGATAAACCAATCATAAATTGAAGATATTACAAGTGAAAATACATTTAATACACTTGACCTGCTGAACATTATAGCTTCATCTAGCTTAGTTTAAATGTGCTCAGTATAATTATATTAGCCTACAGTTGAGCAAAATTTCTGGCAACACACTATACTGTAGAGGATAAGCTATTTTACCTTCATGATCGTGTGGCTGACTGGGAGCTGTGGCTCACTGATGCAGCACAAGAAAGTATTGTACTGCATACCACTAGCCCAAGAAAAGATAAAACTTCAAATTTTGAAGTATGGCTTCTACTGAATGCACATCATTTTGCACTATTGTAAAGTCCAAAAATTATAAGTTGAACTATTGTAAGTCAATGACTATCTACATTTTTCTTGTGGTGTCTTTGTCTGGCTTTGCTATCAAGGTAATGCTGACCTCATAAAATGAGTTTGAAGTGCTTCCTCCTCTTATGTTATTTGAAAGTATAAGTATTAATGTTCAATCTTTGTTTAAATGTTTAGTAGAATTCACCAGTGAAGCCATCTGGTCCTGCATTTTTTTTTTTTTTTTTTTTTTTTTTTGCTGGAATTAGTTGACTATTGATTCACTTTCGTTAATTTTTATTGGTCTGTTCCAGGAGGAGGAGAAAGAGGAAGAGGAGGAGGAGGAGAGAATGGGAAGAAGGAGAAGGAGCAGGAGAGGAAGAAGAAGAAGAAGGAGAAGGAGAAGGAGAAGGAGAGGGAGAGGGAGAGGGAGAGGGAGAAGAAGAAGAGGAGGAGGAGGAAGAAGAAAAATAAGAGATATAAAGTTTATTCTTTCTATAATCTTGATATCATCTACCGCAAAGCCTTTCCAATGGAAGTCAGGATGAATTATTAAACACTTACTGTTGGCCATACACAGTAGCTCACGCCTGTAATCCCAGCAATTTGGAAGGCCAAGGCAAGAGGGTCGCTTGAGCCTAGGATTTGGGGACCAGCCTGAGCATCAAAGTGAGACCATACCTCTATTTAAAAAAAAAAATAAACTTAGCCAGGTGTAATAAAATAAAATAAAATAACTTACTAGAATTAGTAAATGTTAATATGCAGCCCAAGGAGTGGGTACCACCCTATCTTAGTTAGTGCCCATGCCTCAAGCCATCAGCCCTCTAGTAGGAGATCCTGGCTTTAATATAATAACTTTGATTTGAATCAGTCAGAGGCTCAGAATCTGGGTTCAGTCTCTTTTTTTAATGCTATAATATTGTTAAATGCCTTTGATTCTTTAAAGTTGGCACTATGAGATCAGTGGGTGAATGAACAAAGCTTTTCTGGCTCTGTGCTCTTTACTGAGACAATATGTATCCTTATTAGAAACTTGAAGCAAAATTGACATTTATCAAGGTGTATTTTTAAATCTATCTCCTTACAATGATATCTACCATCTGAAGGATTTAATTATAATCTCCTTTCAAAGTCCTTACAAATTCAATTAGATATGTGATGATCTCTAAGTAATTTTAATTCTCAATTACCCTTTCTATCATACTCTAAAGATGACCGAGGCTTTGGAAAGATCCTAAAGAGTACTCTTGAAGTGGAAACATCCTAAGTCTTCTTATTCTTCTCAACTATATGTGATAATAGAGCATGGTTAAATCTAATGGTAAAAATGAGTAATTTCACCCAAAACTGTCCAGAGCTTTTTGAAGTTGAGGAATAATATATTTGTTCACCTTAGAAATTTCTTCAGATCCATATACAAACTACAAATACATACATACTACAAATATGTGATATTATGTTACATATATGGGATATGGAATGATTAAGTCAGAGTATTTGAGGTATTCATCACCTGGACTATTTATCATGTCTATATGTTGGGAATATTTCAAGTTCTTTCTCCTAGCTTCTATGAAATGTGCAATACATTGTTGCTAACCTATAGTCACCCTACTCTGCTATTGAACATTATAACTTACACCTTTCATCTAACTGTATGTTTGTGCCCATTGACCAACCTCTCTTCATCCCCCCCGCCCCCGGCCACCTAAACACCCTTCTCAGCCTCTGATATCTATCATTCTACTCTCTACCTCCATTAGATCACCTTTTAAAGCTCCCACGTATGAGTGAGAACATGCAATGTTTGTCTTTCTACGGCCAGCATATTTTGCTTAACATAACAACCTCTAGTTGCTGCGAATGCCATGATTTCATTCCTTTTCTGGCTGAATAGTATTTCATTGCATATATATGTATATATATATAGTTATTACATATTATATTATATATAAATCTATTGCATATATATATAATTTTCTTTATCCATTCGTCTGGTGATGGACTCTTAGGTTGATTTCACATATTTGCTACCATAAAAGTGCTGCAATAAGCATGCGAATACAGATAAAACTTTGATATACTTATTTTTTATCCTTTGGATTTATACCCAGTAGTGGGATTGTTGGATGGTATGGTAGTTCTATTTTTAGTTTTTTAAAAAATATTAATATTGTCTTCCATAGTGGCTGTACTAACTTAAATTTATACCAAAGGGAGTAAGAGTTCCCTTTTCTCCACATCCTCACCACCATGTTATTTTTGTCTTTATAATAATAGACATTTCTAAGATAATACCTCATCATAGTTTTGATTTGCATTTCTCAGATGATTAGTAATGTCGAGCATTTTTTATACACCTGTTGGCCATTTGTATGTCTTTTTTTTTGAGAAATGTCTATTCATAACCTTTGCCCACTTTTTTTTTTTTTTTTTTTCTTGAGGCAACTTGTATTTCAGAATGCAGGAGGAAAACTTCACATGTACTTCCCATTTTATCACACATATTGAAAACAGGTACTCAAGAGTCGAGACTTAATAACAGATGTAGGGAAGGGGAGGCTGGGTCTCCATTGGAGTGAGCATTTGGTTAGTAGTAGCTGTGTTCAGCACAGATGTTTGGCATTCTGACCTGATTGTTCCTGCTGCCTAGCTTAATTTCTTCCCAGTTCAATCTTTATTTATTTATTTATTTATTTATTTATTTATTTATTTATTTATTTTTTATTGATCATTCTTGGGTGTTTCTCACAGAGGGGGATTTGGCAGGGTCACAGGACAATAGTGGAGGGAAGGTCAGCAGATAAACAAGTGAACAAAGGTCTCTGGTTTTCCTAGGCAGAGGACCCTGCAGCCTTCCGCAGTGTTTGTGTCCCTGGGTACTTGAGATTAGGGAGTGGTGATGACTCTTAACGAGCATGCTGCCTTCAAGCATCTGTTTAACAAAGCACATCTTGCACCACCCTTAATCCATTCAACCCTGAGCGGACACAGCACATGTTTCAGAGAGCACAGGGTTGGGGGTAAGGTCACAGATCAACAGGATCCCAAGGCAGCAGAATTTTTCTTAGCACAAAACAAAATGAAAAGTCTCCCATGTCTACCTCTTTCTACACAGACATGGCAACCATCCGATTTCTCAATCTTTTCCCCACTTTTCCCCCCTTTCTATTCCACAAAACCGCCATTGTCATCATGGCCCGTTCTCAATGAGCTGTTGGGTACACCTCCCACACGGGGTGGTGGCCGGGCAGAGGGTCTCCTCACTTCCCAGTAGGGGCGGCCTGGCAGAGGCGCCCCTCACCTCCTGGATGGGGCGGCTGGCCGTGCGGGGGGTGACCCCCCACCTCCCTCCCGGACGGGGCGGCTGGCCGGGCGGGGGGCTGACCCCCCCACCTCCCTCCCGGATGGGGCGGCTGGCTGGGCAGAGGGGCTCCTCACTTCCCAGTAGGGGCAGCCGGGCAGAGGCGCCCCTCACCTCCCGGATGGCTTTGCCCACTTTTTAATCAAACTATTTGGGCTTTGTTTTTTAATGTTGAGTTGTTTGAATTTCATGTATATTCTGGATATTTGTCTCTTGTTAGATAAATAGCTTGCAAATATTTTCTCCCTTTTTACAGGTTGTCTTTTCACCTAGTGTTTCCTTTGTGATACAGAAGCTTTTTAGTTTAAGATAGTCTCATTTGTCTATTTTGCTGTTGTCTGTGCTTTTGAGGTATTACCCATAAAATCTTTGCCTAGACTAATGTCCAAAAATCTTTCCCCTATGTTTTCTTCTAGTGGTTTTATAGTTTTGGGTCTTATATTTATGTTTTTAATATATCTTGAGGTGACTTTTGTATATGGTGAGAGACAGGGGCCCAGGTTAATTCTTCCATATATGGATATCCAATTGTCCCAGCACCATCTATTGAAGAGGGTGTTGCTTCCCCAATGTATGTTTTGGCATATTTGTCAACAATCAGTTGGCTATAAATGCATGGATTTATTTATGGATTATTTATTCTGTTTCGTTGGTCTATGTGTTTGTTGTTATATCAATACAATGCTGTTTTGGTTATTTTGAAGTCAGGTAGTATGATGCCTTCAGCTTTGTTCTTTTTGATCAAGATTACTTTGCCTATTCAGGCTCATTTTTACTTACAAATTTTAGAATTTTTTTTCTATTTCTTTGAAAAATGACATTGATAGGGATTTCATTGAATCTGTAGATTGCTTTGGGCAGTATGGTCATTCTAATAATGTTAATTCTTCTGATCCATTAGCATGGGATGCATTTTTATTAGTTTGTGTCCTCCTCAACTTACTTTATCAATGCTTTGTAGATTTCCTTATAGACATCTTTCACCTTCTTGGTTGAATTTATTCCTAGGTATTTTATTTTTTTGTAGCTATTGTAAATGAGATTGCCTTCTTAATTTCCTTCTCAGCTAGTTTGTTGTTGGTGAATGGAACCACTCCTGATTTTTGTACATTGGTTTTGTATTTTGAAATTTTACTCAATTAATTTATCAGTTCTAAGAGGTTTATTTGGTGGACTTTTTAGGTTTTTCTATATATGAGATTGTGTAATCTGCAAATAAGACAACATGACTTCCTTTTTTCTGATTTGCATGCCTTTTATTGCTCACTTTTGTTTAATTGCTCTGACTAGGACTTCCACTAGTAGGTTGAATATGAGTGGTGAAAATGGGCATTCTTCTCTTGTTCCAATTCAGTATGACATCAGCCATGTGTTTGTCATGTATAGCCTTTATGATATTTAAGTATGTTCCTTCTACGTCTAGTTTGTTAAGAGCTTTATCATAAAAGAATGGTGAAATTTGCTAAATGCTTTTTCTGTGCCTGTTGAGATTATCATATATGTTTTATCTTCATACTGTTGATGTGATGTATCACATTTATTGATTTGTGTATGTTGAACAATTCTTCCATCCTGTGTAGAAATTCCACTTGATTATGGTGTATTATTTTTTGATGTGGTGGACTTGGTTTACTAGTATTTTGTTGATAATTATTGTGTTTATGTTTATCAGGTATATTGGCCATAGTTTTCTTTTTTTGCTCTGTCCTTGTGTGTTTTTGTATAAAGATAATGCTGGCTTTATAGAATGATTTAGAAAAAAATCCCTCCTCTACACTTTTTTGGAAAAGTTTAAGGATAATTGGTATTACTTCTCTGAAAATGTAGTAGAATTGGTAGTTAAGCCATTTGGTCCTGGACTTTCCTTTGTTGGGAGATGTTTTATTACTGATTTATTCTCATTACTTATTATTCGTCTGTACCAATTCCTACTTCTTTCTGAACCAGTCATGGGAGGTTGTATGTGTCCAGGAATTTATCAATTTCCTCCAGTCTCTAGCTTGTTAGTGTATAGTTGCTCATAATAGTCTTTGGTGATCTTTTTTATTTCTGTGGTATCATTTTTACTGTCTCCTTTATTTCTGATTTTGAGTCTTCTTTTATTATTGGTTGGTATAACGACTAGTTTTTTACTTTATCTTTTCAGAAAGCCAACATTTTATCTTGTTGATCCTTAGTATTTATTTTTTTCATCTCTACTACATTTAGTCCTGCTCTGATATTTATCATTTCTTTCCTTCTACTAATTTTGGATTTGGTTTGTTGCTGCTTGTCTAGTTCTTGAGGTGCATTGTTGGGTTTTTTATTTGAAATCTTTCTACTTTTTGATGTAGGTGTTTATTGCTATAGACTTCCTTTTACTGCTTTGTCTTTATATTACTGGTTTTGGTGTGCTGTGTTTCCATTTTCATTTGTTTCAAAAAAATTATTTGATTTCCTTCTTCATTTACTCAATGATCATTCAGGAGCATGTTGTTTAATTTCCATGTATTTGTACAGTTTCCAAAGGTTTTCTTGTCATTGATTTCTAATTTTACTCCACTGTGGTCTAAGAAGATACTTGATTTGATGTTAATTTTTAAATTCTTAAGCTTTATTTTGTGTTCTAACCTATTGTCTATCCTGGAGAATATTTCATGTGCTGATGAGAATATGTATTCTGTAATTGTTGGATGAAATGTTCTGTAAATGTCTGTTAGGTCCATTTGGTCTAAATTACAGTTTCAATTTGATGTTTCTTTATTAATTTTCTGTCTAGATGATATGTCTAATGCTGAGAGTGGGGTGTAGAATTTCCTACTGTTATTGTGTAGGAGTCTACCTCTCCTGTTAGATCTAATAATATTTGCCTTTTGTATCTGGGTGCTGTGGTGTTGGATCACATATGTTTAGAATTGTTATATCCTCTTGCTGAATCAATCCCTTTATTATTACATAGTTACCTTCTTTGTCTCTTTTTATTATTTTTGATTTAAGGTATGGTTTATTTCATATGAGTATAGTTGCTCCTGCTTGGTTTTGGTTTCCATTTTCATGGAATAGCTTCTTCTGTCCCTTTACTTTCAACGTATATATGTCTTTACAGTTGAGAGGAATATCTTGTAGGCAGCATACAGTTGGGCCTTTTTTCAGATCAAATCAGCTAGTCAATGTATTTTAAGTAGAAAGTTTAAACCATTTATCTTCAAGGTTATTAAAGATATGTGAGGGATTATGCCTGCCATTTTATCAATACTATATGGTTGTTGGCCAGGCACAGTGAATTATACCTGTAATCCCAGCACTTTGGGAGGCTGAGGCAGGCAGATCATCTGAGGTCACAAGTTCGAAATCAGCCTGGACAACATGGTGAAATCCTATATTTACTAAAAATACAAAAAAATTAGCTGGACTTGGTGGCAGGCACCTGTAATCCCAGCTACCTGGGAGGCTGAAGCAGGAGAATTGCTTGAACCCAGGAGGCAGAAGTTGCAGTGAGTTGAGACTGTGCCATTGGACTGCAGCCTGGGCAACGAAACTCTATCTCAAAAAAATAATAAAATAAATAATAATAACAATAATATATGGTTGTTTTGTACCTCCTTTGTCTCTTTCTTTCCCTCTTATTGTTTATCATTGTGGTTTGGTGGTATTCTGTAGTGGTAACATTTGAGTTTTTCTCATACTCATTTGTGTGTTTCCTTTACCAATGGGTTTTATATTTCCGTAAGTTTTCATTATGGTAGTTATTCTTTTACTTCCAGATGTAGAAATTCCTAACCTTTTCCTATAAAGCGTGTCTAGTAGTGATGAATTCTCTCAGCTTTGGTTTGTCTGGTAAAGGCTTTATTTCTCTATTATATATAAAGGACAACTTTGCTGGGCATAGTATCCTTGACTGGCAGTTTTTTTCTCTTTCAGCACTTTGATATATTATCCCATTCTGTCCTGCACTGAAAATTTCTGCTGAAAAATCCACCATTAGTCTTATGGGAATTATTTTATAAGTGACCACATGCTTTTCTATTGCTGTTCTTAGAATATTCTCTTTGTCTGACTTTGAACAGTTTTACTATAATGTTCTACAGAGCCGATCTTTTTAAAGTATATCTACTTTGGTGTATCCTCCAATATCTGTATGTTTAAATCTCTTGCTAGACTCAGGTAGATTTCATCTATTATTTCATTAAATAGGTTTTCTCACCCTTTATTTTTCTCTTCACTTTCTGGAACATTGAAAATTCAAGTATTTGCTCCCTTTATGGTTTCCCATATGTTGCCTAGTTTCTACTCATTCTTTTAAATTTTTTTCTCTTACTGGGTTATTTCTAAAGATCTGTCTTCAAGTTCTGAGATAGTTTTTTTTTTTTTTTTTTTTTTTGCTTGATGTAGTCTGTTTTAGGTTTTTGATTGTATTTTGTATTTCATTCAATGAATTATTGAGTTCCAGAATTTCTATCTGGTTCTTTATTATATCTATGTCTTTGGTAAATTTCTCATTCATATCCTGAATTGCATTTTAATTTTAATGTGTTATTATTCAGAATTACATTGTATCTTGCTGAGCTTCTTTAGTATCAATATTTTGAATTTTTTTTCTGAAATTTCATAAATTTCTTTTTGATTGAGTTCTTTTTTTTTTTCTTTTTTTTTCTTTTATTATTATACTTTAAGTATTAGGGTACATGTGCACATTGTGCAGGTTAGTTACATATGTAGACATGTGCCACGCTGGTGCGCTGCACCCACTAACTCGTCATCTAGCATTAGGTATATCTCCCAATGCTATCCCTCCCCCTTCCCCCCACCGCCACCCCACAACACTCCCCATAGTGTGATGTTCCCCTTCCTGTGTCTATGTGATCTCATTGTTCAATTCCCACCTATGAGTGAGAATATGCGGTGTTTGGTTTTTTGTTCTTGTGATAGTTTACTGAGAATGATGATTTCCAATTTCATCCATGTCCCTACAAAGGACATGAACTCATCCTTTTTTATGGCTGCATAGTATTCCATGGTGTATATGTGCCACATTTTCTTAATCCAGTCTATCATTGTTGGACATTTGGAATGGTTCCAAGTCTTTGCTATTGTGAATAGTGCCACAATAAACATACGTGTGCATGTGTCTTCATAGCAGCATGATTTATAGTCCTTTGGGTATATACCCAGTAATGGGATGGCTGGGTCAAATGGTATTTCTAGTTCTAGATCCCTGAGGAATTGCCACACTGTCTTCCACAATGGTTGAACTAGTTTACAGTCCCACCAACAGTGTAAAAGTGTTCCTATTTCTCCATGTCCTCTCCAGCACCTGTTGTTTCCTGACTTTTTAATGATTGCCATTCTAACTGGTGTGAGATGGTATCTCATTGTGGTTTTGATTTGCATTTCTCTGATGGTCAGTGATGATGAGCATTTTTTCATGTGTCTGTTGGCTGCATAAATGTCTTCTTTTGAGAAGTGTCTGTTCATATCCTTTATCCACTTTTTGATGGGGTTGTTTGTTTTTTTCTTGTAAATTTGTTTGAGTTCATTGTAGATTCTGGATATTAGCCCCTTGTCAGATGAGTAGGTTGCAAAAATTTTCTCCCATTTTGTAGGTTGCCTGTTCACTCTGATGGTAGTTTCTTTTGCTGTGTAGAAGCTCTTTAGTTTAATTAGATCCCATTTGTCAATTTTGGCTTTTGTTGCCATTGCTTTTGGTGTTTTAGACATGAAGTCCTTGCCCATGCCTATGTCCTGAATGGTATTGCCTAGGTTTTCTTCTAGGGTTTTTATGGTTTTAGGTCTAACGTTTAAGTCTTTAATCCATCTTGAATTGATTTTTGTATAAGGTGTAAAGAAGGGATCCAGTTTCAGCTTTCTACATATGGCTAGCCAGTTTTCCCAGCACCATTTATTAAATAGGGAATCCTTTCCCCATTGCTTGTTTTTCTCAGGTTTGTCAAAGATCAGATAGTTGTAGATATGTGGCGTTACTTCTGAGAGCTCTGTTCTGTTCCATTGATCTATATTTCTGTTTTGGTACCAGTACCATGCTGTTTTGGTTACTGTAGCATTGTAGTATAGTTTGAAGTCAGGTACTGTGATGCCTCCAGCTTTGTTCTTTTGGCGTAGGATTGACTTGGCGATGCGGGCTCTTTTTTGGTTCCATATGAACTATAAAGTAGTTTTTTCCAATTCTGTGAAGAAAGGCACTGGTAGCTTGATGGGGATGGCTTTGAGTCTGTAAATTACCTTGGGCAGTATGGCCATTTTCATGATATTGATTCTTCCTACCCATGAGCATGGAATGTTCTTCCATTTGTTTGTATCCTCTTTTATTTCCTTAAGCAGTGGTTTGTAGTTCTCCTTGAAGAGGTCCTTCACATCCCTTGTAAGTTGGATTCCTAGGTATTTTATTCTCTTTGAAGCAGTTGTGAATGGGAGTTCACTCATGATTTGGCTCTCTGTTTGTCTGTTGTTGGTGTATAAGAATGCTTGTGATTTCTGTACATTGATTTTTTATCCTGAGACTTTGCTGAAGTTGCTTATCAGCTTAAGGAGATTTTGGGCTGAGATGATGGCGTTTTCTAAATATACAATCATGTCATCTGCAAACAGGGACAATTTGACTTCCTCTTTTCTAATTGAATACCCTTTATTTCCTTCTCCTGCCTAATTGCCCTGGCCAGAACTTCCAACACTATGTTGAATGGCAGTGATGAGAGAGGGCATCCCTGTCTTGTGCCAGTTTTCAAAGGGAATGCTTCCAGTTTTTGCCCATTCAGTATGATATTGGCTGTGGGCTTGTCATAGATAGCTCTTATTATTTTGAAATACGTCCCATCAATACCTAATTGATTGAGAGTTTTTAGCATGAAGGGTTGTTGAATTTTGTCAAAGGCCTTTTCTGCATCTATTGAGATAATCATGTGGTTTTTGTCTTTGGTTCTGTTTATATACTGGATTACATTTATTGATTTGCGTATATTGAACCAGCCTTGCATCCCAGGGATGAAGCCCACTTGATCATGGTGGATAAGCTTTTTGATGTGCTGCTGGATTCGGTTTGCCAGTATTTTATTGAGGATTTTTGCATCAATGTTCATCAAGGATATTAGTCTAAAATTCTCTTTTTTGGTTGTGTTTCTGCCAGGCTTTGGTATCAGAATGATGCTGGCCTCATAAAATGAGTTAAGGAGGATTCCCTCTTTTTCTATTGATTGGAATAGTTTCAGAAGGAATGGTACCAGTTCCTCCTTGTACCTCTGGTAGAATTTGGCTGTGAATCCATCTGGTCCTGGACTCTTTTTCGTTGGTAAGCTATTGATTATTGCCACAATTTCAGATCCTGTTATTGGTCTATTCAGAGATTCAACTTCTTCCTGGTTTAGTCTTGGGAGAGTGTATGTGTCGAGGAATTTATCCATTTCTTCTAGATTTTCTAGTTTATTTGCATAGAGGTGTTTGTAGTATTCTCTGATGGTAGTTTGTATTTCTGTGGGATCGGATGTGATATCCCCTTTATCATTTTTTATTGCGTCTATTTGATTCTTCTCTCTTTTTTTCTTTATTAGTCTTGCTAGTGATATATCAATTTTGTTGATCCTTTCAAAAAACCAGCTGCTGGATTCATTAATTTTTTGAAGGTTTTTTGTGTCTCTATTGCCTTCAGTTCTGCTCTGATTTTAGTTATTTCTTGCCTTCTGCTAGCTTTTGAATGTGTTTGCTCTTGCTTTTCTAGTTCTTTTAATTGTGATGTTAGGGTGCCAATTTTGGATCTTTCCTGCTTTCTCTTGTGGGCATTTAGTGCTATAAATTTCCCTCTACACATTGCTTTGAATGCGTCCCAGAGATTCTGGTATGTTGTGTCTTTGTACTCGTTGGTTTCAAAGAACATCTTTATTTCTGCCTTCATTTCGTTATGTACCCAGTAGTCATTCAGGAGCAGATTGTTCAGTTTCCATGTAGTTGAGCCGTTTTGAGTGAGATTCTTATTTCTGAGTTCTAGTTTGATTGCACTGTGGTCTGAGAGATAGTTTGTTATAATTTCTGTTCTTTTACATTTGCTGAGGAGAGCTTTACTTCCAAATATGTGGTCAATTTTGGAATAGGTGTGGTGTGGTGCTGAAAAAAATATATATTCTGTTGATTGGGGGTGGAGAGTTCTGTAGATGTCTATTAGGTCCACTTGGTGCAGAGCTGAGTTCAATTCCTCGGTATCCTTGTTGAGTTTCTGTCTCATTGATCTGTCTAATATTGACAGTGGGTTGTTAAAGTCTCCCATTATTAATGTGTGGGAGTCTAAGTCTCTTTGTAGGTCACTCAGGACTTGCTTTATGAATCTGGGTGCTCCTGTGTTGGGTGCATATATATTTAGGATAGTTAGTTCTTCTTGTTGAATTGATCCCTTTACCATTATGTAATGGCGTTCTTTGTCTCTTTTGATCTTTGTTGGTTTAAAGTCTGTTTTATCAGAGACTAAGATTGCAACCCCTGCCTTTTTTTGTTTTCCATTTGCTTGGTAGATCTTCCTCCATCCTTTTATTTTGAGCCTATATGTGTCTCTGCACATGTGATGGGTTTCCTGAATACAGCACACTGATGGATCTTGACTCTTTATCCAATTTGCCAGTCTGTGTCTTTTAATTGGAGCATTTAGTCCATTGACATTTAAAGTTAATATTGTTATGTGTGAATTTGATCTTGTCATGATGATGTTAGCTGGATATTTTGCTCGTTAGTTGATGCAGTTTCTTCCTAGTCTCAATGGTCTTTACATTTTGGCATGACTTTGCAGCGGCTGGTACCGGTTGTTCCTTTCCATGTTTAGTGCTTCCTTCAGGAGCTCTTTTAGGGCAGGCCTGGTGGTGACAAAATCTCTCAGCATTTGCCTGTCTGTAAAGTATTTTATTTCTCCTTCGCTTATGAAGTTTAGTTTGGCTGGATATGAAATTCTGGGTTGAAAATTCTTTTCTTTAAGAATGTTAATTTTGGCCCCCACTGTCTTCTGTCTTCTAGGGTTTCTGCTGAGAGATCCGCTGTTAGTCTGATGGGCTTCCCTTTGAGGGTAACCCGACCTTTCTCTCTGGCTGCCCTTAACATTTTTTCCTTCATTTCAACTTTGGTGAATCTGACAATTATGTGTCTTGGAGTTGCTCTTCTCGAGGAGTATCTTTGTGGTGTTCTCTGTATTTCCTGAATCTGAACATTGGCCTGCCTTGCTAGATTGGGGAAGTTCTCCTGGATCTGCAGAGTGTTTTCCAACTTGGTTCCATTCTCCCCGTCACTTTCAGGTACACCAATCAGACGTAGATTTGGTCCTTTCACATAGTCCCATATTTCTTGGAGGCTTTGCTCATTTCTTTTTATTCTCTTTTCTCTAAACCTCCCTTCTCACTTCATTTCATTCATTTCATCTTCCATTGCTGATAACCTTTCTTCCAGTTGATCGCATCAGCTCCTGAGGCTTCTGCATTCTTCACGTAGTTCTCAAGCCTTGGTTTTCAGCTCCATCAGCTCCTTTAAGCACTTCTCTGTATTCATTATTCTAGTTATACATTCTTTTTAATTTTTTCAAAGTTTTCGACTTCTTTGCCTTTGGTTTGAATGTCCTCCAGTAGCTCAGAGTAATTTGAGCCTCTGAAGCCTTCTTCTCTCAGTTCGTCAAAGTCGTTCTCCATCCAGCTTTGTTCCATTGCTGGTGAGGAACTGCGTTCCTTTGGAGAGAAGAGGCGCTCTGCTTTTTAGAGTTTCCAGGTTTTCTGTTCTGTTTTTTCCCCATCTTTGTGGTTTTATCTACTTTTGGTCTTTGATGATGGTGATGTATTTCTGCATTTCCATCTGAGGTACTGGGTTCATCTCACTAGGGAGTGCCAGACAGTGGGTGCAGGTCAGTGGGTGCACGCAATGTGCACGAGCCAAAGCAGGGTGAGGCATTGCCTCACTCGGGAAGTGCAAGGGGTCAGGGAATTCCCTTTCCTGGTCAAAGAAAGGGGTGATGGATGGCACCTGGAAAGTCGGGTCACTCCCACCCGAATACTGCACTTTTCCCACGGGCTTAAAAAACGGCGCACCACGAGATTGTATCCCATGCCTGGCTCGGAGGGTCCTATGCCCACGGAGTCTCGCTGATTGCTAGTACAGCAGTCTGTGATCAAACTGCAAGGGGGCAGCGAGGCTGGGAGAGGGGCGCCCGCCATTGCCCAGGCTTGCTTAGGTAAACAAAGCAGCCAGGAAGCTCGAACTGGGTGGAGCCCTCCATAGCTCAAGGAGGCCTGCCTGCCTCTGTAGGCTCCACCTCTGGAGGCAGGGCACAGACAAACAAAAAGCAGTAACCTCTGCAGACTTAAATGTCCCTATCTGACAGCTTTGAAGAGAGCAGTGGTTCTCCCAGTACGCAGCTGGAGATCTGAGAACGGGCAGACTGCCTCCTCAAGTGGGTCCCTGACCCCTGACCCCTAAGCAGCCTAACTGGGAGGCACCCCCCAGCAGGGGCACACTGACACCTCACACGGCAGGGTACTCCAACAGACCTGCAGCTGAGGGTCCTGTCTGTTAGAAGGAAAACTAACAAGCAGAAAGGACATCCACACCAAAAACCCATCTGTACATCACCATCATCAAAGACCAAAAGTTGATTGAGTTCTGTTGCTGGATAATTACCACGTTTTTTGGGGGTGAGTGTTATACTTCCTTGCTTTTTCATGTTTCTGTGTCCTTAAGTTGTTGTTTTTCCTGTGTCCTTAAGTTGATATCTGCCCATTTTGATTTTTTGAATTTGCTTTTGTAGGGGAAGAAGTTTTTCTAAGATGCATCTATGGTGTTGGTTGGGTAGAGTACTTTAGCTTTGATCCTCGGCACATGCAGTAGTGCAGTCTCTGTATGATTTATGTGGCTGTGAACAGAATTTGTGGTGTATGCAATTTCCTCAGTGGCTTAGGCTGTGGTTGTTAATAGAGACTGTGGTGAAATTTCACTGGAGACTGGGATGGCAGGTGAGCCAGTCATCAGGACCCAGTGGTTGGCAGCAGTGGACCAAGCATGCTGACCTTGGGCGCCATTGTGGCAAACAATGGCACCAGTATGTTCAGGTCCATGCAGGGTGATTCTTTGGCCTCCAGGTTGCTTGCTTGGGTTCCAGGAATGGCAGTAGTGGAAAGATTTTTGAGCCCCTGGGCAGCAGACATGGCATGAGCAATGGCAGGAGCTGTGATGGGACAACCCTCTGGGACCCCAACAATCTATAGTGGTTTTACCAGAGGCTGCAATGGACTGAACAGTCCAATCCTCAGTTTTACAGTTGGTGCAGGGAAGTGGTTGCCAGCTGTGGTTGTAGTGGCAGATTGAGTGGGCCCTACCTCAGATCTCTGACAGGAGTGCTTAGGTACAAATATTTTGGACTGAGATGGGCTCCTGGACGACATGCTTGGGTACTAGGATGAGTGCAGCAAGCCTAGGCAGCCTACTTTCTTTCCTCCTAGGGGTACATGAAGGCACTGCTGTTGTAGGTACAAGTGAGGTGATCCCCAGGCTTTTGGCAGAATGTTTAGTTAAGGGAAGGAGTGGCTGCACTGCAGTCCTGTTATTGAGGAGGGTAGAGCTGCTTTCAATGGGAGCAGCTGTACGTAGGTCGCTGGGCAGGGGGACTTGCTTTGCTCATGCCTTGGCCACAGAGTAGCTGGCAATGGCAGTGGTTGTGGGCAGTAAAATTTGTCCTTGAGGCAGGTGAAAATGCAGGGCTGTTCCTTTGCTGTGATAGAGGGCATAGTCACTGCCAGTGGCTCCTGCCTTGTTTCTGGCAGATTATCTGTTTGCCAGGAATGTTAATGGGGATTCAGGGATGTGAAGATGAAGAGGCTACTGAGCCCCAGGGAAGGATGCAGTATGGTGGGGGCTGGTCTGCCAAAAATGGCAACATGCTGCAGTGTGATTATCTGCTATTTTTTTTTTCTTGTGGGAGAAGGGAGTATCTAATATATCCAGACAGCCATCTTTAAGTCCTTCACCAAGAATTATTTATTTCTAACTTCAATTTCTTCCATGTCACCCAAATTTAATGTATTAGGAATGAACATAAAGCATGAGGCAGGTTAGTGGCTTTAGTGGATTTTTTTTTTCTTTTAATGAGACAAGTTCTCACTCTGTTGCCCAGGCTGAACTGCAGTGGTGTGATCATAGCTCACTGTACTCACTGTAACCTCATACTCCTCAGCTTAAGTGATCCTCCTGCCTCAGCTTCTTGGGAAACTGTCACTACAGGTACAAATCGTCAGGCTGGATCTTTTGTTTTTATGTTTTGCAGAGATGATGTCTTGCTATGTTGCCCAGGCTGGTCTTGAATTCCTGGCCTCAAGCGATTCTCCCACCTTGGCACCCCAAATGCTAGGAATATAGGCATGAGCCTCTATGCCTAGCCCAGTTATTAGCTTTTGATGAACACTTAGTTGAGTTGTATCCAATTTGGGGGAGCATAAATGGTTTCTGAATTCTTGGGAAAGCTGGAACATTCTTGAGAGAATTGGAATTAGTCTTTTTCCTGAGAGAGGGATCTTTGTTGAACCTTTTCAGTCAGACAGATGTAGTGTAACTACTGCTTTCTTATTTTTCTTGAAGAAGTCCTGGATTATGAAATGAAACCAAATTCAGAAACTTTAGATGTTTATCCTAATTAATAATGTAGATTAGTTTTATTTTTAAGGAGACTGTTCCATTGTAGAGGTTTTATTTTCTTTTCTAAATATATATTTAGCCAGAACTGCATATGTAAAGTTTTTTTTCCCCTTACGAGGTAAGATATCTTTTTTGCCCTGTTTATTTGCTAATAAGAGATAGAAAGACCAGACCTGACCCTAGAGTGAGAGGAGTGCAGGCCTGGTATTTTATTCATCTAATGTTGGATAAAATGGTGCAAAGAAACTGGATTGTTTGGTGTCTAGACAGTGTCTTACACATAATATTATTTAAGATATGACTATTTTATTGCTTTGTTTGGATCAAAAGGGCAGGACAATTGAAGAAAGCAGATATTAACACTCTCAGTTATCCTGGAGGAGGAATTTAGATAGAACTTAGACTAGGGTACATCTCCCTTTTCTGGAGTCAGGAATAGTTATGTTTGGATAACTAGGAGAGAGGATTGGTCAAAACAGACTCCTGTTTGTGAAAGGGCACATGGCAGCTGACAAAAGGCTAAAAGAGAGATGGTCATTGTGGGACTCTTATAAATGAGGTATTGATAACTGATATCCAGTTGTATGTTTTCTTTTTCTATATAGTATTTTCCACCTGTTACCTCTAAGCTTATAGTAAAATTTAGTTAAAGCTACAGCCTTGTATTAGCTGTAAATTAAGGAATGGTCCACGTTTGAGTGAGAATATTTTAGTGAAGAAGTAATTATCGATTAAAGAAAAAACCTAAAGCAGCCATCTGAAGAAATATGTAATAGATGTCTATTAAAACATATTTTTGGAACTTGCAGGCAGAAGCTGATAAAAGATGAGAAATTCCTACAAACATTCAGATAATAGATAAAAGAAAAAGTAACCTACTGAAGGTTGGGGAGTTCAAGGATATGCAGCTAACATAGTATTTACTGAATAATGTGTGCTTCTGTTCAAAATGTAAGGTGGGAAAGTAACTCAAACAATATTTCTTCTTGCTTTAATCCAAATTACATTCAGCCTTTATATACCCCAAATTGATGTAGTTTATCTTTAATATCTCCTGTAATGACCTATGTTACCCACTAGTTGTCTTCGTTAAGGTTCTACATTTTAAAATTATGTGCAGAGATGGGACTTCAAGAATGGTGGTGTGAAGAAGAGTTTATTCTCTATATCCTTGGCAACACTTGTTATCATTCAACTTTTTTGAAATAGTCATTTTAACCAATGAGAGGTGATATCTCATTTTGGTTTCAATTTGCATTTCCATGGTGATTAGAGATGTTGAGCATTTTTTTATATATCTGTTGGAAAAAATTCTCAACACAGAAATATATGTATAAGTGGTGAGGTAATGGATATGTTAAGTAACTTCACTGAATCTTTCTACAATGTATGCAAAGGTCAGCACATAACATTCTGTCCCATTAATACACACAATTATTATTTGTTATTAAAATTAATTTTAAAAAAGAATGTTAGTGTGAGAAGTTGGGGAGTGGAGAAATATATCATGGAGAGTCATCTCCTAAGCCAGTCAAAATTAGCAAAGAGAATAATTTATGACCTCTGCAGATCGAGAAAAAGGCTTAGAATACATTAAGAATCATTTTTTCAACAAAATATATGGAAAATTGGCAAGAACAGTGGGAAGCTATGGCATTTGAAGTAGTGGCTTAACTCATCCTTCCATAGCTCTTCTTTGTGGGAGAACTATTTAAGAGAGCATAAGAGCAGAGTGAAAATCCCCATTTTGCTCAGATCTCTAGGAAGGAAGAAATATCCTGGAAAGTTTCCACAAATAATGGACATCAGAAGTTTCCTTTTTCCTCAGCTCTGGCAAAGAAGGTCAATATCCAAAAGACTGTGGCAGGCAGATAGTGCCCATTTTCCCACCTCTAACTCGCACCATGTGGGACATATGCAGTCCTGTAAAGTCCCTCTCTCCCACACAGCGTGTGCTGTAGGAGAGCTGCTACCTTGAGTTTGTTAGCTGTGTGGCAGCTGCCATCTACACAAGCCTCTGCAGAATTAGTTTAGCTAACTCACTAAATAAATAAGCAAAAAACCAAGGGGAGAAATCAATATCCGGAGCTGCTACAAAGTATTCTCTGAAAGATCCTGTTTTGCTGAAAACTGGACCTTTTAGAAAATAGATTTCTTTTAATGTCTTATACAAAGATATAGGAAACTATGGCCCAAATACACACACAAAAGCAGCCAATGTAAACTGCCTGTGAGAGGCTCCAGGTTCCAAACTTATCAGTAAAAGACTTCAAAGCAGGTATAATAACTTCAAAAACACTAAAGGAAACTATCTTTAAATAATTAAAGAAAAGTATAACGACAATTATCTTTCAAATATAGAATATAGATAAAGAAAAATAAATTATAAAAAGAATGAAATAGAAAATTTGGAATTTAAAAGTAAAATAACCAAAGAGAATACAATCACTAAAGGACCTCAACAGTAGATGTGAGCTTCAGAAGAAAGAATCAGAGGATTTATGCAATCCAAAGAACAGAAAGAAAGGGAGTGAAAAAATCGACAGAGACACAGAGAAACGTAAGATGCAATTAAGTGCACCTATATACACATAATTTGAATAAACAAAGGAGAGAAGGAAGCAAAAAAAAAAAGACATAAAGGCAAAAAACTTCCTCAGTTTGATGAAGAACATTAATCTATGCATCTAAAAAGATCTGCAAGTGCAAGTAGGTAAAATTCAAGGAGATCTTCACCAAACACATCATAGTGAAAGCTTTCAAGGGCAAAGAAAAAGTGAACATTTTGAAAGGAACAAGAGAAAAATAACTCATTACAAGAAGATTAACAGCTGATTTCTAAAAAGAAACAATGGAGACCAGAAGGCAATAAGACGTATTAATAATGCAAAGACATGAAACATACATAAAACAAAAGGCAAAATGGCAAAAATGAATCCAACCATATCAATTATAAATGTGAGCGAATTAAACATTCCAGTCAAAAGGCATTGATTGTCCAACAAGATTAAAAAAATCAAGATTCAACTATATGGGCTCTATAGATGATACTCTATATTCAAACACATAAATAGGTTGAAAGTAAAAATATGGAAAAATATATACCATGCAAGCAGAAACTGTAAGAGAGATTGTGTGGCTATAGACTTTAAAGCGGCAATTGTTATCACCTCCACTGGTGATACTCAGGCAAACAGGGTCTGGAGTGGACCTCCAGCAAACTGAAGCATACCTGCAGAAGAGGGGCCTAAATGTTAGAAGAAAAACTAACAAACAGAAAGAACAACAACAAAAAAGACCCCCACACAAAAACTTCATCAAAAGTTCATCAGCCCCAAACATCAAAGGTAGATAAATCCATGAAGATGAGAAAAGAACAGCACAAAACACTGAAAATTCAAAAAACCAGAATGCCTCTTCTTCTACAAGTGATCTCAACTCCTCTCCAGCAAGGGCATAAAACTGGACAGAGAATGAGGTTGATGAATTGACAGAAGTAGGTTTCAGAAGGTGGGCAATAACAAACTCATTTGAGCTAAAGGAGCATGTTCTAACCCAATGTAAGGAAGCTAAGAACCTTGATTAAAGGTTACAGGAACTGCTAACTAGAATAACCAGTTTAGAGAGAAACATAAATGACCTGATGGAGCTGAAAAACACAGCATGAGAACTTTGTGAAGCATACACAAGTATTAATAGCCGAATCGATCATGCAGAAGAAAGGATATCAGAGATTGAAGATCACCTTGATGAAATAAAGTGTGAAGACAAGATTACAGAAAAATAATAAAAAGGAATAAACAAAGCCTCCAAGAAATATGGGACTATGTGAAAAGACCAAACCTATGATTGATTGGTGTACCTGAAACTGATGGAGAGAATAGAACCAAGTTGGAAAACACACTTCAGGATATTATTTGGGAGAACTTCCCCAACCTAGCAAGACAGGCCAAGATTCAAATTCAGGAAATACAGAGAACACCACTAAGATACTCCTCGAGAAGATCAACTCCAAGACACATAATCATCAGATTCTTGAAGGTTGTAACAAGGAAAAAACGTTAATGGCAGCCAGAGAGAAAGGTCAGGTCACCTACAAAGGGAAGTCCATCAGACTAACAGTGGATCTCTCTGCAGAAACCCTAGAAGCCAAAAGAAGGTGGGGGCCAATATTCAACATTCTTTAAAAAAAGAATTTTCAATCCAGAATTTTATATCCAGCCGAACTAAGCTTTGTAAGCAAAGGAGAAATAAAATCCTTTCCAGACAAGGAAAACCTGACTGATTTTGTCACCCTGAGGCCTGCCTTACAAGAGCTCCTGAAGGAGGCACACACACACACACATACACACACACACAAAACTGGTACCAGCCAGAGCAAAAACACACCAAAATATAAACACCAATGACACTATGAAGAAATTGTATCAACTAATGTGCAAAATAACCAGCCAGCATCATAATGACAGGATCAAGTTCACACATAACAATATTAACCTTAAATGTAAATGGACCAAATGTCCCAATTGAAAGGTACAGACTGGCAAATTGGATTAAGAGTCAAGACCAATTGGTGTGCTGTATTCAGGAGACAAATCTCATGTGCAAAGACACACATAGGCTCAAAATAAAGGGATAGAGGAATATTTATCAAGCAAATGAAAAGCAAAAAAAAAAAAAACAAAAACAAAAGCAGTGGTTGCAGGATTGCAATCCTAGTCTCTGATAAAGCAGATTTTAAACCAACAAAGATAAAAAAAAAAAAAGACAAAGAAGGGCATTACATAATGGTAAAGGGTCAATGCAACAAGAAAAGCTAACTGTCCTAAGTATATATGCACCTGATACAGGAGCACCCAGATTCATAAAACAAGTTCTTAGAGACCTACGAAGAGACTTAGACTCCCACACAATAATAGTGGGAGACTTTAACACCCCACTGTCAATATTAGACAGATCAACAAGTCAGAAAAATAACAAGAATATTCAGCACTTGAACTCAGCTTTGGATCAAGTGAACCAAATAGACATCTACAGAACTCTCTGCCCCAAATCAATAGAATATATATTTGTCTCAGTGCCACATGGCACTTATTCTAAAATTGACCACATAATTGGAAGCAAAAATGCTCCTCAGCAAATGCAAAAGAATGGAAATCATAACAGTCTCTCAGACCACAGTGCAATCAAATTAGAACTCAGGATTAAGAAACTCACTCAAAACTTCACATCTACATGGAGATTGAACAACCTACTCCTGAATGACTATAGGGTAAATAACAAAATTAAGGCAGAAATAAAGTTCTTTGAAACCAATGAGATCAAAGACACAACAGACTAGAATCTCTGAGGCACAGCTAAAGCAGTGTTAAGAGGGAAATTTATAGCACTAAAAGCCCACAGGAGAAAGTGGGAAAGATTTCAAATCGACCTCCTAACATCACAATTAAAAGAACTAGAGAATAAAGAGCAAACAAATTCAAAAGCTAGCAGAAAACAAGAAATAACTAAGATCAGAGCAGAACTGAAGGAGATAGAGACACGAAAAACCCATCAAAAAATCAACAAATCCAGGAGCTGGTTTTCTGAAAAGATTAACAAAATAGACGACTAGATAGACTAATAAAGAAGAAAAGAGAGAAGAATCAAATAGATACAATAAAAAATGATAAAGGGGATATCACCACTCATCTCACAGAAATACAAATTACCATCAGAGAATAATATAAACACCTCTATGCAGATAAACTAGAAAATCTAGACATAATGGATAAATTCCTGGACACATACACCCTCCTAAGACTAAATCAGGAAGAAGGCAAATGCCTGAACAGACTTATAACAAGTCCTGAAAATGAGGCAGTTATTAAATTGCCTAACAACCAAAAAAAGCCCAGGACCAGATGGATTCACAGCCAAATTCTACCAGAGGTACAAAGAGGAGCTGTTACTATTCCTTCTAAAGCTATTCCAAACAACATAAAAAGAGGTACTCCTCCCTAACTTATTTTTTCAGGCCAGCGTCATTCTGATACCAAAGCCTGGCAGAAACACAACAAAAAAAGAGAATTTCAGGCCAATATCCCTCATGAACAACGATGTGAAAATCCTCCATAAAATACTGGCAAACCGAATCCAGCAGCACATCAAAAATCTTATCCAACATGATCTAGTCAGCTTCATCCATGGGATGCAAGACTGGTTCAACATATGCAAATCAATAAACGTAATCCATCACATAAACAGAACCAATGACGAAAACCACATGATTATCTCAGTAGATGCAGAAAAGGTTGTCAATAAAATTCAACATCCCTTCATCAGTATAAAAAGCACAGGACAAGACAGATTAAACAGCTGAATTCTATGAAACATATAAATAATTCTATGAAACAGATAAAGAGCTGGTACCATTCCTACTGAAACTATTCCAAAAATTTAGGAGTAGGGACTCCCCTAATTCATTTTCTGAGGCAAGCATCATTCTGATACCAAAACTAGGCAAACGCACAACAACAACAATAATGAAAACATTGGGCTAATATCCTTGATGCAAATATCCTCAAAAAAAAAAACCAGCCAATCGAATGCAGCAGCAGATCAAAAAGCTAATTCCCCATGATCAAGTAGCCTTTATTCCTGAGATTCAAGGTGGTTTTAATATACACAAATCAATAAATGTGACTCAT
Source organism: Homo sapiens (assembly GCF_000001405.40). Lineage (NCBI taxonomy): Eukaryota > Metazoa > Chordata > Mammalia > Primates > Hominidae > Homo > Homo sapiens. The sequence continues at coordinate 85,743,220 of NC_000023.11, forward strand.
CACATAAACAGAGTTAAACACATGATCATATCAATACACGCAGAAAATTGTTTCAATAAAATTAAACATCTGTTTATGTTAAAAAAAACTCTCAAGAAACTGGACAGTGGAGGAAAACATTCAAAATAATAAAAACCATCCATGACAAATCCACAGCCAACATTACACTTAGCAGGTAAAAACTGGAACCATTCCCCTTAAGATCCAAAACAGGACAAGGATACCCCCTCTCACCACTCCTATTCAACGTATTATGGGAAGTCCTAGCCAGATAAATCTGGCAAGAGAAATAAAATATATCCAAAGAGGAAGAGAGGAAGTCAAACTATCTCTATGCGCAGATGACATAATTTTACACCAGGAAAACACCATGGTCTCTTCCCAAAAGTTCATAGATCTGAAAAACAACTTCAGCAAAGTTTCAAGATACAAAATCAATGTACAAAAATTAGCATTTATATAAATCAACAACATCCAAGCTAAGTGTGGAATCAAGAATAAAATCCCACTCACAATAGCCACACACAAAAATAAAATACCCAGGAATACAGCTAACCAGGGTGTTAAAAGATCTCTACAACGAGAATTACAAAACACTGCTGAAAGGCATCAGAAATGACACAAACAAATGGAAAAATACTCCATGCTCATTGATAGAAAAAATCAATATTCTTAAAATGGTCATACTTTCCAAAGCAATATACAGGTTCAATGCTGTACCTATCAAACTACCAATGATATTCTTTGCAGAACTACAGAAAACTAACCTAAAATTCATATGGAACCAACAAAGAGCCCAAATATCCAAAGCAATCCTAAACAAAAATAACAAAGCTGGAGGCATTATGCTACCTGACTTCAAATTATACTGTGAAGATACAGCAACCAAAACAGCATGGTACTAGTACAAAAACAGACCAACGGAATGCCGTAATCTGATCATTGACAAAATAGAAAAAACAAGTAATGGGGAAAGGAATTCCTATTTAATAATTGGTTCCAGGACAACTGGCTAGCTATATGTAGTAGATTGAAACTGGATGCCTTTCTTACACCATATACAAAAATCAACTGAAGATTAATTAAAGACTTAAATGTAAGACATTGAACTCTAAATGCCCTTGAAGTAAACCTAGAAAATACTATTCTGGAAATAGTCCTTGGCAGAGATTTTATGACAAAGACTCCAGAAGCAATTGCAACAAAACCAGAAACTGACACATGGGACCCAATTAAACTAATACGCACAGCAAAAGAAACTATCAACAGAGTAAACAGACAACCTACATAATGGGAGAAAATTTTTGCCAACTATGCATCAGACAAAGGTCTAATACTCAGAATCTATAAGGAATGTAAACAAATCTTCAAGAGATAAACAAACAACACCATTAAAAAGTGGGCAAAAGACATGAACCGAAACTCTTCAAAAGAAGACATATATGTGACTGACAAGCATATGAGAAAATGCTCAACATCACTAATCATTAGAGCAATGCAAATCAAAACCACAATGAGATACCACCTCACACCAGTCAAAATGGCTATTATTAAAAAGTCAAAAAATAACAGATGCTGATGAGGTTGCAGAGAAAAGGAAATCTTATTCACTGCTGGCAGGGATATAAATTAGTTCAGCCAAGGTGGAAAGCAGTTTGGCAATTCTCAAACACCTTAAAACAGAAGTACCATTAAACTCAGCAATTCCATTGTTGGGTATATAACCGAAGGAATATAAATCATTCTACCATAAAGACACATCCACAAGCATGTTCATCACGGCACTATTTACAATGGCAAAGTTATGGAATCAACATAGATGCCCGTGAATGGTAGATTTGATTTAAATAATATTTTACATATTTTTATATATATATTTGATATATATTTCTATATATATTTATATATTTCTTAATATATATTTTATATATTTCTTAATATATATATTATATATATAATATATAATATATATTTTTTATATATATTATATATTATATATATAATATATAATATATATTTTTTATATATATTATATATTATATATATATTTTATATATATATTTTATATATATTATATATTATATATTTTTTATATATTATATATTATATATTTTTTATATATTATATATTTTATATATATATTTTATATATTATATATTTTGTATATATATTTTATATATATTTTATATATATATTTTATATATATTATATATAATATATATTTTATATACATATTTTATATATATTATATATAATATATATTTTATATATATATTTTATATATATTATATATATTACATATATTTTATATATATATTTTATATATATTATATATATTACATATATTTCATATATATTATATATATTACATATATTTTATATATATTATATATATTACATATATTTTATATATATTATATATATTACATATATTTCATATATATATTATATATATTACATATATTTCATATATATATTATATATTATATATATTTTATATATGTTATATATTATATATATTTTATATATTATATATATTATATAAATTATATATATTTTATATATTATATATATTATATATATTTTATAAATATAATATATATTTTATATGTATTTTATATATATATTTTATATATATTTTATATATTTTATATATAATATATATTATATATACTATATATATATATTATATAATATATATACACCATGAAATACTATACAGCCATGAAAAAGAATGAGATGATATTCTTTGCAGCAACGTGGATGGAGCTGGAGGCCTTTGACCTAAGGAAACTAACACAGGAATAAAAAACCAAATGCTACATATTCTTACTTATGGGTGGGAGCTAAATACTGAGTACGTATGGACACAAAGAAGATAACAATAGACACCAGGGCCTACATGAAGGTGAAGGGTAGGGGGAGGCTGAGGATCAAGCAACTACCTATTGGATACTATGCTTATTTGCTTATTACCCAGGTGATAAATCTGTCCATCAAACTTCCATGACATGCAATTTACCTATATAACAAATGTGCATATGTACCACTGAAACTAAAATAAAAGTGAAAAGAAATGTATAAGTTAAAGAACAATGTAGTAAACAAAGGCAGTAAAGATATCTGAAAATATGTAAAATAGAGAATAGTAAAATGAAAGCAAAGCAAAAGATATATTAATAATAGTCCCAGGCTGGGCACAGTGGCTCATGCTTGTAATCACAGCACTTTGGGAGGGCAGGAGGATTGCTTGAGACCACAAGTTTGAGAATAGGCTTGGCAAAACAGTGAGATGCTGTCTCTACAATTTTTTTTTTAATTAGCCTGGCATGGTCGTATATGCTTGTAGTTTCTAGCTACTAAGGAATCTGAGGCAGGAGGATCACTGGAGCCCAGGATTTTGAGGTTACGGTGAACTATGATCACACCACTGAACTCCAGCCTGGAGTTCAGAGTGAATCCCTGTCTCAGTAATAATAATATGCACAAATACTAAAAATTACAATTCAAATTTAATAAGGATCTGGCAAATAAAATATTTTAAGTAAAAAGGAACACAGTAGTCACAAGTGGCTAGAGAAGGCCATACTGGATTACGTGGTTATACAACATTATGGTAGTTTTCAATTTATCACCTCATTTGATCCATACAAATGAGTTAAAGCAGGTATGGTAAATATTATCACTCACATATTACCAATAAGTAAGCTCGAGACCGAAATGGTTTTCAAGGTCATATAGTTAGCAAGAGCTATGTAGAGCTGGAATGCAAAATGAGAATCCACTGTTTAAAACATCTGTTAATTATGCAGTACCAAGTATTATTAAGGTATGGCACCCATATAAACATGCCACTCAGATCCCCTGCTACAAGGAGATTGACTGAGGGCTCCAGCTGTGGCCCCTCTGGATTTACCACTGAATTTTTCAAAATTTTTATTTCTTCTAAAAACAAACAAAAAAACAAAAACTGCATACATGTGCAGAACGTACAGGTTTGTTACATAGGTATACGTGTGAAATGGTGGTTTGCTGTACCTACTGACCCATCCTCTAAGTTCCCTCCCCTCGGGCCCCACCCCTCAACAGGCCCTGATGTGTGTTGTTCCCCTCTCTGAGTCCACGTGTTCTCATTGCTCAATTCCCACTTACGAGTAAGAATATGCTGTGTTTGGTTTTCTGTTCCTGTGCTAGTTTGCTGAGGATGATGGCTTCCAGTTTCATCCACGTCCCTGCAAAGGGCATGATATCATTTCTTTTTATGGCAGAATAGTGTTCCATTGTGTATGTGTACCACGTTTTCTTTATCCAGTCTATCTTTGATGGGCATTTGGGTTGGTTCCATGTCTTTGCTATCGTAAATAGTGCTGCAATAAACACTTGCGCATATGTCTTTATAGTCGAACGATTTATATTCCTTTGGGTATATATCCAATAATGGAATTGCTGGATCAAATTGTATTTCTGGTTCTAGATCCTTGAAAAATCTCCACACTGTCTTCCACAATGATTGAATTAATTTACATTCCCACCAATGGTGTAAAAGCATTCCTATTTCTCCACAGCCTCACCAGCATTTATTGTTTCCTAACTTTTTAATAATCACCATTCTGAATGGCATGAGATGGTATCTCATAGTGGTTTTGATTTGTATTTTTCTGATGATCAGTGATGTTGAGCTTTTTTTTATGTTTGTTGGCTGCATGAATGTCTTCTTTTGAGAAGTGTCTGTTCATGCTCTTCACTCACTTTTTTATGGTGTTGTTTTTTTCTGTAAATTTGTTTAAGTTTCTTGTAAATTCTGGATATTAGACCTTTGTCAGATGGATAGATTGCAAAAATTTTCTCCCATTCTGTATGTTGCCTATCAACTCTGATGATAGTTTCTTTTGCTGTGCAGAAGCTCTTTAGTTTAACTAGATTCCATTTGTCAATTTTGGCTTTTGTTGAAATGGCTTTTGGAGTTTTTGTCATGAAGTCTTTTCCCATCCCTATGTCCTGAATGGTATTGCCTAGGTTTTCTTCTAGGGTTTTTATGGTTTGGGGCTTTACATTTAAGTCTTTAATCTATCTTGAGTTAAGTTTTATATAAGGTGTAAGGAAGGGGTCCAGTTTCAGTTTTCTGCATATGGCTAGCCAGTATTCCCAGCACCATTTACTGAATAAAAGATCCTTTCCCCATTGCTTGTTTTTGTTAGGTTTGTAGAAGATCAGATGGTTGTAGATGTGAGGTGTTATTTCTGAGCTCTCTGTTCTGCTCTATTGGTCTATATGTCTGTTTTGGTACCAGTACCATGCTGTTTTGGTTACTGTGGCCTTGTAGTATAGTTTGAAGTCAGGTAGCGTGATGTCTCCAGGTTTGTTTTTTTGCTTAGGATTGTCTTGGCTATATGGGGTTTTCTTTGATTCCATATGAAATTTAAAATAGTTTTTTCTAATTCTGTACCACTTTATTTATTTTGTTATTTATATTTTTCCATAAGTTATTTGGGTACAGGTGGTATTTGGTTATGTAAGTTCTTTAGTGGTGATTAGTGAGATTTCAATACACCTATCATCCTATTTGCATTATTTTATTCCTCATTTCCCTTCCACACTTTTCCCCAAGACCCCAAAGTCCATTGTGTCATTCTTATGCCTTTGCGTCCTCATAGGTTAGCTCCCACATATCAGTGAGAACATATGATGTTTGCTTTTCCATTCCTGAGTTACTTCACTTAGAATAATAGTCTCCAATTGCATCCCAGTAGCCACAAATGTCATTAATTCATTCCTTTTTATGGCTGAGTAGTATTCCATCTTATATATCACAGGTTCTATATCCATTCATTGATTGATGAGCATTTGGGTTGGTTTCACAATTTTGCAATTGCAAATTGTGCTGCTATAAACATGCGTGTAAGAGTGTCTTTTTTGTATAATGACTTCTTTTTCTCTGGGTAACTACCCAGTAGTGGAATTGCTGGGTCAAATGGTAGTTCTACTTTTAGTTGTTTAAGGAATCTCCACACTGTTTTCCATAGTGGTTGTACTAGTTTACATTCCCACCAGCAGTGTAGAAGTGTTCCATGATCACCACATCCATGCCAACGTGTACTGTTTTTAGATTATTTATTATGGCCATTCTTGCAGGCATCGCATTGGTATCGCATTGTGCTTTTGATTTGCATTTCCCTGATTATTAATGAAGTTGAGCATTTTTTCATATGTTTGTTGGCCATTTATATCTTCTTTTGAGAGTTGTCTATTCATGTCTTTAGCCCATTTTTTGTGGATTTGTGTTCATTGTAGCTTCTGGATATTAGTCCTTTGTCAGATGTAGAGATTGTGAAGATTTTCTCCCACTCTATGGGTTGTCTGTTTACTCTGCTGACTGTTCCTTTTGCTGTGAAAAGCTCATTAGATTAATTAAGTTCCATCTATTTATCTTTGTTTATTGCACTTGCTTTTCGGTTCCTGGTCATGAAATCCTAACCTAAGCCAGTGTCTAGAAGTGTTTTCCCATGTTATCTTCTAGAATTTTTATAGTTTCAAATATTAGATTTAAGTCCTTAATACATCTTGAGTTGATGTTTGTATAAGGTGACAGATGATGATCCAGTTTCATTCTTCTATGTGTGGCTAGCCAATTATCCCAACACCATTTGTTGAAAAGGGTGTCCTTTCCCTGCTTTATGTTTTTGTTTGCTTTGTCAAAGACCAGTTGGCTATAAGTATTTGGGTTCATTTCTGGGTTCTCTATTCTGTACCATTGGTCTATATGCCTATTTTCATAGGTTAATTTGTAGACTGCTTTTTGCCGTATGGTCATTTTCACAATATTGATTCTACCCGTTTATGAGCATGGGATGTGTTTCTATTTGTTTGTGTCATCTATGATTTCTGTCAGCAGTGTTTTGTAGTTTTCTTTGTAGAGGTCTTTTGCCTCCTTGTTTAGGAATAATCCTAAGGGGTTTTTTGTTGTTGTTGTTTTGTTTTTGGTTTTTGTTTTTTTGTTTTGTTTTGTTTTGAGACAGAGTCTTGCTCTGTCACCCAGGCTGGAGCGCAGTGATGTGATCTCGGCTCACTGCAACTCCACCTCCCAATTTCAAGCAATTCTCCTGCCTCAGCCTCCTGAGTAGCTGGGACTACAGGTGAGTGCCACCATGCCCAGCTAATTTTTTTTTTTTTTTGTATTTTAGTAGAGATGGGGTTTCACCATGTTGGCCAGGCTGGTCTCAATCTCCTGACCTAGTGATCCACCCACCTCAGACTCCCAAAGTGCTGGGATTACAGGCGTGAGCCACCATGCCCAGCCTGAGTTCTTGATTTGATTCTCAGCTTGGTTGCTGTTGGTATATAGAAGAGCTACTGATTTGTGTACATTAATCTTGTATCCGGAAACTCTGCTGAATTTTTTTAACAATTCTAGGAGTTTTCTGGAGGAATCTTTAGGGTTTTCAAGTTTGACGATCACATTATCAGCAAACAATGATCGTTTTACTTCCACTTTACTGACTAGTAGACCCTTTATTTCTTTCTCTTGTCTGACTGCTCTGGCTAGGACTTCCAGTAGTAAGTTGAAGAGGAATGGTAAGAGTGGGCATTCTTGTTTTATTCCAGTTCTCAGAGGGGATGCTTTCAACTTTTCCCCATTCAGTATTATGTTGGCTTTGGGTTTGTCACAGCTGGCTTTTATTACGTTGAGGTATGATCCTTGTATGCCAATTTTGCTGAGAGTTTTAATGCTGAAGTGATGCTGGAGTTTGTCAAGTGCTTTTTCTTCATCTATTGAGATGATCATGTGATTTTTGTTTTTAATTCTGTTTATGTTGTGTATCACATTTATTCACTTAGGTATGTTAAGCCATCCCTGCATTCCCGGTATGAAAACCACTTGATCATGGTGGATTATCTTTTTGATATGTGGTTGGATTCAGTTAGCTAGTATTTTGCTAAGGTTTTTAGCATGTTCATCATGGATATCAATCTGTAATTTTCTTTTTGGGTTATGTCCTTTCCTAGTTTTGGTATTAGGGTGATGTTGGCTTCATAGAATAAATTAGAGAGGATTCTCTCTTTCTCTGTCTTGTAGAATAGTGTCAAAAGGATTGGTACTAATTCTTCTTTGAATGCCTGGTAAAATTCTGCTGTGAATCCATCTGGTCCTGGACTTTTTTTTGTTGGTAATTTTTAAATTACCATTTCCATCTCTCTGCTTATTATTGGTCTGTTCGCAGTATCTAATTCTTCCTGATTTAAGCTAGGAGGGTTGTATTTTTTAAGGAATTTATTCATTGCTTCTAGGTTTTTCACTTTATGTTTGAAAATGTGTTTATAGTAGCCTTGAATGATCTTTTGTATTTCAGTGTTGTCAGTTGTAAAATCTCCCATTTTGTGTCTTATTGAGGCTATTTGGATTTTCTCTCTTCTTTTCTTGATTAATCCTGCTAATGGTCCATCAATTTTATTTATTTTCTCAAAGAGCCAGCTTTCTGTTTCATTTACCTTTGTATTTTTTTTATTTTATTATTATTATACTTTAAGTTTTAGAGTACATGTGCACAATGTGCACGTTAGTTACATATGTATACATGTGCCATGCAGCTGTGCTGCACCCATTAAGTCATCATTTAGTATTAGGTATATCTCCTAAAGCTATCCCTCCCCCCTCCCCCCACCCCACAACAGTCCCCAGAGTGTGATGATCCCCTTCCTGTGTCCATGTGTTCTCATTGTTCAATTCCCACCTATGAGTGAGAATATGCGGTGTTTGGTTTTTTGTTCTTGTGATAGTTTACTGAGAATGATGATTTCCAATTTCATCCATGTCCCTACAAAGGACATGAACGCATCATTTTTTATGGCTGCATAGTATTCCATGGTGTATATGTGCCACATTTTCTTAATCCAATCTATCATTGTTGGACATTTGGGTTGGTTCCAAGTCTTTGCTATTGTGAATAGAGCCGCAATAAACATACGTGTGCATGTGTCTTCATAGCAGCATGATTTATAATCCTTTGGGTATATACCCAGTAATGGGATGGCTGGGTCAAATGGTATTTCTAGTTCTAGATCCCTGAGGAATCGCCACACTGACTTCCACAATGGTTGAACTAGTTTACAGTCCCACCAACAGTGTAAAAGTGTTCCTATTTCTCCACATCCTCTCCAGCACCTGTTGTTTCCTGACTTTTTAATGATTGCCATTCTAACTGGTGTGAGATGGTATCTCATTGTGGTTTTGATTTGCATTTCTCTGATGGCGAGTGATGGTGAGCATTTTTTCATGTGTTTTTTGGTTGCATAAATGTCTTCTTTTGAGAAGTGTCTGTTCAAGTCCTTTGCCTACTTTTTGATGGGGTTGTTTCTTTTTTCTTGTAAATTTGTTTGAGTTCATTGTAGATTCTGGATATTAACCCTTTGTCAGATGAGCAGATTGCAAAAATTTTCTCCCATTTTGTAGGTTGCCTGTTCACTCTGATGGTAGTTTCTTTTGCTGTGCAGAAGCTCTTTAGTTTAATTAGATCCCATTTGTCAATTTTGGCTTTTGTTGCCATTGCTTTTGGTGTTTTGGACATGAAGTCCTTGACCATGCCTATGTCCTGAATGGTAACACCTAGGTTTTCTTCTAGGGTTTTTATGGTTTTAGGTCTAACGTTTAAGTCTTTAATCCATCTTGAATTAATTTTTGTATAAGGTGTAAGGAAGGGATCCAGTTTAAGCTTTCTTCATATGGCTAGCCACTTTTCCCAGCACCATTTATTAAATAGGGAATCCTTTCCCCATTGCTTGTTTTTGTCAGGTTTGTCAAAGATCAGATAGTTGTAGATATGCGTCGTCATTTCTGAGGGCTCTGTTCTGTTCCATTGATCTATATTTCTGTTTTGGTGCCAGTACCATGCTGGTTTGGTTACTGTAGCATTGTAGTATAGTTTGAAGTCAGGTAGCATGATGCCTCCAGCTTTGTTCTTTTGGCTTAGGATTGATTTGGTGATGCGGGCTCTTTTTTGGTTCCATATGAACTTTAGAGTAGTTTTTTCCAATTCTGTGAAGAAAGTCATTGGCAGCTTGATGGGGATGGCATTGAATCTATAAATTACCTTGGGCAGTATGGCCGTTTTCATGAAATTGATTCTTCCTATCCATGAGCATGGAAGGTTCTTCCATTTGTTTGTATCCTCTTTTATTTCATTGAGCAGTGGTTTGTAGTTCTCCTTGAAGAGGTCCTTCATGTCCCTTGTAAGATGGATTCCTAGGTATTTTATTGTCTTTGAAGCAATTGTGAATGGGAGTTCACTCATGATTTGGCTCTCTGTTTGTCTATTATTGGTGTATAAGAATGCTTGTGATTTTTGTACTTTGATTTTGTATCCTGAGACTTTGCTGAAGTTGCTTATCAGCTTAAGGAGATTTGGGGCTGAAACAATGGGGTTTTCTGGATATACAATCATGTCATCTGCAAACAGGGACAATTTGACTTCCTTTTTCCTAATTGAATACCCTTTATTTCCTTCTCCTGCCTGATTGCCCTGGCCAGAACTTCCAACACTATTTTTAATAAGAGTGGTGAGAGAGGGCATCCCTGTCTTGTGCCAGTTTTCAAAGGGAATGCTTCCAGTTTTTGCCCATTCAGTATGATATTGGCTGTGGGTTTGTCATAGACAGCTCTTATTATTTTGAGATACGTCCCATCAATACCTAATTTATTGAGTTTTTAACATGAAACGTTGTTGAATTTTGTCAAAGGCCTTTTCTGCATCTATTGAGATAATCATGTGGTTTTTGTCTTTGGTTCTGTTTATATGCTGGATTACATTTATTGATTTGTGTATATTGAACCAGACTTGCATCCCAGGGATGAAGCCCACTTGATCATGGTGGATAAGCTTTTTGATGTGCTGCTGGATTCGGTTTGCCGGTATTTTATTGAGGATTTTTGCATCAATGTTCATCAAGGATATTGGTCTAAAATTCTCTTTTTTGGTTGTGTCTCTGCCTGGCTTTGGTATCAGGATGATGTTGGCCTCATAAAATGAGTTAGGGAGTATTCCCTCTTTTTCTATTGATTGGAATAGTTTCAGAAGGAATGGTATCAGTTCCTCCTTGTACCTCTGGTAGAATTCGGCTGTGAATCCATCTGGTCCTGGATTCTTTTTGGTTGGTAAGCTATTGATTATTGCCACAATTTTAGAGCCTGTTAGTGGTCTATTCAGAGAGTCAACTTCTTCCTGGTTTAGTCTTGGGAGGGTGTATGTGTTGAGGAATTTATCCATTTCTTCTAGATTTTCTAGTTTATTTGCGGAGAGGTGTTTGTAGTACTCTCTGATGGTAGTTTGTATTTCTGTGGGATCGGTGGTGATATCCCCTTTATCATTTTTTATTGCATCTATTTGATTCTTCTCTCTTTTCTTCTTTATTAGTCTTGCTAGCGGTCTATCGATTTTGTTGATCTTTTCAAAAAACCAGCTCCTGGAGACATTAATTTTTTGAAGGGTTCTTTGTGTCTCTATATCCTTCAGTTCTGCTCTGATTTTAGTTATTTCTTGCCTTCTGCTAGCTTTCGAATGTGTTCACTCTTGTTTTTCTAGTTCTTTTAATTGTGATGTTAGGGTGTCAATTTTAGATCTTTCCTGCTTTCTCTTGTGGGCATTTAGTGCTATAAATTTCCCTCTACACATTGCTTTGAATGTGTCCCAGAGATTCTGGTATGTTGTGTCTTTCTTCTTGTTGGCTTCAAAGAACATCTTTATTTCTGCCTTCATTTTGTTATGTACCCAGTAGTCATTCAGGAGCAGGCTGTTCAGTTTCCATGTAGTTGAGCAGTTTTGAGTGAGTTTCTTAATCCTGAGTTCTAGTTTGATTGCACTGTAGTCTGAGAGATAGTTTGTTATAATTTCTGTTCTTTTACATTTGCTGAGGAGAGCTTTACTTCCAACTGTGTGGTCAATTTTGGAATAGGTGTGGTGTGGTGCTGAAAAAAATGTATATTCTGTTGATTTGGGGTGGAGAGTTCTGTAGATGTCTATTAGGTCCGCTTGGTGCGGAGCTGAATTCAATTCCTGGATATCCTTGTTAATCTTCTGTCTCATTGATCTGTCTAATGTTGACAGTGTGGTGTTAAAGTCTCCCATTATTATTTTGTGGCAGTCTAAGTCTCTTTGTAGATCACTCAGGACTTGCTTTATGAATCTGGGTGCTCCTGTATTGGGTGAATATATATTTATGATAGTTAGTTCTTCTTGTTGAATTGATCCCTTTACCATTATGTAATGGCCTTCTTTGTCTCTTTTGATCTTTGTTGGTTTAAAGTCTGTTTTATCAGAGACTAGGATTGCAACCCCAGACTTTTTTTGTTTTCCATTTGCTTGGTAGATCTTCCTCCATCCTCTTATTTTGAGCCTATGTGTGTCTCTGCATTGAGATGGGTTTCCTGAATACAGCACACTGATGGGTCCAAATTTATCCAATTTGCCAGTCTGTGTCTTTTATTTGGAGCATTTAGTCCATTTACATTTAAAGTTAATATTGTTATGTGTGAATTTGATCCTGTGATTATGATGTTAGCTGGTTATTTTGCTCATTAGTTGATGCAGTTTCTTCCTAGTCTCGATGGTCTTTACATTTTGGCATGACATTGCAGCGGCTGGTACCGGTTTTTCCTTTCCATGTTTAGTGCTTCCTTCAGGAGCTCTTTAAGGGCAGGCCTGGTGGTGACAAAATCTCTCAGCATTTGCTTGTTTGTATTTTATTTCTCCTTCACTTATGAAGCTTAGTTTGGCTGGATATGAAATTCTGGGTTGAAAATTCTTTTCTTTAAGAATGTTGAATATTGGCCCCCACTCTCTTCTGGCTTGTAGAGTTTCTGCTGAGAGATCCGCTGTTAGTCTGATGGGCTTCCCTTTGTGGGTAACCCAACCTTTCTCTCTGGCTCCCCTTAACATTTTTTCCTTCATTTCAACTTTGGTGAATCTGACAATTATGTGTCCTAGTGTTGCTCTTCTCAAGGAGTATCTTTATGGTGTTCTCTGTATTTCCTGAATCTGAACATTGGCCTGCCTTGCTAGATTGGGGAAGTTCTCCTGGATAATATCCTGCAGAGTGTTTTCCAACTTGGTTTCATTCTCCCCATCACTTTCAGGTACACCAATCAGATGTAGATTTGGTCTTTAAACATAGTCCCATATTTCTTGGAGGCTTTGTTCATTTCTTTTTATTCTTTTTTCTCTAAACTTCCCTTCTCACTTCATTTCATTCATTTCATCTTCCATCACTGATACCCTTTCTTCCAGTTGATCACATCAGCTCCTGAGGCTTCTGCATTCTTCACATAGATCTCGAGTCTTGGCTTTCAGCTCCATCAGCTCCTTTAAGCACTTCTCTGTATTGGTTATTCTAGTTATACATTCTTCTAAATTTTTTTCAAAATTTTCAACTTCTTTGCCTTTGGTTTGAATTTCTTCCTGAAGCTCAGAGTAGTTTGATCGTCTGAAGCCTTCTTCTCTCACCTCGTCATAGTCATTCTCCGTCCAGCTTTGTTCCATTGCTGGTGAGGAGCTGCATTCCTGTGGAGGAGGAGAGGCGCTCTGAATTTTAGAGTTTCCAGTTTTTCTGCTCTGTTTTTTCCCCATCTTTGTGGTTTTATCTACTTTTGGTCCTTGATGATGGTGATGTGCAGATGGGTTTTTGGTGTGGATGTCCTTTCTGTTTGTTAGTTTTCCTTCTAACAGACAGGACACTCAGCTGCAGGTCTGTTGGAGTTTGTTAGAGGTCCACTCCAGACCCTGTTTGCCTGGGTACCAGCAGCAGTGGCTGCAGAACAGCAGATTGTTGTGAATCGTGAATGCTGCTGTCTGATCGTTCGTCTGGAAGTTTTGTCTCAGAGGAGTACCCGGCTGTGTGAGGTGTCAGTCTGCCCCTACTGGGGGGTGCCTCCCAGTTAGGCTGCTCAGGGGTCAGGGGTCAGGGACCCACTTAAGGAGGCAATCTGCCCGTTCTCAGATCTCCAGCTGCATGCTGGGAGAACCACTGCTCTCTTCAAAGCTATCAGACAGGGACATTTAAGTCTGCAGAGGTTACTGCTGTCTTTTTGTTTGTCTGTGCCCTGACCCCAGAGGTGGAGGCTATAGAGGCAGGCAGGCCTCCTTGAGCTGTGGTGGGCTCCAGCCAGTTCGAGCTTCCCAGCTGCTTTGTTTACCTAAGCAAGCCTGGGCAATGGCCGGTGCCCCTACCCCAGCCTCACTGCCACCTTGCAGTTTGATCTCAGACTGCTGTGCTAGCAATCAGCGAGACTCCGTGGTTGTAGGACCCTCTGAGCCAGGTGCAGGATATAATATCCTAGTTAGCCGTTTTTTAAACCTGTTGGAAAAACGCCGTATTGGGGTGGGAGTGACCCGATTTTCCAGGTGCCATCTGTCACCCCTTTTTTTGACTAGGAAAGGGAACTCCCTGACCCCTTGCACTTCCCAAGTGAGGCAATGCCTTGCCCTGCTTCAGCTCATGCATGGTGCACTGCACCCACTGTCCTGCACCCTCTGTCTGGCACTCTCTAGTGAGAAGAACCCAGTACCTCAGATGGAAATGCAGAAATCACCCATCTTCTGTGTCGCTCACGCTGGGAGCTGTAGACCAGAGCTGTTCCTATTCAGCCATCTTGTCTCCCCCCCACCTTTGTATTTTTTTTTCAATTCCCTTTACTTCTGCTTTAATTTTGATTATTTCCTTTCTTCTGCTGGGTTTGGGTTTGGTTTGTTCTTGTTTCTCTAGTTCCTTGAGGGGTTACCTTAGAATGTCAGTTTGTGCTCTTTCAGTCTTTTTGATGTAGTCATTTAAGGCTATGAACTTTTCTCTTAGCACCGCCATTGCTGTATCCCAGAGGTTTTAACAGGTTTTTTCTTTATTCTCATTCAGTTCAAAGAATATCTAAATTTCCATCTTGATTTTGTTTTTGACCCAATGCTCATTCAGGAGCTGGTTATATAATTTCCATGTACTTGCATGGTTTTGAAGTTTCGTTTTGGAGTTGATTTCCAGTTTTATTTCACTGTTGTCTGAGAGAGTGCTTGATATGATTTCAATTTTCTTAAATTTATTGAGGCTTGTTTTATGGCCTATTTTATGGTCTGTCTTGGAGAAAGTTTCATGCACTGTTTCATATAATGTGTATTCTGCAGTTTTTGGATAAAATGTTCTGTATTTTGTTAAGTACCTTTGTTTCAAGGTATAGTTTAAATCCATTGTTTCTTTGTTGACTTTCTATCTTGATGACCTACCTAGTGCTGTCAGTGGAGTAATGAAGTCTCCCACTATTATTGTGTTGCTGTCTACCTCATTTCTTATGTCTATTAGCAATTGTTTAATTAATTTGGGAGTTCCAGTTTTAGGTGCATATATGTTTAGGATTGTGATATTTTCCTGTTGGACAAGGCCTTTTACCATTATATAATGTTTCTCTTTGTCTTTTTTAAATGCTGTTGCTTTAAAGTTTGCTTTGTCTGATATAAGAATAGCTACCCCTGCTTGCTTTTGATGTCCATTTGCATGAAATGCTTTTTTCAACCCCTTTACCTTAAGTGTATGTGAGTCCTTATGTGTTAGGGGAGTCTCCTGAAGACAGCAGATAATTGATTGGTGAGTTCTTATCCATTCTGGAGTTCTGTGTCTTTTAATTGGAACATTTAGGCCATTTACATTCAATGGTAGTATAGAGATGTGAGGTAACATTGCACTCATCATGTTATTTGTTGCCTCTGTACCTTGTTTTTTGCTGTTGTTGTTGTTTTTGTTTTTTAAATTGTATTTTTGTTTTATGGGTCCTGTGCGATTTATGCTTTAAAAAGGTTATTTTGATATGTTTCCAGGATTTGTTTCAAGATTTAGTGCTCCTTTTAGCAGTTCTTGTAGTGATGGCTTGGTAGTGACGAATTGTCTCAGCATTTGTTCGTCTGAAAAAGACTGTATCTTTTCTTTATATATGATGCCTAGTTTCACTGGATAAAAAATTCTTGGATGATAATTGTTTTGTTTGAGGAGGCTGAAGATAGAGCCCCCATCCCTCTAGCTTCTATGACTTCTGCTGAGAAATCTGCTGTTAATTTGATAGGTTTTCCTTCATAGGTTACCTGGTGCATTTGTCTCACAGCTCTTAAGATTCTTTCCTTGTCTTAACTTTAGATAACCTGATGACAATGCCCCTAGGTGGTGATCTTTTTGTGATGAATTTTCCAGGTGTTCACTGTGCTTCTTGTATTTGAATGTCTAGGTCTCTAACAAGGCCAGGGAAGTTTTCTTTGATTATTCCCCCAAATATGTTTTCCAAAGTTTTAGATTTCTTCCTCAGGAACACTGATTATTCTTAGGTTTGGTCATTCAACATAATTCCAGACTTGTTGGAGGCTTTGTTCATATTTTCTTATTATTTTTTCTTTGTCTTTGTTGGATTGGGTTAATTTGAAGACCTTGTATTCTAGCTCTGAATTTCTTTTTTCTACTTGTTGAATTCTATTGCTGAGACTTTCCTTAAATATTTCTCCCTTCACTTCTTATCATTTTTTGGATATCCTTGCACTGGGTTTTGCCTTTCTCTCGTGCCTCCCTGATTAGATTAATAACTAACCCCCTGAATTATTTTCAGGTAAATCAGGGACTTCTTGGTTTGCATCCATTGCTGGTGATCTAGTGTGATTTTTCGAGGGTGCTAAACAGCCTTGTTTTGTCATATTACCAGAGTTGGTTTTCTAGTTTCTTCTCGTTTTGGTAGGCTCTGTCAGAGGGAATGTCTAGGGCTGAAGACTGTTGTTCAGATTCTTTTGTCCCACGGGGTGTTCCCTTGATGTAATAGTCTCCCCCTTTTCCTATGGATGTGACTTCCTGTGAGCTGAGCTGCAGTGATTGTTGTCTCTCTTCTGGGTCTAGCCACTCAGAAATTCTACCCAGTTCTGAGCTGGTACTGGGGTTGTCTGCACAGAGTCCTGTGATGTGAACCATCTGTTGGTCTCTCAGCTATGGACACCAGCACCTGTTCTGGTGGAGGTGGCAAGGGGGTGAAATGGTCTTTGTGAGGGTTCTTTGTTTTGGTGGTTTAATGTTCAATTTTTATGCTGGTTGGCCTCCTGCCATGAGGTGGTGCTTTCCAGAGAGCATCAGCTGTGGCAGTATGGAGAGGAACTGGTGACGGGTGGGGCCCTAGAACTCCCACGAGTATATACCCTTTGTCTTCAGATACCAGGGTGGATAGCGAAGGCCCATCAGGTTGGGGCAGGACTGGTGTGTCTGAGCCCAGACTCTGCTTGTGTAGGTTTTGTTGCTGCTACTGTGGCGGATGGGGGTGAGTTTCCCAGTTCAATGGAGTTGTGTACCTTGGAGGATTATGGCTGCCTCTGCTGTGTCATGCAGGTTGTCAGGGAAGTGGGTAAAGCTGGCAGTTACAGGCCTCACACAGCCCCCATACAATTTGAAGGACTGGTCTCACTACTACCGTGCCCCCTCCCAACAGCCCTCAGTCTGTTTTCATGCAGTGGGTGAGCAGGGCTACCCACCTCCCAACTGCAAAAGTAAAGGGCTTTGGTTCTTCCCCCACCTGTGGAGCCTGCACACTGGATTTGCACCCTCCCCTGAGTTCTGGCCAGGAGGCTTCTATCCTGGTTCAAGTTGTTACAAAATTCAACCAGAGACTTTTTCTTTTCCCTGTGGCATTTTCCCTCACACCTCTGGTCTCCCTCCCAAAGGATCCCTGTGGTGCCAATCAGGAGTGGCCCACTTGGGGACTCAGTGAGCTCCCAGGGCCTTTCCTGCTACTTTCTCTTCCCCTGTATTTCACTTGGCTCTCTAAATTGACTCAGCTCCAGGTAAGGTCAGAAACTTCTCCTGCAAATTAGACCTTCAATTTTCCCAGTGGTGATGTGTGTTCAGGAGCAGAAGATCTCCTTTTCCCACTTCCACAGTTTGGGAACTCATAGTATGTGGGATGTCTTCTGGGTCTTGAAGTAACAGTCTACTTCTTTCAGAGGGTCTGTGGGTCCTCTTTGGATTCTGGGTTTGTTCTTGCAGTCCTTCTGGAGCTAAAGTTCATGATGCAAGCCTCCACACTCGACTTTGTCCATGTGAGTTGGGGCTGCAATCTAGTTCTGCCTCCCATCCACCGTTATGATCCAGAATAAAGTTTCATGTGGCTGAGGAGGCCTCACAATCATGGCAGGAGACAAGGAAGCAAGTCACGTCTTACATGGATGAGGCAGGCAAAGAGAGAAAGACTACCACTGCATTTATGATGCTATGCTTCCTGTGAGTTGCTCCCAGACAAAGACTAAGCACTGGGGAGATAAAATAACAAGATAATTCTTGGGAGATGTGAGACTTTTTCAGTGGGAGACTTAGGCTTGAGGACTTCCCATTGGCTTGCTCTGCTGCATTTCAAGACTCTTCAGTCAATCTTTTTTCCTTTCATCTCTTCATCCATTAGTGTCATATCTGAATTGTGGTCTAAAATTTCTCTCCTTCTTCTCCTGCTACCTCTCCCAATAAATCTCTTATACATCTAGTTCCATTTTGGTGTCAGCCTTTAAGTATATCTGAACTACACATGAGGGAAAAATGGTACTAGCATACATAATTTGTGAATTTTTTTTTTTGGTAGTGAGAAAATTTTCAGACAAAGAATTACTTGAATGATATAAAATAAAAATAAAATCATATAGTCAAATAGCCAAACTGTAAACACATACATACAGATAGACAGACTTTTTTTGGGGAAAATAATAACTATCAGATTTCAAGTGATTTTTGGAATGCTTAATTTAAGCAATATTTTATTTCTGCTTTGTGTGTCATTGCTTTAAGAAAATTTATAACTGAATAGTATGAACATTCACATAGTTAAATGATATTTGAGACTCAATCTTTAATTAACCACTCTAGTAATGTGCAAGTTCTGCCCTTGGACCTTTTCTTTTCCTACACACTTATTAACTATCTCATTCATTCCCATTGTTTAAATGATTGTTTGTCATGCTGACAACTCCCAGCTCTAGCTCAGACTTTTTCCCTGAACTCCAGATCTATCTATCTATCTAATCTAAATCTATCTATATCTCCAATAGTTCGGTCTCTTCTTTTCCCCCAAAGTTGCTTCATCGCCTTCTACTCTTACTTGTCTTAGAGCATGGCATCACCAACAATCCGGTAACCACAGCCATAAACTAGGTGTAGTTTCCTCCCTTTGATGCTATATACAATTCATTGTAGGTTGGCTTCCTAAATGGTTTTTGAAGTCATCCCTCTTTGCTATCCTCTGATACCTGCACAGTCCTAGTTAACAGAGTTTCTCATTGGATTACTTCAATAATCTTCTAAGTTATCTTCCTGCTTCACTTTTTCCAGAACTTTGATTTGCTCTTTCTTTTCTATTCATTATTCAGAGCTCAGTCTAAAGTTTAACTCTTTAGTGAGTATTTTATTGATTTAATATATCTTACCAAGCAAGTTGTTTTCAAATTTTATTTATTTTTATTTATTTATTTATTTAGTTATTTAGTTATTTTATAATTTCAGTTTCTACTTTAGATTCAGGGGGTACAGGTGTAGGTTTGTAACATGGGTACATTGTGTGATGCTGAGGTATGGATTATGATTGAGCCCCTCACCCAGGAATTTAGTACAGTACCAAATAGTTACTTTTTCAATCTTTATCCCTCTCTCCCTCCCTCCTTTAGTGGTCCCCAGTATCCACTGTTGCCTTGTTTGTATACATGTGTACTCAAAATTTAGCCCACACTCATAAGTGAAAACATGTGGTACTTAGTATTCTGTTCCTGTGTTAACTCGCTCTTATGAATCACTTTTTCTTAGTCCATTGTAGTACTTATAACCAGTTAATATTTTGTTGTTTATTTGTGTGTGTGTGTGTGTGGGTGTGTGTTTATTTCAATGTAAGTTCCACAAGAGTAGGGACCTCGTCTATTTTTCAACACTTTTTCTCAGCAGATAAAAATGTCTGCCACGTATAATATACTTAATAATTTTTGTTGATAAAAATACTGATTGATTAGCTACTGAGTAAATGTATAAATGAATAACATTTCACCTAGCAAACATTGTTTTGCTTAGAATAATTCCACCCCTACTCCTGGCAGATTTTCTCAGCCAGATACCTGAGTATATTTCCAGACTCTGGAATGTATCCACTGAAACATAATAAAGATACTCTATAACAGATTCACGTGTCTGATATTGTTTGTTGTATTTTAGGGTTTGGGGGTAGAACAGCTGTTCATTTTCTTACAGGTATTCTGAACCAATTAAGAAGAGTCAGAATATGGGAGTCTAAAATTTTGCCTGTACTAATAAAGCTCATATTGAAGCATGTGATAAATCTGCAGGCAAATAGGCCTCCTAATACTAACCCTGGAAATAAAATTAGAAGCTCAGTCATCAACAGCAGTGAACTGAGACAGACTTCCTCCAACAGGGATAGAGCCTGCACTTGTAAATTTTAGAGCATGAAGTTTACAGGGCAGGACGCTCTTAGGCATTTGCGATTAGGATGGTGGTCCTCAAAGTGTGTTCCTCCCACGCTCCTCCAAAGGAGCACAAGCATCATTGGCATCACCTGGAAACTTGTTAGAAATGCCAATACTCAGGCCCTGTTCCAGAACTATTCAAGCAGAAACTCTGCAGTTGGGGCCCAGACATCTGTATTTTAACAAGCCCTTCAGTGATTCTGATGCACCACAAGTTGAAAATCACTGGCATAGGACTTAGAGGAGAGAAAGATCTCCTTTTAGTCCATAGAGTTAAGCTTAGCTCACAGCTGAAACCAGGACTGGAAATAGGGTGAAGCAAGTGTGGTCCTAGGGTACAAAATTTAAAGAAGCCCTTATTCTTATGTTTGTCCAAGTACCATGGTGTTTCTGCTGTTGAACAAACAGTTACCATTGTCTAATTTAGCAAAGTAGTGATTAAACATTTTCATTATTAATATATTGATAATATAAAACTTCGATATATATTTTAAAGGTGATATTCAAGTATAGTTAAATCAGCATGGAATTGGCAAAAATCAAGCAACTAAGATTGTAATTGGCTTTTTATGTTAAAACATGTTTACTAATGTGGTTTCTCCATAATGGAGATAGGAATCACAGAAAGTTAGAACTGAATAATACCTTAAAGATTATCTAATCCAGAGCCAGCCTTTGAAGGCCAAGTGTTATAAATAAACCAGACAATAGCTAGTCTAATGATGTTTAAGAGATTCTGAGAAGGTGACCCTCCAGATACTTGTATTTGATTTACTTGATTTATTCAGATTATTTGATTTGATTTATTCACATTAATTTTCAATTTAAATCCCTGGAAATTCATCTCTGATTTTTAAAGTCTTCTTTTAAAATGCAAACATATCTAACTGGATTACAAGATGATGTATGATTGATCATTAGTGTCATTTGGTTAATCAGACTATTTTCTTTGTGGCACATAGCAATTCATATAAGCAGTCTGAGGGAACAAATCTAGTATTTATGGAGCACTTGGTGACAGATACTATGCTATAAATGTAATTGTAAAATTAGAAAAACGATATTTCTACTAAAGATAAGAAAATATGGGGCAGAAAATACAGAATTTTGACCACCCAGAGAGCAGGAAAAAAGCACTGAATGCCTTTGGGGCCAAGAAAAGTGAGGAAGAAAAAGAAGATCCCAGTGGTACAATATGAATTCTTTGAATGAAGCTTATATATCTACCATCAGAGGGACTGGTTAAATGATTTGTGATATATTGTTAATGAATATCATGCAGCCATCAAAAAGATGATGCAGCTCTCTACTGATATTCAACAATCCCCATGATAGTTTTAATTAAGGAAGCAAGGCATTATATTACCTTACTATTTGTATAAAAAGAATTTAAATATGCATAAAATATGTCAGAAACCATACTCAAAGAATTGTTAACAATTGCCTATGAAGAGAGAAACTGGGTGTCTAAGTAAAAGGGAGACAATTTTAATTGTATACCCATTTATTTGTTTTGTATTTTATACCATGTATATATATTAGCTATTTCAAAAAATGAATGTAATTTAGTTTTAAAAAATGTATTCCAGTATGGGCCCTATAATTTTGAGTAGGAAGAAGATATTATTGACTCTCTGTGAGTGTGCTCTGCATTTCAGTTATTTTTTTTCCATTAGGGAAGTTGTACTTGAATAGAAGAGTGAGCTTGTTGTCACGTTTGCCATTCCATTGATCATTAGGATTAATTTAGCAAACCCATCTCTCTCTACCCTCCTTACTCCCAAAGCTGATTTAAGTCAAAGAGGATGATTTTGCCACAGAGAACTATCGATTGTACCAAAATAGCTATGCTTGTCTACTAGAACTTCAAAGTAACCCACATATTCCATACGGAGAAGTTGGCATTTACCTATCTTTATCTTAATAGAGAGTAGTTAGAGAATATCCGATCAATAAGGACTCAAAATAGAACACAAGGGAGGACAGAAATTGTGGTGCAGGGCGAATGAATTATCAGGGTGTGATACAAAGGTCACCAAAGCCATCATGTGTTGTATAAGAAACAGGAATGCCTCCAGTGATCTCGGGCAATATTGGATGTCAATGGAGAGCATTTTCCTCTGGTCTTGACTGAGCTAAACCCAGCCTCTAAAGTGCTATGCAATACCACTTTCCAGGACAAAACTGCCTTTGTTTGGAAGGATTTTGGAATTATAGGCCTAACAAGAAAGTGTTATTACAATAGAACCAGAGGAGGAAAAAGACAATCATTGTCTTTTATGTTTTAATATAGACATTTGAAACTCAGGGCAGATTCAAATAGTTCTTTGATTAAAATAATTTTGAATTGGAAGTCTAGAACTCAGGGCATCAGGTTTATGTCATACACAATAGTATAGAAACACAGCCATTTGATACCTTTGATGGCACTCATCTCTGGGAAAATTATCCTCTTTGACTGAAAACAGCTTTGGGAGCAGAGAGGACAGAGAGAGATGGGTTTGCTAAATTGATGTAGCTTTTTAGGGCTAGAAACTGAGTCTTGATACTGCCTCTAAAATAATAAAAGTTTTTGGGAATAGTTTTTGCCCACCAAATTCACAAAAATACTGAGATATGAAACAGAATACCGATTTACTAAGTTACTCTTAGAGTACAATTGTCACAAGGGCTGGAATACATAGATGCATTGATTCTCTTACATACATACATTCTCTTCTCTATAGGAAAGTTTACATGGAAAGCCACATTATAATCAGAAAGTGATCAAATAAACCCAGTAATATACAGCAAGGGAATGAGCTGGATGATTTTCATGGCTCCTGTCTTCCAGCTAGGAGAGTAATTAATCCATCTCCACTGGAAAGATAGACCAACTGAACAAACATTCATCTTAGTTCACTAATACATTTTCTCCTAGATCATGCCCCTATAATACCCACCCTGAATAAATGTATTTTGTTTCAAAATTGACAAATTCTTTCCTGTTATTAGAATATTTGCACCTGTCAATACCATTGATTAGGCTGCAGTCTAGCACTCTCTTCCACTTTTTGGGTTGGAAGACACTCTTTCTCTTGTGATATTTGCATGTACCTGAGTCCATCCATTGTGTGTTGCCTCTTTTTTTTTCTTAAAAAACTTTTGATGATGAGTTTTATTAAATTTAATCAACTGCTTTTTTTCATTACACTTTAAGTTTTACGGTACATGTGCACAACGTGCAGGTTTGTTATATATGTATACATGTGCCATGTAGGTGTGCTGCACCCATTAACTAGATATTTAACATTAGGTATGTCTCCTAATGCTATCCCTCCCTCCTTCCCCCACCCCACAACAGGCCCCAGTGTGTGATGTTCCCCTTCCTCTCTCCATGTGTTCTCATTGTTCAATTCCCACCTGTGAGTGAGAACATGCAGTGTTTGGTTTTTTGTCCTTGTGATAGTTTGCTGAGAATGATCATTTCCAGCTACATCCATGTCCCTACAAAGGAAATGAACTCATCGTTTTTTATGGCTGCATAGTATTCCACGGTGTATATGTGCCACATTTTCTTAATCCAGTCTATCATTGTTGGACATTTGGCTTGGTTCCAAGTCTTTGCTACTGTAAATAGTGCCGCAATAAACATACGTGTACATGTGTCTGTATAGCAGCATGATTTATAATCCTTTGGGTATATACCCAGTAATGGGATGGCTGAGTCAAATGGTATTTCTAGTTCTAGATCCCTGAGGAATCGCCACACTGACTTCCACAAGGGTTGAACTAGTTTACAGTCCCACCAACTGTGTAAAAGTGTTCCTATTTCTCCACATCCTCTCCAGCACCTGTTGTTTCCTGACTTTTTAATGATCGTCATTCTAACTGGTGTGAGATGGTATCTCATTTTGGTTTTGATTTGCATTTCTCTGATGGCCAGTGATGATGAGCATTTTTTCATGTGTCTGTTGGCTGCATAAATGTCTTCTTTTGAGAAGTGTCTGTTCATATCCTTCAACCACTTTTTGATGGGATTGTTTGTTTTTTTCTTCTAGATTTGTTTGAGTTCTTTGTAGATTCTGGATATTAGCCCTTTGTCAGATGAGTATATTGCAAAAATTTTCTCCCATTCTGTAGGTTGCCTGTTCACTCTGATGGTAGTTTCTTTTACTGTGCAGAAGCTCCTTAGTTTCATTAGAACCCATTTGTCAATTTTGGCTTTTGTTGCCATTGCTTTTGGTGTTTTAGACATGAAGTCCTTGCCCATGCCTATGTCCTGAATGGTATTGCCTAGGTTTTCTTCTAGGGATTTTATGATTTTCGGTCTAACATTTAAGTCTTTAATCCATCTTGAATTAATTTTTGTATAAGGTGTAAGGAAGGGATCCATTTTCAGCTTTCTACATATGGCTAGCCAGTTTTCCCAGCACCATTTATTAAATAGGGAATCCTTTCCCCATTGCTTGTTTTTGTTAGGTTTGTCAAAGATCAGATAGTGGTAGATATCCAGCATTATTTCTGAGGGATCTGTTCTGTTCCATTGATCTATATCTCTGCTTTGGTACCAGTATCATGCTGTTTTGGTTACTGTAGCCTTGTAGTATAGTTTGAAGTAAGGTAGCGTGATGCCTCTGGCCTTGTTCTTTTGGCTTAAGATTGACTTGGCAATGCTTGCTCTTTTTTGGTTCCATATGAGCTTTAAAGTAGTTTTTTACAATTCTGTGAAGAAAGTCATTGGTAGCTTGATGGGGATGGTATTGAATCTATAAATTATCTTGGGCAGTATGGCCATTTTCACGATATTGATTCTTCCTATCCATGAGCATGGAATGTTCTTCCATTTGTTTGTATCCTCTTTTATTTCATTGAGCAGTGGTTTGTAGTTCTCCTTGAAGAGGTCCTTCACATCCCTTGTAAGTTGAATTCTTAAGTATTTTATTCTCTTTGAAGCAATTGTGAATGGGAGTTCACTCATGATTTTGCTCTCTGTCTGTTATTGGTGTATAAGAATGCTTGAGAATTTTGCACATTGATTTTGTATCCTGAGACTTTGCTGAAGTTGCTTCTCAGATTAAGGAGATTTTGGGCTGAGACGATGGGGTATTCAAAATATACAATCATGTCATCTGCAAACAAGGACAATTTGACTTCCTCTTTTCCTAATTGAATACCCATTATTTTCTTCTCCTGCCTAATTGCCCTGGCCAGAACTTCCAACACTATGTTGAATAGGAGTAGTGAGAGAGGGCATCCCTGTCTTGTGCCAGTTTTCAAAGGGAATGCTTCCAGTTTTTGCCCATTCAGTATGATATTGGCTGTGGGTTTGTCATAGATAGCTCTTATTATTTTGAGATACGTCCCATCAATACCTAATTTATTGAGAGTTTTTAGCATGAAGGGATGTTGAATTTTGTCAAAGGCCTTTTCTGCATCTTTTGAGATAATCATGTGGTTTTTGTTGTTGGTTCTGTTTGTATGCTGCATTATGTTTATTGATTTGCGTATGTTGAACCAGCCTTGCATCCCAGGGATGAAGCCCACTTGATCATGGTGGATAAGCTTTTTGATGTGCTGCTGGATTCGGTTTACCAGTATTTTATTGACAACTTTTGCATCGATGTTCATCAGGGATATTGGTCTAAAATTCTCTTTTTTTGTTGTGTCTCTGCCAGTCTTTGGAATCAGGATAATGAGGCCTCATTAAATGAGTTAGGGAGGATTCCCTCTTTTTCTATTGATTGTATTAGTTTCAGGAGGAATGGTACCAGATCCTCCTTGTACCTCTGGTAGAATTCAGCTGTGAATCCATCTGGTCCTGGACTCTTTTTGGTCGGTAAGCTATTAATTATTGCCTCAATTTCTGCTTCTGTTATTGGTCTATTCAGAGATTCAACTTCTTCCTGGTTTAGTCTTGGGAGGGTGTATGCGTCGAGGAATTTATCCATTTCTTCTAGATTTTCTAGTTTATTTGTGTAGAGGTGTTTACAGTATTCTCTGATGGTAGTTTGCATTTCTGTAGGATCGGTGGTGATATCCCTTTTATCATTTTTTATTGCATCTATTTGATTCTTCTCTCTTTTCTTCTTTATTAGTCTTGCTAGTGGTCTATCAATTTTGTTGATCTTTTCAAAAAATCGGCTCCTGGATTCATTAATTTTTTGAAAGGTTTTTTGTGTCTCTATTGCCTTCAGTTCTGCTCTGATTTTAGTTATTTCTTGCCTTCTGCTAGCTTTTGAATGTGTTTGCTCTTGTTTCTCTAGTTCTTTTAATTGTGATGTTAGGGTGTCAATTTTAGATCTTTCCTGCTTTCTCTTGTGGGCATTTAGTGCTATAATTTTCCCTCACACACTGCTTTGAATGTGTCCCAGAGATTCTGGTATGTTGTGTCTTTGTTCTCATTGGTTTCAAAGAACATCTTTATTTCTGCCTTCATTTTGTTATGTACCCAGTAGTCTCAGGAGCAGGTTGTTCAGTTTCCATGTAGTTGAGCAGTTTTGAGTGAGTTTCTTAATCCTGAGTTCTAGTTTGATTACGATGTGGTCTGAAAGACAGTTTGTTATAATTTCTGTTCTTTTACATTTGCTGAGGAGTGCTTTACTTTCAAACATGTGGTCAATTTTGGAATAGGTGTGGTGTGGTGCTGAAAAGAATGTATATTTTTTTGTTTTGGTGTGGAGAGCTCTGTAGATGTCTATTAGGTCCGCTTGGTGCAGAGCTGAGTTCAATTCCTGGATATCCTTTTTAACTTTCTGTCTCGTTGATCTGTCCAATGTTGACAGTGGGTTGTTAAAGTCTCCCATTATTATTGTGTGGGAGTCTAAGTATCTTTGTAGTCACTAAGAACTTGCTTTATGAATCTGGGTGCTCCTGTATTGGGTGCATATATATTTAGGATAGTTAGTTCATCTTGTTGAATTGATCCCTTTACCATTATGTAATGGCCTTCTTTGTCTCTTTTGATTTTTGTTGGTTTAAAGTCTGTTTTATCCAAGACTAGGATTGCAACCCCTGCCATTTTTTGTTTTCCATTTGCTTGGCAGATCTTCCTCCATCCCTTTGTTTTCAGCCTATGTGTATCTCTGCACATGAGATGGATTTCCTGAATACAGCACACTGATGGGTCTTGACTCTACCCAATTTGCCAGTCTGTGTCTTTTAATTGGAGCATTTAGCCCATTTACATTTCAGTTTAATACTGTTATGTGTGAATTTGATCCTGTCATTATGATGTTAGCTGGTTATTTTGCTCGTTAGTTGATGCAGTTTCTTCCTAGCCTTGATGGTCTTTACAATTTGGCATGATTTTGCAGTCGCTGGTACCAGTTGTTCCTTTCCATGTTTAGTGCTTCCTTCAGGAGCTCTTTTAGGGCAGGCCTGGTAGTGACCAAATCTCTCAAGCATTTGCTTGTCTGTAAAGTATTTTATTTCTCCTTCACTTATGAAGCTTAGTTTGGCTGGATATGAAATTCTGGGTTGAAAATTCTTGTCTTTAAGAATGTTGAATATTGGCCCCCACTCTCTTCTGGCTTGTAGAGTTTCTGCCAAGAGATCAGCTGTTAGTCTGATGGGCTTCCCTTTGTAGGTAACCCAACCTTTCTCTCTGGCTGCCCTTAACATTTTTTCCTTCATTTCAACTTTGGTGAATCTGACAATTATGTGTCCTAGTGTTGCTCTTCTCGAGGAGTATCTTTGTGGCATTCTCTGTATTTCCTGAATCTGAATGTTGGCCTGCCTTGCTAGATTGGGGAAGTTCTCCTGGATAATATCCTGCAGAGTGTTTTCCAACTTGGTTCCATTCTCCCCGTCACTTTCAGGTACACCAATGAGATGTAGATTTGTTCTCTTCACATAGTCCCATATTTCTTGGAGGCTTTATTTGTTTCTTTTTATTCTTTTTTCTCTAAACTTCTCTTCTTGCTTCATTTCATTCATTTGATCTTCCATCACTGATACCCTTTCTTCCAGTTGATCAAATCGGCTACTGAGGCTTGTGCATTCATCATGTAGTTCTCGTGCCATGGTTTTCAGCTCCATCAGGTCCTTTAAGGGCTTTTCTGCATTGGTTGTTCTAGCTAGCCATTCGTCTAATCTTTTTTCAAGGTTTTTAACTGCTTTGCCATGGATTCAAACTTCCTCCTTTAGCTCAGAGTAGTTTGATCATCTAAAGACTTCTTCTCTCAACTCGTCAAAGTCATTCCCTGTCCAGCTTTGTTCTGTTGCTGGTTAGGAGCTGCATTCCTTTGGAGGAGGAGAGGCACTCTGATTTTTGGAATTTTCAGTTTTTCTGCTCTGTTATTTCCCCATCTTTGTGGTTTTATCTACCTTTTGTCTTTGATGATGGTGACGTACTGATGGGGTTTTGGTGTGGATGTCCTTTCTGTTTGTTAGTTTTCCTTCTAACATTCAGGACCCTCAGCTCCATGTCTGTTGGAGTTTGCTGGAGTTCCACTCCAGACCCTGTTTGCCTGGGTATCAGCAGCAGAGGCTGCAGAACAGCGGATATTGGTGAACAGCAAATGTTGCTGCTGGATCGTTCCTCTGGAAGTTTTGTCTCAGAGTAGTACCCGGCCGTGTGAGGTGTCAGTCTGCCCCTAGTAGGGGGTGCCTCCCAGTTAGGCTACTCAGGGGTCAGGGACCCACTTGAGGAGGCAGTCTGTCCATTTTCAGATCTCAAACTCCATGCTGGGAGAACCACTACTCTCTTCAAAGCTGTCAGACAGGGACCTTTAAGTCTGCAGAGGTTTCTGCTGCCTTTTGTTTGTCTGTGCCCTGCCCCCAGAGGTGGAGTCTACAGAAGCAGGCAGACCTCCTTGAGCTGCGGTGGGCTTCACCCAGTTCAAGCTTCCCGGCCGCTTTGTTTACCTACTCAAGACTCGGCAATGGTGGGCGCCCCTCTCCCAGCCTCGCTGCTGCCTTGCAGTTTGATCTCAGACTGCTGTGCTAGCAATGAGCTAGGCTCTGTAGGCATAGGACCCTCTGAGCCAGGCGAGGGATACAATCTCCTGGTGTGCCATTTGCTA
Organism: Homo sapiens; assembly: GCF_000001405.40. NCBI lineage: Eukaryota > Metazoa > Chordata > Mammalia > Primates > Hominidae > Homo > Homo sapiens. The sequence goes on from NC_000023.11 coordinate 85,772,723, forward strand.
AGACTGTTGGAAAAGTGCAGTATTAGTGTGGGAGTGACCCGATTTTCTAGGTGCCATCTGTCACCCCTTTCATTGGCTAGGAAAGGGAATTCCCTGACCCCTTGTGCTTCCCATGTGAGGCAATGCCTCGTCATACTTTGGTTTAGGCTCAGTGTGCTGCACACACTGTCCTGCACCCACTGTCCGACAATCCCCAGTGAGATGAACCCGGTACCTCAGTTGGAAATGCAGAAATCATTCGTTTTCTGTGTCACTCACACTGGGAGCTGTAGACTGGAGCTGTTCTTATTTGGCCATCTTGCCTCCACCCCCCTGTGTGTTGCCTTTATTAGCATAACTCAGAACTGTGAAGGGGCCCCATTGTTACTTCTAGGACCACTTGCATTATAGTGTTTATTGTGGCTTATGTTGAATAATATATACAGCTTAAATATATTAACATATATTTCAACAAGTCTTACTATATGCCTGGCACTTTGCTGAGCAGTTCACATGTATTTTCTCACATCAATCTATGTGACAGGCAAATATTTATTTATATTATTGCAGAGATTGAGAATAAATAACTCACTGAGAAAACAGAATAATAGTAAGTCAAGAAACTTCCCCAAGATCACACAGCTAGTAAATTTAGGTGCTGGAATTCTAACTCATGCCTTTCTGATTCCAGGTACCACAATGACATTCTTCTTTATTTATGTACAACTTACCACCTTACATAACTTTTGGTTCAGGAATCTCTCCCCAACAACTTATGTAAAGAAAATTATATAGGATGGATAGAAAATCTACTTAAAAGTTTGTTCACTACTGTGCCTTTTTTGATAGTGAAAAATGAAAATAAACTAAATGTACAACAATAAAACTGTTGAATAAATTATGGTATTTTCATACAACAGAATACTATGTACCTAAAATGTAACAGTGTAACCCTGTATTGTTTGACATGGGAATATGTTCAAGATTTTGTATTAAGTAAAACATTCAAGTTTAAATTAGTATATGGAGTTGGATCTTATTTTTATTTAAAAGATTATATATGAGTTGAAAAAAACTGTGAGGCTATGCATAAAGGTAAATAGTGGTTATCTCTGGGTTTTAGGAGCTCATGTGTCATTCTTACTTTGTCTCTGCTTACCTGAAATTTATAATTTTCAACAGTGGAAATGTAGTTCTGATGAAATAAGAAAAAGTGATTTTAGAATACGCAGATGCATTGAAGTATATATTAATAAACAAAAATACATTTTTATTGTTTTGATGTAATAGAATCTTCAATTGCATGGAGCCACAGCCTTAAACTATCATATTTCTTCTGTTAATGTTTTCTAAACTTTCTCATGAGCATTCTTTCTTCATCAATTACATTAACAGAGCCAGTCCATATCAAAATGGAAAGATGAGCTTAGTTTCATCTGAAGCAATTTCTCACCTATGCCCCTCTCTCCTTCTTTTAAGATTCCCAGGCCTTTTATCCTATTACAGTTCTTCAGAAAAATAGAAGGATGATGATAATAATGGATATAAAAATAATTACAACAATCAAAACAAAGTTAACCATTGTATTTTGCGGAGACCAGCTCAGTCGGGGAGACCCTAACCCTGCGGTGCTAGAGGAATTAAAGACACACACACACAAATATCACGTGTGGAGTGGGAAATCGGGGTCTCACAGGCTTCAGAGCTGAGAGCCTTGAACAGAGACTTACCCACATATTTCTTGACAGCAAGCCAGTCATAAGATTTACTAAAAATATTCCTTAAGGGAAAAAAAGGGATGCGCTGAAATAAAGGGATGGGCTCTGGCTAGTTATCTGCAGCAGGAACATGTCCTTATGGCACAGATTGTTCATGCTATTGTTTGTGGTTTAAGAATGCCTTAAGTGGTTTCCTGCCCTGGGTGGGCCAGGTGTTCCTTGCCCTCATTTGGTAAACCGACACCCTTCCAGCATGGTTGTCAAGGCCATCATGAGCATGTCACAGTGCTGCAGAGATTTTGTTTATGGCCAGTTTGGGGGCCAGTTTATGGCCAGATTTTGGGGCCTGTTGCCAACAGTGTTGAGTATTGACAACATATTCAGCACTTAACTGCATCTAACTATGTAATTGCTTTGGAGTCACACAGTTCCTTCAGGTAGGTCTTATCAATGTTATTTCACAGTTGAAAAAATAAGTTCCAAAAGTTTAGCCAAAGGACTACACTGATGGTAAGTGGTAGAAACATGATTCAATTCTCTTTTTGTTAGAAGCCAAAATTTTATAAGGGAAACAATTGTTCTATATTGCCTTTATTAGACAATCATGGTCTAATAAGAAGCAGGTATTCTAAGGCTTTTGCAGTACCTTCTTTATGAAATCTATCCATACCCAGATCACCTCCCAATTTTGAGTTGCCTACATCTTTCTTCAGTCACCACAGGAAACCTAGGTTCCCAGGTCATCTCTCGACTACTTACCTCTTATCTCTATGCTGCTCCCAGTCTGTACCAATCTCACACCCCTTTCCCACCCTGAGTTTATTCACCATATCCTCTGGCAACTCACAATCTGTAATCAGGAAAAAAAATGTACACTTCAAATTAAAATTAAAAACTATTTTTTGTCTTTAAATTTTTATTCTTTACTGTTGTAAAATACACATAACATGAAAATTATCATTTGTATAGTTTTTAAAAGTACAGTTCAGTGGCATTAATTACATTCCCATTGTTGTGCAACCATCACCACTACCTCCAGAATATTTTCATCATCCAAAACTAAACATTCTATACCCATTAAACAGTAAGTCTCCATTTACTCCTCCCTTCATGCCTTGGAAATCACCATTCTACTTTTGGTCTTTATGGATGACTGTCATAGGTGCCCAGTATAACTGGAATCTTAAAGTACTTGTCCTTTGTGCCTGTCTTATATCACCATAATGTTTTCAAGGTTCATCTATGTTATAGCATTGGTCAGAATTTCATTCCTTTTCAAGGTTGAATATTATTCCATCTTATGTATTGTCATATTTTGTTTATCCATTTATCTGTGGTGGAAAATTAGGTCATTTCTACATTTTGGCTATTGTGAATAATGCTGCTATAAACATTGTTGTACAGATGTCTATTCAAGTCACTGCTTTTAAATATTTTTGATATATATATATATACACATAGAGAGAGAGAGAGAGAAATAGAGAATGAGAGAGATAGAAAGAGGGAGAAGGAGATGTAGAAATGCTGGATCACATGAAAATTATAAGTTTAATTTTTTGAGGAATTACTGTACTATTTTCCATAGTAGCTGCACCATTTTACATTCCCAGCAACAATGTACAAGGGTTTCTATTTCTTTACATTCTCAAAAATGTCTGTTATTTTTTGTTGTTGTTTTGTTTTTTTAAATAGCAGTTCTAATCCTTCTGAGGTGGTATCTTATTGTGGCTTTGATTTGCATTTTCCTAAGGATTAGTGATATTGAGCATTGTTTTGTATGCTTATTGGCCATTTGCATATCTTCTTCAGAAAAATGTCTATCAAAATCCTGTGCCCATTTCCAATGGGCGGTTTTTGTTGTTGAGTTGTAGGCATTATTTATACTAATGTATTCTGGACTTTAATCCCTTAACAGATATATTTTCTCACATTCTACCTGTTGCCTTAGTTCATTCTCTTGATATTGTCTGTAGTAGTCCATTCTTACATTGCTATAAAGAAATATCTGAAAGTGGGTAATTTTGTTTTTTTAAAAAGGTTTAATCAGCGTATAGTTCTGTAGGCTGTACAGGCTTCTCCTGGGGAGGCCTCAGGAAACTTACAATTATGGTGAAAGGTTAAAGGGAAGCAGGAACATATAAGATTTGTCCTTATTTTTTGTCTAAGAGTTTTACAATTTTAGCACTTATGTTTATGTCTTCAATTAATTTTCTCTTACTATTTGTATATGGTGTAAGGTAAGAATCCAATTTTATTCTTTTCCATATAGATATCCAGTTTTCCCACCACCATTTGTTGAAAACACTATCTTTTTCTCCATTGGACAGTCTTAGCATCCTCATTGAAAATCATTTGACCATATATAGAAAGGTTTATTTTTGAATTATTTATTATATTCCATTAGTCTATATGCCTATGCTTTTTTCAATACCACACATTTTTTATTACTGTAGCTTTGTAATAAGTTTTGAAGTCAGGAAATGTGACTCATCCTGTTTTGTTTTTCTTTCTAAAAAATGTTTTATATATTCAGCATCCCTTGAAATTTCATGTAAGTTTTAGGATAGGTTTTTCTATTTCTGCTCCCCCAAAAATGTCATTGGAATTTTGATAGTGATTAATTGAACCTATGGATTGTTTTCGGTCATATTGTCATAGTAACAAAAAATATTTCTTCTAATCCAATGATGTTTGGCTACTTTTTATAATTTTTATCTTTTGTCATTAGTTTCATTTTAACATATTATCATTCTCCTTATTTAGTTTAGTTCTTTGTGTTTTTCTTTAGCACATTGAGGATATTTGAAATAGTTGCTTTCATGTATTTGTCTGTTAAATCTGATGCCTGTCATTCTTCTGGGATGGTTTTTGACATTTTTTTTCCTTTCAATGGGCTACATTTTTCTATTTCTTTTATGCATTGTAAACTTTTTATTAATAATTTAGCATTTTAAAAAAAGTCATCTTTCTCAGTCTTTGCAGACTGGCTCTGTGCCAAAGCAGTCCTTCACTAATTAGCTGAGTGTATTATGGGTCTTGCAATTATTCTGAGGTGAAAACTTAAGTTCTTCTCAGGTCTTTTCTGAGCACGCATTCTGCCTGGGCCTGTGTGTGGCTTTTTTGAGTCTCACATACATGTGGTTGCTTTTCAATGTGTTAATTTCCCAAAAGTCTCACCCTAGCTTCTTTTCAGGGCCTTAGATGGACTATTAGATGTTTCCATCAATAATTATTTGCCCTAGGGGTCTGCACATTTACAGTCCATCTGCACATTTCCCAAACTGTGCCTGCTGCTGTTCCCACCTGAGATCTGAGATGGTGAAACAAAAACTGGTCCTTCATGCAGCCCCTAGAGTGGTTAAAAGTTCACATATGAAGTCGGATAAACTCCCTTCAGTCAAAAGATGGAACTGAGAGTTGGGCTGCCTCCTCCACCAAACCAAGACTGTGCTGTACCTGGGATGGGGTGGGACAAATGAGGTAAAAATGCCACAAAATATCTTACCATTTTGAATATGGCTTTTTTTATTGGACATTTACTTTGTTGCTGTAGCTCCTTGACTATTTTCCAACAATCCTATAAGTTTATTTTAGTCAGTTTCTTATTATTTCCTGATGTTTCTGTGGTGGCACAAGAGCCTAGAACATCTTAGTCTGACATTTTTTGATATTACTCTTCACAATGTTTTAAAATTCTTAACATTCCTTTCACCTTCTTGCTCTAACTTAAACCTAGATATCCAATGGGGATACTACTTTCCCTGAAGTCCTTTCAAATGGTGATTATTTTAACTTTCACACCCATGTAACCTAGAGTCTGAGGTAAAATATATATCTTCCTTGCTCCACATTGCCGCTTCAAAACCGTTTCTCCTTTTTCCTTTGAATATCCTGTGGAGTTTATGCTAATAGCCATGCCATCTGCTGCATTTTCTTGTCATTGTTAACCAGTAAAATGCTGTTTACTTCTCACCATTCATTTCCATCTTCAGCACTTGGCTCATTGTCTTCCTCCCTCTCCATCATGAATATTATTAGTATTATTGATAACTACAGTATTCATTTAGCTAATATATAAAAAATTCTTGCTTTTAAGTGTTTATGTATTCTCCTTTTAATGATTTCTTTCTCCCGTCCACCTTAACCACTAAACCCCATTGTTACATCAACCACTAACCCCATTGTTACCCATCAACCATCATTGCATTGCCTCCAAAGTATTAAATTTAAGCATTCTACTCTAACCCCAAATTCCTTACTTTTTTGTTCAATTACTTAATTACCGCACACCATTAGTTCTTCAAACTCATTGAGCCTGTACACTAAGTACCTAACCATGTTTTCACTAAACAGCCCTCCCTATTTCTGTTCATCCCTACTCACTCAGCTTAAATTCATTGACATCTCTACAGTTTCTCCTTTGCAAATATTCTTAAGCCCCATGTGACACCTGGATAAAATAGAAACAGTCTCATTCAGACTACACAGAGAGCATATACTAAGATTTCTCATACCGTCAGCCTCAAAGCAACTGGTAATGTCTGAGACTAATAATATTGGCAATTTTATTAATTAAGACCTCTAGTGTTTTCTTTCGTTGCCTTAAGGCTTGGTTTAAAAAGATCACATGTAAGTTCATCTAAGACACAGGAGACAAAGAATAAATTTTAAATGTAAGAAAGGAAGTTTTAAATGATCTATTTTGTGAAAGAGGAAAAGATAGGGGCAGTATAGCCAAAGCATCATAGCAAAGAATTTAAAAGAATTTCTCCACAAACAAAATCCACTGGTGTAATGACAGAGCAGAGGGACATTTTCAGTTTACCTCATTTGGTTTTGTCAAAGCAGTTCTGTAATCTGCAAAAAGTGGAAAAGTTTGGTGTCTGTTCCCTTTCCCTTGATTCCTTCAGTTATTATTGCCTCATTATACAGTCATTTGTACAATGTTTTGGCAGACATTTGCTGTTGCATAAATTAAAGTCATGGAATCTCATTTTGCCTACAGGTCTTTATGAAAATAGCAGCAACATTTTTATTTGAATGTCAAAGTTTATCAACCATTAAACTGATTGATTTTTCATTATACAATCCAATAGAATAGGCAATCTTCAGTTTGTATGCAACATTACTCTGAGAAAAAGACTCATCTTTGAAAAATCCTTCATGCTTATACTTTAAAAATGATATTCCTTTCACAAGACAGCATCATGTTTTAAAGCTATCTTTATACATGAATTGCTCTATTCATATGCCTAGTACAGGTACAGCATGGTAATTCACCTCACTGGAAAGAAAGAGCTTTTCTATTTTGTAGTAGCAACACCAGCCTTTAAAAATTATATTATATTTTATTTTAAACTCTCTCAGAAAGAACCTATTGTTCATGCCATGTAGATTGTGACGCTCAAAAAATGATCAAATTAACTGTCTTGGAAATAGGAGAGGCTTTACACAGAACTAACAGGTCTCAGCAGCTGTGTTGTATTTTCTACACAAATCCTTTAAAATGATCCTGAACTTCTTTTGTAGGCACACCTGTCATGGAAACAGTCTAGGCTAAATTGTAAGTTCATTTACCCTTTGGCTATGCCTCTAAAAATGTCAGCAAGGATGTCAGTTCGTGCCAACTACTGCTGGAGCAGCTGTTGGTTGGTTAGGAATGGGAGAGCAACCTTTATATTGGCTTATTTATTTGGAGCAAACAAAGAAAGATGTAAATTTCCACAGTCAGATCTTTGCTTCATTAAGGCAGATGTGTATCTGCTGTTTGTATGTCATATAATCCCAAAGCAGAACTAGGAATAAAAATTGTCCTTTGTTTAAAAACCTCATTAAAAATGTCAAGAAGAGAGAATTGTCTAGCAGTAGGAAACTTCATGAGGTAGGAGGTCTTTTCTTAAATATTTAAGATATATAACTTCTAAGAGATGAAGTGGTCAATGAAAAATAACCTATATTGAAAAGGAAATGCTGAAAGAAAAGTAAAACAGTTCAGCTTGTAGAATCAATATTATAAAATGAGAACTCATGAAAGGAAGTAAGTGAGAAATTGGTGCTCATACCGTGCTAGGTTAGTAGCCCTGAACTTCTAAAAGTGTTGGTGAAGAGAGCTCAAAGAAACACTGAATTATTATATAATAGATCTTGAAAAAAATTTTACCAACTTAATAGACATGATGAATTTTCAGATATTATGTGTTGAAGATCAATGGCAAACTCTAGAGTTAAAATTATGACACATGCACTAAAATGAGCTTTCTGAAATGACCATCTTAGAAGTGAAAAGTCTGAGCTAAAAATGCTCTTGCATGCTTTCAGAGATCACTAGCCCTGCTTACAAATGACAGAAAAACAAAGTCTGGCTCATTAAGACAAGATCAATAGTAATACAAATAAGAATATGTAAAAATGGTTCTAATAAAAATTAATATCATTTCTGTGATCTGTCAGGTAACGTAAGCTTTATGCAAAGTTACAAAATTCTCGAGAGTATTTTGAGTTATGGTCACCTCGTTGCTTCTCTACATTTGCTTTATTACAAGCTTCTTCCTAGATCTATATTTAGATGCCAATAAGCATCATTATTTATTTTTAAAAATGCCAATTTAAAATGTATTTTATTTTATTTTTTAAGGAATTTAATCAAATTTACAAGAAAAAAAAAACCCAGTTAAAAATTGGGCAAAGGACATGAACAGACACTTCTCAAAAGAAGGCATACATGCAGCCAACAAACATGAAGAAAGTTCAACATCACTGATCATTAGAGAAATGCAAATCAAAACCACAATGAGATGCCATCTGAAACGGTTTGGCTCTATGTCCCCACCGAAATCTCACCTTGAATTGTAATAATCCCCATGTGCCAAGGGCTGGACTAGGTGGAGCTAACTGAATCATGGGGGTGGTTTTGCCCATGCTGTTGTCATGATAGTAAGTGAATCCTCATGAGATCTGATTGTTTTATAAGGGGCTTCCCTCATCACTCAGCACTCATTCTCTCTCCTTCTCCCCTGGGAAGTGGTGCCTTCTGCCATATTTGTAAGTTTCCTGAGGCCTTTCCAGCCGTGCAGAATTTGTGAGTCAATGAAACCTCTTTTCTGTATAAAATACCCAGTCTCAAGTATTTCTTCATAGCAGCATGAGAATGGACTCATACACCACCTCACATCAATCAGAATGGCTATTATTAAAAAGTCAAAAAAAAAGATGCTGGCAAGGTTGTGGAAAAAAATGAACACTTTTACACTGTTGGTGGGAATGTAAATTAGTTCAACCATTGTAGAAGACAATGTGACAATTCTTCAAAGACCTAGAGGCAGAAATACCATTTGACTCAGCAATCCCATTACTGGATAGATACCCAAAGGAATATAAATCATTCAATTATAAAGATACATGCACGTGTATGTTCATTGCAGCATTATGTGCAATAGCAAAGTCATGGAATCAATCTAAATGTCCATTAATTATGGACTGGATAAAGACAATGTGGTACATATACACCATGGCATACTATGCACTCATAAAAAGGAATGAGATCATGTCTTTTGCAGGGACATGAATGGAGTCGGAAGGCATTAGTCTCAGCAAACTAATGCAGGAACAGACAACCAAACACCGCATGTTGTCACTTATAATGGAAGCTGATCGATGAGAACACATGGACTCATGTGGGGGGAAACAACACACACTGGCACCTGCAGGGGGTGTGTGGGGAGCGAGAGCATCAGGAAGAATAGCTAATGGATACTGGGCTTAATATCTGGGTGATGGGATGATTTGTGCAGTAAACCACCATGGCATACATTTACCTATGTAATAAACCTGCACATCCTGCACATGTACCCCTGAACTTAAAAGTTAAAAAACAATAATTAACTCTTCAACTAGGAGATTTTAATTTTATAAGAAAAAAAGTAAAATAAAATGTATTTTAAAATGAAAAACATTCCTTTACATGTAGGAATTTGTAATTCAATGAAAAAGTCAAATAATGCTCCCATGAAGAACTCAGTCACACAAACAGGTTCCTACCGCATTAGGAAAAACAATATCAGAGCAACATAATAAATTATACAAAAAGGGGTATCCCATTCAGGTAGTGATGTATCAAACATGGTCATAAATTGTTAAAAGTGTTAAAATTGTTGATGTTAAATAATTTATGTTAAAAGTGTTGTGTTCCAGTTTCCTCATTTAGATTCTATTCTGACTTATGGCATTCTGGGTCATTTTCTATTAAGAAAAGGAGAAACATGTATTTTTCAAGAAATGCAAATAAATACTTATCAAAATATAAAGCATATTCAAAGCAATATTTCTAAGAATTACACATTGAATACATAATAAAAACATTATTTACAGTCATAAAGTATGCATCCAACAAAGGTTTAATATCTGGAATCTATAAGGAATTTAAACAGTTCAGCAAGTCAAAAACATATTACCCTTTTAAAAAGAGACAAAAGACATGAACAGATATTTCTCAAAAGAAGATATATAAGTGGCCAATGGACACATGAAAAAACGTTCATCATCACTAATCATCAGAGAAATGCAAATCAAAACCAAAATGAAATACCATCTCACAACAGTCAGAATGGGTATTTTAAAAAGTCAAATAATGACAGAGGCTGGTGTGGCTTTGGAGAAAAGAGAATGTTTATGCACTGTTGGTTCTAATGTAAATTAGTTCAGCACAGTGGAAAGCAGTCTGGTGATTTCTCAAAGAACTTAAAGCAGAACTACCATTCAACCCAGCAATCCCATTACTGGGCATATAACCAAAAGAAAATAAGTCTACCAAAAAGACACAGGCACACATGTCCATCACAGAACTATTCACAGTAGAAAAGACATGGAACCATCCCAGGTGCACATCAATCATGGATTGGATAAAGGAAATGTGGTATATATATTAGGGAATACTACACAGCCATAAAAAAGACCAAATCATCATGTCCTTTGCCAAACATGGATGCGCTGGAGGACATTATTCTAAGCAAATTAATGCAGGAACATAAAACCAAATATGACATGTTCTCACTTGCAAGTGGGAGCTAAACAATGGGTATTTTTGGACATAAAAATGGCAATAAGTAGACACTGGGGACTACTGAGGAGGGAGGTAGGGAGAGGGACAAAGGTTGAAAAAGTATTGGGTACTGTGCTCACTACTTGGGTGATAGAAACAATCATACCCCAAACATTAGCATCATGCAGCATGTCCAGGTAGCAAACTTGCACATGTACCCCTTGAATCTAAAGTAGAATATATAAAACAATTAACGAATAAAAAGGCAGTGTCCTGAGCTCCTGGAGGGCAAGTGTGACTGTGGCTACCCCAAGCAGGCTGTGAGAAGAACCTGGCCTTTTGCTGGTCAGTAAGAAATCAAAATGCGATACAAGTCAGGAAGCTGGTATCTCGTGTAGACACAGTGTCACAATTACAGAATGGTCAATTAGATGCAGCTGGGAAGTGCCACTCCCATGGACAGAGACCACAATTTTAACTACACCAGTCTAACTTGAACAGATCTTTGGAGAGAAAGTGCTGAATGTGGTTGGAGAAAAGACACAGTTGCTGAGGCTGGAGAGAGAGGAAGCTGGGAACCCCACGTGGGGTGCCTAAATGTTACGGCAGGTTTCCATCACTGACCAGTGCCTGGGGAAGGGAACACAGCTGCAAACACAAAGAAACCACTTGTAGGAATTTGTCTACCGCTCATTGCTCTTAAATGCCATGTACTGGATTGCAGCCCAAACTACAACACAAATAATTAGTAATTCTGCCCCCTGCAAAACCAAGAGCAAGCATTGAACAACAAAGACCCTGTACAGACCTTAATCTTCTGAAAACTTCTAGAAACAAAGCCAATGAATATACTCAATTTACACCAAAATTAAAAGAATACCAGCCCTCAGGCCGGGCGCGGTGGCTCACGCCTGTAATCCCATCCCAGCACTTTGGGAGGCTGAGGCAGGCCGATCTGGTCAGTAGATAGCGACCATCCTGGCTAACACGGTGAAACCCCGTCTCTACTAAAAATACAAATAATAATAATAATAATAATTAGCCGGGCGTTGTGGTGGGCGCCTGTACTCCCAGCTACTCGGGAGGCTGAAGCAGGAGCGTGAACCCGGGAGGCGGATCTTGCAGTGAGCCGAGATCATGCCACTGCACTCCAGCCTGCACAACAAAGCAAGACTCCCTCAAAAAAAAAAAAAAAACCAGCCCTCTAAGATGAAAAAGAATCAGTGCAAGAACTCTGGCTATTCAAAAAGTCAGTGTCCCCATACCTCCACATGAGTCCACAGCTTCCCCAGCAATGATTCTTAACCAGTGTGAATTGTCTGAAATGACAGAAATGGAATTCACAATCTGGATGGCAAGGAAGCTCATCGAGATCTAGGAAAAAGTTGAGACTCAATCCCAGGAAGCCAAGCAATCTAGTAAAATTATTCGAGAGCTAAAAGATTAAATGCTCGTTTTAAGAAAGACTACTTACTGAGCTGAAAAATTTACTATAAGAATTTTATAATACAATCAGAAGGGTTAGCAGAATAGACCAAGCAGAAGAAAGAACCTTAGAACTAAAAGACTGGTTCTTTGAAACAGCACAGACAAAACTAAAGAAAAAATAATTAAGAAAAAATGAACAAAACCTCCAAGAAATATGAATTCCATAAAGAGAGCTGATCTACAACTAATTAGCATCCCTGCGAGAAAGGAAGAGAGAATAAGCAACTTGGAAAATATATTTGAGGATATATCCATGAAAATTTCCCTAATGTCATTAGAGAGGTAAATATGCAAATACAAGGAAAACAGAGAACCCCAGCCAGATACTATACAAGACAATCATTCACAAGGCACATAGTAATCAGATTCGCCAAGGTCAACGCAAAAGAAAAAATCTTAAAGTCAGCTAGAGAGAAGGGTAAGGTCACCTAGAGAGGGAACCCCATCAGGCTAGCAGCAGACTTGTCAGCAGAAACCTTAGAAGCCAGAAAAGATTGGGGGCCTATTTTCAGTGTCCATAAAAATGATATTTCAACCAAGCATTTATGTCCTGTCAAACTAAGCTTCATATGTGAAGGAAAAATAAAATTATTCTCTGACAAACAAATGCTGAGGGAATACATTTCAACTAGACCAGCCTTACAAGAGGTCCTTAAGGGAATGCTGAATATGGATGCAAAAGAATGACACCTGCTACCACAAAAGTACACGTAAGCATATAGCCTACTGACACTATAAAACAACAGTGCAGTTAAGTCTACATAACAACCAGCTAACAACATGATGCCAGGATAAAAATCTCAAATATCAATACTAACCTTGACTGTAAATGGGCTAACTACCACATGTAAAAGACACAGGGTCTCAGACTGGACAAAAAGATAAGACTGAACCATCTGTTGTCTTCAAGGGACCCAGCTCACATGTAACAACACCCACACACTCAAAGTAAAAGGGTGAAGTAAGATCTACCATGCAAATGAAAAGCAAAACAAGAGCAGGAGTCACTATTCTTATGTCAGATAAAAGAGACTTTAAGCCAATAAAAATGAGAAGGACAAAGAAGGGCATTACATAATGATAAAGGGTACAATCCAACAAGAAGCCATAACTATTCTAAAGATTCGTGCACCCACATTGGAGCACCTAGATTCATAAAACAACTTCTTGACCTACAAAAAGACTTAGACAACCACACAATAATAATGGGAGACTTCAACATGCTACTGACAGTGTTAGATCATCAAAGCAAAAAAACTAATAAAAAAATGATGGACTTAACTTCAACACTTGACTAATTGGACCTAATAGACATCTATAGAACACTTCACCCCCAAACCACAGAATGTACATTCTTCTCATCTGCACACAGAACATCCTCCAAGATCAACCACATGCTTGGCCGTAAAACAAGTCTCAATAACTATAAAAAAATTAAAATCATACCAAGCACACTCTTGAACCACAGTGCAATAAAAATAGAAATCAATACAAAGAACATCTCTCAAAGCTACTCAAATACATGGAAATTAAACAACTTACTTCTGAATAACTCCTTGGTGAACATTGAAATTAATGCAGAAAAAAGTTATATTAACGAAAATAGGGACACAGCTTACCAAAATATCTTTGGAATGCAGCCAAAGCAGTGTTAGGAGGAAAGTTTATACCCCTAAACATCTTCATCAAGAAGTCAGAAAGGTCTCAAATTTACAATCTAATTTTCACCTAAAGGAACTAGGAAAAGAAGAACAAACCAAACCCAAAGCTAGCAAAATAAAATAAATAATGAAAATTAGAACACTTAATAAAATGGAGATGTAAACATTTATCCTAAAGATCAATAAAACAAAGAGCTGGTTTTTAAAATAACTGATAGACCCCTAGCTAGCTTAACAAAGAAAAAGAAAGAGAAAATCCAAATAAACAGAATCAGAAATTACAACCGATCCCACAGAAATACAAAAGATCCTCAGAGACTACTAGAAAAAATTCTATGCACACAATTTAGAAAATGTAGAGGAAATGAATAAATTCCCAGAAACACACAGCCTACCAAGATTGAATCAGAAAGAAACTGAAATTTTGAATAGACATTTCAACTTTTGAAGTTGAGTTAGTGATAAAGAGCCTACCAACCAAAAAATCCCTGGACCAGATGGATTCCCAGCTGAATTATACCAGACATACAAACAAAAAATTAATACCAATCCTACTGAAACTATTCCAACAAGTTGAGGAAGAAGGGCTTCTCTGTAACTTATTCCATGAAGCCAATCCAATACCAAAATCTGGCAGAGATGCAATTAAAAAGAAAATCAGAGGCCAATATCCTTCATGAAAATATATGCAAGAAGCCTCAACAAAATACTAGAAAATTGAATCCAGCAGAACATCCAAAAGTTAATACCACAATCAGATAGGCTTTATTCAAAGGATGCAAGGCTGGTTCAACATATGCAAATCAATAAATGTGATTCATCACATAAACATTCAGAATCAAAAGCAAAATCTATAGGATTATCTCAATAAATGCAGAACAAGCTTCTGATAAAATCCAACATTCCTTCATGATAAAAATCTTCAACAGACTAGGCACAGAAGAACATACGTTAAAATAATAAGAGCAATATATAACAAACTCACAGCCAACAGCATACTGAATGAGCAAAAGATGGAAGCCTTCCCCCAGAGAACTGGATCCAAGCAAGGATGCCCACTCTCACCACTCCTATTCAACATGTTACTGGAATTTCAAGCCAGAGCAATCAGGGAAGAGAAATAAATAAAAGGCATCCACATAGGAAAACAAGAATCCACAGTGATTATATGATTCTGTACCTAGAAAACCCTAAAGACTCTGTCAAAAGGCTCCTAGAATTGATAAATGATGTTAGTAAAGTTTCAGGATACAAAATCAATGTACAAATATCAGTAGCATTTCTGAACAGCAACATTGTCCATGCTGAGAGTGAAATCAAGAACAAAATCCCACTTCCAAGAGCCACAAAAAAATGAAACACGCATGAATACAGCTAACTAAGGAGGTGAAAGAACTCTTCAAGGAGAACTAAAAAACACTGCTGAAAGTAAATCAGAGATGACACAAATAAATGGAAAAACATTCCATGCTCATAAATTGGAAGAATTAATATGATAAAAATGGTCATACTGCCAAAAGAAATCTACAGATTCAATGCTACTCCTATCAAACTACCAAAGTAATTCTCAAAACTAGAAAAAAGAACTGTTCCAAAATTCATATAAAACCAGAAAAAAAAAAGAGCCCAAATATCCAAAGCAATCCTAAACGAAAAGAACAAAGCTGGAGACATCACACTAACTGACTTCAAACTATACTATAAAGCCACATTAACCAAAACAGTTTAGTACTGATACAAAAACAGACACATAGACCAATGGAACAGAATAGAAAACCCAGAAATAAACTCAGAAAACTCAGAAATAAAGCCACACGTCTATCACCATTTGATCTTAGACACGTGCAACAAAAACAAGGAATAGGGAAAGGACTCTATTCAATAAGTGGTGTTGGGATAACTGGCCAACCATATGCAGATTGAAGGTGGACCCCTACATTTTATCATACATTAAAATTAACTCAAGATCGATTAAAGAATTTTTTTTCTCATTGTGGTTTAAATTTGCATATATTTATTTATCTTTTTTTATTATTATACTTTAAGTTTTAGGTATTTTATCATATATTAAAATTAACTCAAGATCGATTAAAGATTTTTTTTCTCATTGTGGTTTAAATTTGCATATATTTATTTATTTATCTTTTTTTATTATTATACTTTAAGTTTTAGGGTACATGTGCACAATGTGCAGGTTAGTTACATATGTATACATGTGCCATGCTGGTGTGCTGCACCCATTAACTCGTTATTTAACATTAGGTATATCTCCTAATGCTATCCCTCCCCCCTCCCCCCACCCGACAACAGGCCCCAGAGTGTGATGTTCCCCTTCCTGTGTCCATGTGTTCTCATTGTTCAATTCCCACCTATGAGTGAGAATATGCGGTGTTTGGTTTTTTTGTTCTTGCGATAGTTTACTGAGAATGATGATTTCCAATTTCATCCATGTCCCTACAAAGGACATGAACTCATCATTTTTTATGGCTGCATAGTATTCCATGGTGTATATATGCCAAATTTTCTTAAGCCAGTCTATCATTATTGGACATTTGGGTTGGTTCCAAGTCTTTGCTATTGTGAATAGAGCCACAATAAACATACGTGGGCATGTGTCTTCATAGCAGCATGATTTATAGTCTTTTGGGTACATACCCAGTAATGGGATGGCTGGGTCAAATGGTATTTCTAGTTCTAGATCCCTGAGGAATCGCCACACTGACTTCCACAATGGTTGAACTAGTTTACAGTCCCACCAACAGTGTAAAAGTGTTCCTATTTCTCCACATCCTCTCCAGCACCTGTTGTTTCCTGACTTTTTAATGATTGCCATTCTAACTGGTGTGAGACGGTATCTCATTGTGGTTTTGATTTGCATTTCTCTGATGGACAGTGATGGTGAGCATTTTTTCATGTATTTTTTGGCTGCATAAATGTCTTCTTTTGAGAAGTGTCTGTTCATGTCCTTCACCTACTTTTTGATGGGGTTGTTTGTTTTTTTCTTGTAAATTTGTTTGAGTTCATTGTAGATTCTGGATATTAACCCTTTGTCAGATGTGTAGGTTGTGAAAATTTTCTCCCATTTTGTAGGTTGCCTGTTCACTCTGATGGTAGTTTCTTTTGCTGTGCAGAAGCTCTTGAGTTTAATTAGATCCAATTTGTCAATTTTGGCTTTTGTTGCCATTGCTTTTGGTGTTTTAGACATGAAGTCCTTGCCCATGCCTAGGTCCTGAATGGTAATGCCTAGGTTTTCCTCTAGGGTGTTTATGGTTTTAGGTCTAACGTTTACGTCTTTAATCCATCTTGAATTGATTTTTGTATAAGGTGTAAGGAAGGGATCCAGTTTCAGCTTTCTACATATGGCTAGCCAATTTTCCCAGCACCATTTATTAAATAGGGAATCCTTTCCCCATTGCTTGTTTTTCTCAGGTTTGTCAAAGATCAGATAGTTGCAGATATGTGGCGTTACTTCTGAGAGCTCTGTTCTGTTCCATTGATCTATATCTCTGTTTTGGTACCAGTACCATGCTGTTTTGGTTACTGTAGCCTTGCAGTATACTTTGAAGTCAGGTAGCGTGATGCCTCCAGCTTTGTTCTTTTGGCTTAGGATTGACTTGGCAATGCGGGCTCTTTTTTGGTTCCATATGAACTTTAAAGTAGTTTTCTCCAATTCTGTGAAGAAAGTCATTGGTAGCTTGATGGGGATGGCATTGAATCCATAAATTACCTTGGGCAGTATGGCCATTTTCACGATATTGATTCTTCCTACCCATGATCATGGAAGGTTCTTCCATTTGTTTGTATCCTCTTTTATTTCACTGAGCAGCGGTTTGTAGTTCTCCTTAAAGAGGTCCTTCACGTCCCTTGAAAGTTGGATTCCTAGATATTTTATTCTCTTTGAAGCAATTGTGAATGGGACTTCACTCATGATTTGGCTCTCTGTTTGTCTGTTGTTGGTGTATAAGAATGCTTGTGATTTTTGTACTTTGATTTTGTATCCTGAGACTTTGCTGAAGTTGCTTATCAGCTTTAGGAGATTTTGGGCTGAGACAATGGGGTTTTCTAGATATACAATCATGTCATCTGCAAACAGGGACAATTTGATTTCCTCTTTTCCTAATTGAATACCCTTTATTTCCTTCTCCTGCCTAATTGCCCTGGCCAGAACTTCCAACACTATGGTGTATAGGAGTGGTGAGAGAGGGCATCCCTGTCTTGTGCCAGTTTTCAAAGGGAATGCTTCCAGTTTTTGCCCATTCAGTATGATATTGGCTGTGGGTTTGTCATAGACAGCTTTTATTATTTTGAGATATGTCCCATCAATACCTAATTTATTGAGAGTGTTTAGCATGAAGTGTTGTTGAATTTTGTCAAAGGCCTTTTCTGCATCTATTGAGATAATCATGTGGTTTTTGTCTTTGGTTCTGTTTATATGCTGGATTACATTTATTGATTTCCATATATTGAACCAGCTTTGCATCCCAGGGATGAAGCCCACTTGATCATGGTGGATAAGTGTTTTGATGTGCTGCTGGATTCGGTTTGCCAGTATTTTATTGAGGATTTTTGCATCAATGTTCATCAAGGATATTGGTCTAAAATTCTCTTTTTTTGTTGTGTCTCTGCCCGGCTTTGGTATCAGGATGATGCTGGCCTCATAAAATGAGTTAGGGAGTATTCCCTCTTTTTCTATTGATTGGAATAGTTTCAGAAGGAATGGTACCATTTCCTCCTTGTACCTCTGGTAGAATTCGGCTGTGAATCCATCTGGTCCTGGACTCTTTTTTGTTGGTAAGCTATTGATTATTGCCACAATTTCAGATCCTGTTATTGGTCTATTCAGAGATTCAACTTCTTCCTGATTTAGTCTTGGGAGGGTGTATGTGTCAAGGAATTTATCCATTTCTTCTAGATTTTCTACTTTATTTGCATAGAGGTGTTTGTAGTATTCTCTGATGGTAGTTTGTATTTCTGTGGGATCGGTGGTGATATCCCCTTTATCATTTTTTATTGCATCTATTTGATTCTTCTCTCTTTTCTTCTTTATTAGTCTTACTAGCGGTCTATCAATTTTGTTGATCCTTTCAAAAAACCAGCTCCTGGATTCACTAATTTTTTGAAGGGTTTTTTGTGTCTCTATTTCCTTCAGTTCTGCTCTGATTTTAGTTATTTCTTGCCTTCTGCTAGCTTTTGAATGTGTTTGCTCTTGCTTTTCTAGTTCTTTTAATTGTGATGTTAGGGTGTCAATTTTGGATCTTTTCTGCTTTCTCTTGTGGGCATTTAGTGCTACAAATTTCCCTCTACACACTGCTTTGAATGTGTCCCAGAGATTCTGGTACATTGTGTCTTTGTTCTCGTTGGTTTCAAAGAACATCTTTATTTCTGCCTTCATTTCATTATGTACCTATGCCTTCTTTTAAAAGCTGTGTTCATGCCTCACTTTTTAATGGGGTTGTTTTTCTCTTGTAAATTTGTTGAAGTTCTTTATAGGTTCTAGATATTAAGCCTTTGTCAAATGCATAATTTGAAAAAATTTTCTCCCATTCTGTAGGTTTCCTTTGCTGCACAGAAACTCCTAAGTTTAATTAGATTCTACTTGTCAATTATTGCTTTTGTTATTATTGGTTTTGGTGTCTTTGTCATATAATATTTGCCTGTTTTTATGTCCAGAATGGTATTGCCTAGATTGTTTTCCAGAGCTTTTATAGTTTTGGGTGTTACATTTAAGTGTTTAATCTACCTTGAGTTGATATTTTACATGCTGTAAGAGAGGAGTTCAGCTTCAATCTTTTGCATATTGCTAGACAGTTATCCCACCACCATTTAGTGAATGAGTCCTTTCCCCATTGCTTGTTTTTGTCAGCTTTGTCGAAGATCACGTGGTTATAGGTGTGCAGCCTTATTTTTGCGCTCTGTATTCTGTTCCATTGGTCTATGTGCCTGTTTTTGTAGCAATGGCATGATGTTTTTGTTTCCGTAGCCCTGTAGTATAGTTTGAAGTTGGATAACAATGGCTCTAGCTTTGTTCTTTTTGCTTAAGATTGCCTTAAATATTCAGGTTCCTTTTTGGTTTCATGTGGATTTTTAAGTGTTTATTCTACTTCTGTGAAGAATGTCATTGATAGTTTAATAGGAATAGCATTGAATCTGTCAATTGCTTTAAGGAGTGTGGCCGTTTTAATGATATTGATTCTTTCTATCCGTGAGCATGGAATAATTTTCAATTTATTTGTGTCTTTCCTGATTTCTTTGAGTAGTGTTTTGTAATTCTCATTGTAGAAATATTTTACCTCCCTGGTTATCTGTATTCCTAGGTATTTTATTCATCTTTGTGGCAATTGTGAATGGTTCTGCCTTTCTGATTTGGTTCTTGGCTTGGCTGCTATTGGTGGATAGAAATGCTATGAACTTTTATACATTGATTTTGTATCCTGAAACTTTGCTGAAGTTGTTTACCAGCTAATGGAGCTTTTGGGCCAAGACTACAAGATTTCAAGATATAGAATCATGTCATCTGCAAACAGAGATAATTTGACTTCCTCTCTTCCTATTTAGATAAACTTTATTTCTTTCTCTTGCCTGATTAGCTAGGACTTCCAATACTATGTTGAATAGGAGTGGTAAGAGAGGGCAACCTTGTGTTTTACCAGTTTTCAAGGCGAATGCTTCCAGCTTTTTCCCATTCAGTATGATGTTGGCTGTGGGAGTGTCATAAATGTCTCTTATTATTTTGAAATATATTTTTTCAATATCCAGTTTATTGACAGTTTTTAACATGAAAGAGTGTTGAATTTTATTGAAAGCTTTTTCTGCCTCTATTGAGATAATCATGTAGTTTTTGTCTTTAGTTCTGTTTATGTGATGAATCATATTTATTGATTTGTGCATGCTGAACCAACTCTGCACCTTGGGGATGAAGCTGACTTGATCTTGGTGGATAAGCTTTTTGATTTTTGGTGTGCTGCTGGATTCAGTTTGCAAGTATTTTATTGAGGATTTTTGCATCAATGTTCATCAAGGATATTGGCCTAAAGTTTTGTTTTTTGTTTTTGTTTTTGTTGTGCATTTCTCTGACAGGTTTTGGTATCAGGATGATGCTGGCCTCATAGAATGAGTTGGCGAGGAGTCCCTCCTCAATTTTTTTGGAATAGTTTTAGTAGGAATGGTATCAACTCTTCTTTGCACATCTGGTAGAATTTGGCTGTGAATCCATCTGGTCTTGGGCATTTTGTTGATTGGTAGACTATTTATTACTGGTTCAATTTTGGAGCTCATTATTAATCTGCTTGGGGAATCAGTTTCTTCCTGATTCAGTCCTGGGAGGGTGTATGCGCCAGGAATCTATACATCTCTTCTTGGTTTTCTAGTTTATGTGCATAAAGTTGTTCATAGTAGTTTCTGGTGGTTATTTTTATTTCTGTGGAGTCAGTGGTAACATTCCCTTCCTCAGTTCTAATCATGTTTATTTGCATCTTCTTTCTTTTCTTCTTTATTAGTCTAGCTAGTGACCTATCTTATTAATTTATTCTAAAAAACAACTGGTTTCATTGATCTTTTGAATGTTGTTTTGTGTCTCGATTTCCTTCAGTTCAGCTCTGATTTTGGTTATTTCTTGTCTTCGGCTAGCATTGGGGCTGATTTGTTCTTGCCTGTCTAATTCATTCAGTTGTGAAATTAGGTTGTTAATTTGAGATCTTTCTAACTTTTTAATGTGATCATTTAGTGCTAGGAAGTCCCCTCCTAACACTGCCATAACTGTGTCTAAGAGATACTGGTATGTTTTATCTTTATTCTCATTAGTTTCAAAGAATTTCCTGATTTCTCCCTCTATGTCATTATTTACCCAAAAGTCATTTAGGAGCATGTTGTTTAATTTCCATTTAATTGCATAGTTTTGAGTGAATTTCTTAGTCTTGACTTCTATTTTTATTGCACGTTGGTTTGCAAGTATGCTTGGTATAATTTCAGTTTTTTTGCCTCTGCTGAGGATTGTTATATGTCCAAGTATGTGCTCAATTTTAGAGTATGTGCCATGTGGCAATGTGAAAAATGTAAATTCTGTTGTTTTTGTGTGGAGAGTTCCTAGAAGTTTATCAGATTCATTTGGTCCAATGTTGAATTCAGATCCTGAATATCTTTGTTAATTTTCTGCCTCAATGTTCGGTCTAATGTTGTCAGTGGAGTGTTGAAGTCTCCCATTATTATTGTGTGGGTGTCTATGTCTCTTTGTGGGTCTCCAAGAACTTCCTCTATAACTCTGGGTGCTCCTGTGTTGGGTGCATATATATTTAAAATAGTTAGAGCTTCTTGTTGAATTGAACCCTTTACCATTATGTAATGTCCTTCTTCGTCCTTCTTGATTTTTGTTGGTTTAAAGACTATTTTTGTCTGAAACTAGAATTGCAACCCCTGCTGTTTTCTTTTTTTCATTTGTTTCATAGATTTTCCTCCATTCCTTTATTTTGAGCCCATGGGTTTCATTCCGTGTAAGATGGTTCTTTCGAAGGAAGCATACCATTCGGTCTTGCTTTTTTATCCAGCTTGCCACTCTGTGCCTTTTAAATGGGACATTTAGACCAGATGCCGTGGCTTACACATATAATCCAAGCACTTTGGGAGGCCAAGTGCTGATGGAAGGCCAAGCTCAGGAGTTTGAGAGCAGCCTGGGCAACAGGGTATAACCCCATCTCTACAAAAAATACAAAAATTAGCCAGGCATGGTGGTGGTGCATGCCTGTAGTACCAATTACTCAGAAGGCTGAGGTGGGAGGATGGCTTGAGCCTGGGAGGCAGAGGTTGGAGTGAGCTGAGATCACACACTGCACTCCAGCCTTAGTAACAGAGTTAGATCCTGTCTGAAAAAAAAAAAAAAGTGGGAACTTTAGTCTGTTTAAATTCATGGTTATTATTGATACCTGTGGATTTGATCCTGTCATTGTGCTGTTATGTGGTTATTATGTTGGTTTGTTTGTGTGGTTGCTTTATAGTAACACTGGTCTGTGTGTTTGAGTGTGTTTTTATATTAACAGGTAGCGGTCTTTCCTTTATATATTTAATGCTTCTTGTCTGGTGATAACAAACTCCCTCAAATTTGATTATTTAGGAGGATCTTATTTCTCCTTTGCTTAGGAAGGTTAGTTTGACTGGATACGAAATTCTTGGTTGAATTTTATTTTCTTTAAGAATGTTGAATATAGGCCCCCAGTCTCTTGTGGCTTGTAGGATTTTAGCTAAGAGGTTCACTGTCAGCCTGATGATGTTCCATCTATA